>NC_000005.10:116473443-116776473 GCF_000001405.40 Homo sapiens | reverse complement strand
TCTATTGTAACAGATTGGGTTGGTTTTAGATAACTATTTCCTAACTTCAAACTTTTCTTTATGATATTCCTTTTCTCTTTTATCTTTGAACTTAAGGGAGGAGACCACACCTCACATTGTCTTATGCCCAATTTCTGCCTCCAAAGAAAGAAAAAGTAAAAACTAAAAGGCAGAAATGAAATCCACAAGCAGACAGCCCGGCGCCACACCCTGGGCCTGGTAGTTAAAGATCCACCCCTGACCTAATCGGTTATGTTATCTATAGATTACAGACATTGTATAGAAAAGCACTGTGAAAATCCCTATCCTTTTTTGTTCCGATCTAATTACCAGTACATGCAGCCCCTAGTCACGTAACCCCTGCTTGCTCAATCGATCACGACCCTCTCACGCATACCCCCTTAGAGTTGTGAGCCCTTAAAAGGGACAGGAATTGCTCATTCGGGGGCTCGGCTCTTCAGACAGGAGTCTTGCCGATGCCCCCGGCCGAATAAACCCCTTCCTTCTTTAACTCGGTGTCTGAGTAGTTTTGTCTGCAGCTTGTCCTGCTTGTCCTGCTACAAACTCTCTGACGGCCTACTAATTCAAACTCTTGGTTTCAGCTGCACCAAATTCAGTGGCAAATGGATATGAAAATTTAGAGTTTAGAGAGACCTTAGAGATCGTCCAGATGACTTGCTAAATAGTTGAGGGAACAAAAGCTCAGAAAGATCAAATGACCTGCTTGCCACAAATTACAGTAATTATTGGCAAATCCGGTTCTACTACCAATCTAGTGATCTTTCACCACATCCAGGACAGTCATAACCATAAGCCAAAAATGACAGAGAAACAGGTAGTAAACAGTTTCTAAAAATTAGCAATAAAAATAATAAATGGGATAATAAAGATAATCGTTCATGCATAAAATATAGTTTCAAAAAAAGAAGTTGGAGGTTAAAAACTATTTAGGTATTTTTCTTCATTTTATTTGCACTAATGTTGACTATGCCCATTCTATTCTAGGCACTTCACACATATTCCTTAATTTAATTCCCATACTAATTTCAAAGGTTTTTACTTTTTAATCTATAAAAATATAAAAAAGGTTCATAATCTTACTAGGCAAATAAACTATGTGGACATTTTAAAAATAAAAGTAACATACAGACCTGGCTAGGAAACCTAAATAACAGAGAAAAATATAAATTAAAAATGTTAACTTCCCTCCTCCTGCCCAACTTTCCATTCCTCTCCCTCAAGTTAACTTCTAACTGTTTTTTATAATTCCTATCCCCCTCATTATTAAGCACATATGGGGATGCATATCTCCTGATGTAAAATTCTTTTACTTATTACACCAAAGGAAATCTGATATACATATTGTTCTACATCTTGCTTTTATCCACTTAATATTTTTATATGTTTCTCCACATCAGCACATATGCCTCTACCTATCTTAAAAGTTTGTGTAATACACCATACTGCAGATATACTCTAATTTATTTAACCACTCCCCTATTCGTAGTATGAGGGCTGTTTCTGTTTTTTTCTATTAGGTTAGCATTATTCATCTCATTTTACAAGTAGAGAAACCAGAGCTCAACAAGGATAAGCAAATTAATTGCTTGATATTTCTCTGCTAAGAAGGCACCAGGGCTACCAACTAAATTCACATCTGTATGTCTTAAGTCCTTGATTTTTTCCTTTATTCTAAATATTTACCCAGACAACCCAAAGCACTTGATCTGCTAATCAGACAGTAGAGTTTTTTGGTCATTCCATCAACACCTCTCAGCTAGGAATTCTTTTTTTTTCCTCTGTAGTGTTCATAGGAATTTGTCCAAAGTTATACTGTTAGAATGACCTAAGCAGTTACAAACAAGTTATTTGGGAAACACTCCTGTCATTTTTCTGTATTAAATTAAAATTGACCCAATTAAATAGGAGAGTTTCTCTTTTGGAACAATGGAGAAATGTGACTTCTTCTCCTCCACCCTGGGTGAGGAAGAGTGGAGGGGATAAAAAGAGCCCACATTTCCTTCCACACTAGCAGAGAATGGAGACTGGTTCTCACAACCACTAACTATGCAACTATGCAGGGAGGGGGTAAGAGGCCCACATGGTAATGAAGAAAATGCTGGGACCTCAACTGCTTTGGTGATTTGGGGCACCAAACTCACTAATTATATGGAAAGAAGAAGGAGATAGATTCTCTACTGTACAAGGAGGGGAAATGGCCACAATAGGGCCACACAAGTTAACCCAGCCTCCAATACAGGACAATTTCACACTTTCCTGCAGGGGGTTAATGACTTTGTGTGTGTGGCTGTCCCAGAGAATTAGTCCCCTCTTCCGGAAGCCTTTAACTCCTGTCAATAAGCCTTCCGTTGCTATACAAAGCTATTGAGCCTCCTGAATAATTCCATGCAAGGTAAAGTGCCCTGCCTTCCGACCTTTTTGTAAAGTATTGTGCTGTTGCTTGTCCTTGTTACGGCAGAATATTTCACCTTCTTCTTGTAAATAGCTACCACTTCAGAAGGCTTGTGCGGTGATCACTCACAGCAAGGCCACCGAATGGCCAGCTGTACTGGGAGTTGCCCTAACATTCACTGGCCTTACTGTTCACAGACCCTTGCTAAACTCTCAGCCCTTCCATGCAAACCAATAATACACTTGTCACAGTGTAACCCTTGCACACCAAAAAAGTCTGAAAAACTGGAGTAGGAGCTCAAGGTATAAGCACTATTCAAAGTAGTACTGCCTTCCAAGACCAGGTGGGAAGGGTAACAATTCCACAGATTACAGTGGTGGAATGATATTTTAACATATATTTACCCAAATTGAATAAATCCAGGCATTATGTGACCAGATTGTTAAGTGAAGACTGAAGATTTGCTCAGTGTTATGGAAACACATCTTCTAAGAACCTAAGTGGTTTCTAACTTTCAATCACCCTGAAATAGTGACTTCTCAAGTCAATTTGGATAGTTTCTCCCTCCACCCTAGCTATAATAATTTTGCACAATGATTTACGGTTTTACAATGGTTTCACATATGTCATTTTATTTGACACTAAAAAAATGGTTTGTAACAGCCCTAACTTGTATTTGTTTGACACTGTTTTATACTGGAAAAACACAGCTCAGGATTTGTTCAAGTAGATGATCAGAGGCCATCCATCAGCTTTCTAATGTTTGCTCACCTACTTCCCAAACCTCTGGGAAAAACTTGTAAGCTGTTGTTATAAGAAAAAAACTGCTTACCTTCTCTTCCTGCTCTGGGATTAGCTCCCCACATGTAAGTACTGGAAAGAAGTGAGAAGATATTTTGCTTCAAACAGAGTTACATCCCTAAAGAGCTACAAATCCTGGTTTTATACAATCTGAGGCCCATCAGGAGTCTGAATAACACTCAGAAGCTGTTCTCGTTGAGAGCATCTACATTTGCCAAGAGCCCAAACGTGTAGACAGCAGACAACTGAACAGTGCCAAGGAAGATGTTGAGTGGAATGAGTGAACTGCAAACCTGGGACAAATAACACATTACTTGAGTAGAAAAGCTGAGAGTTTTAAAGACGTATGGTCCTTGCTGTCAGATCTTTATGACTTATCCACTGGGGCTTTGTCTGTTTATATGTGCAGTTCACTCATTGTCTTTCCATTTATATTTGGTTTATGTATAGGGGGCTTAACGCCTGTGTATGTATATGGTTGGCAAATCTCCCTCTGGTGTGTCTGTTTTTATTCTTCAACCTAAAATACTTCTAAAGACCTTCCATTTTAAATTGCACACTAAAATCAGTGGCTAAATGAAAGCATCTTTTTAGCGATTGTCTGTCTCTGCTTTATGCTGGGGTTAACCCACTCCATGTTTTAAAATTGGACTTGGAAAATATGGTCCATAAAGTTGGGGAAGGAGTACTCAGATGTACAGCCAGACACCTATTTCCAAAATAACACAGCAGTCTTTGCAAATGTCCCCAGATGGCCTCAGTAATCTAAATTGCAGATAAGAAAATCACTCTGGGTTATTAGAGAGGAAAGTTTTACCTTCAAGGTAAAAGGAAGATGATCTTTCAAGCTTAGAAATGCAACTAATAGATTCCATCTGCAAATTCAGCTCTCCAGAGAGGTCTCGGGAGCAGCCATTTTCCCCTGTCTAGGACCCAGTACAGTTTTAGCTGGAGGGATAATTTGGAAGAGAAAAATAAACATTAGCATAGCCAAGTAGATGATCTGAGTTCAGACATGTCTGCCCAGTACCCAAAACATTCTAAAAGTAAAAAAAATAAAAAGAACAGTAGGGTGAGTTGGTAACTTTGTCATTTAATCCAAAGAGTCTAGTTGTCCATCTTTATCTTGTTACTAGTTATTCAGACTTCAAACATTTGAGAATGATTTTGATGTAGGAGGCGTTCAATCCAGTTTGTGCTCACGATAGAACTGCATTGTGCAATTTTAATTAAAAATTTAGGGTTTCACAACCTCTGAATCACTTCACTCTATTTTTCTGTTTTGTTTTGTTTTTGCAGTTCCAACATGTTTTCCAGGGATAGTATGTTGATTAGTCAAAGTCATGTGTATATTCCTTCACATTTAGAATTTACCCTTCATGCTAACATTACCTAACTAGACATTGTCTATGAATGAATGCTATACATTCACTTAAAACATCACTAGGGAGTAATGAATCTTGTCTGCACAGAACAGGAAAGGTAACCCTGCTGTCTGGCCTTCAGCCTCTCACTGCCCCACTCTCTTGGGGCATTCAGGAAACCGCTGTGTTGAGAACGCATTCCTGGACAACAGAACTTACATTGTTCCACGGCTTCCAGAACCGGCTTTGGGTGTTGCTGCGAAATCTTCACCCTGTGTCTGCAGCAGCTGCCTTCTCCTGACAATCACTTCCATATGCCCCATTTTAGAGCTAGGAGGAAAAGTACTTCGGGCTCAGTTTGGCCACACACATTGAAGAGGACCCTCTCACGCTAAAGTGGCATTAAAAAATGTTTTATGGTATTTTCTTAAAAGCTAGGTTTTCACAGAGGTCTTCAGTCTAGGCAAACCCTAACGTTTTTGTTAAAATAATAGTATCTTATAAGCAAAAGAGCTTTCCTCTTTTTTTGAAGAACGCAATAAGAGAATCCAGCCCTTCAGAGATAAACCTCCAGGTCCAAGGTGTGTCTTCAGCAAAGCCATGTTCTGCAGCCCCTCTGTACCTGAAGAGGGAATCTGGCTTTAAGCTAGAGCAGACAGTCAGCATAGGAGCTACTGGTTCCTGGAGAGCTAAAAACGTTGGTGCACAGCAGGTTTCACAAAAACATTCACAGCCACTGAGTACCTGATGCTACAGCACATTTGTCAGGAACATTAAGGCCTCTGCTTGGTTACCATCAAGGGCTTTTTCTAAGGTAAATCTGATCTACTATGAAACAAAGGAGATGCAAATTAGAAAGGGTGGCAAGTAGGTGGGTTTCTTTCTTGGCATCTCAGGGAAGTAAACTTCTGAGTCAGACATATCCTGTTTTGTTTTATTTTGTTTCTCCATGTTCAGCAGACATCTCTAGGTGAATTTTTTTTTTTTTGAGATGGAGTCTTGCTCTGTTGCCCAGGCTGGAGTGCAGTGGCACGATCTTGGCTCACTGCAACCTCTGCCTCCCGGGTTCAAGCGATTCTCCTGCCTTAGCCTCCCAAGTAGCTGGGACTAGAGGTGTGCACCACCACGCCCAGCTAATTTTTGTATTTTTTACTAGAGACAGGGTTTCACCGCGTTAGCCAGGCTGGTCTCGAACTCCTGACCTCGTGATCCACCTGCCTCGGCCTCCTAAAGTGCTGGGATTACAAGCGTGAGCCACTGTGCCCGGCCTTCCCAGTGAATTTTAAATGGGTGAATATAAGATGTTAGTTTACATGCATGTACGCTATTTTAAGCAAGCATAATTAATGAAAATACATGTGGACATGAAAAATCGTGTTAATTCATTTGCAAAGGAATCTTTACTGCTTTACGACAACATTTCTAAAAGTGCTGAAGGTGTGGTCTTTCTTATTATATTTAAAATTCACTTGGTTAACCAAAAGTGCCCAAATTTTTCCCAACCTAGTGTCCTAAGTTAGATCTATCTACTTCAGAAAATATGTTTACTCTGTTTTTTTTGTTTTTTTGAGACAAGGTCTCACTCTGTCACTTGGGCTGGAGTGCAGTGGTGCAATTATGGCTTACTGCAGCCTTGACCTCCTGGGCTCAAGTGATCCTACCATTTCAGCCACCTATAGCTGGGACTACAGGCACATGCCACCATGCCCAGCTAATTTTTTGTAGAGATGGGGTCTCACTGTGTTGCCCAGGCTGGTCTTGAACTCTTGGGCCCAAGTGATCCTCCTGCCTTGCCCTTCCAAAGTGCTAGGATTACAGGAGTGAGCCACCGCTCCTGGCCTACTCTCATTAATGCTGAGAAATAAAGCTAAATGATTGCCTGAAGCACAGAATAATACTTAATTTTAAGAATTAGTATCAAATGGCCAGGTGCGGTGCCTCACGCCTGTAATCCCAGCACCTTGGGAGGCTGAGGTGGGCAGATCACGAGGTCAGGAGATGGAGACCATCCTGGCTTACACGTTGAAACCCCGTCTCTACTAAAAATACAAAAAATTAGCCAGGCGTGGTCGCACGCACCTGCTGTCCCAGCTACTCAGGAGGCTGAGACAGGAGAATCACTTAAACCTGAGAGGCGGAGGTTGCGGTGAGCCAAGATTGCACCACAGCACTTCAGCCTGGATGACAGAGACTCTGTCTCAAAAAAAAAAAAGAAATAGATTTAGTATCATAGTCATATGGACTTGGACCCCTGCTCTATGCAGGGCTTTGTACTGGGCACTGTGTACTCTACAGAGAGAGAAAGTGTGATTCACAGTTGCTTGACATAAGATAATACTGAAGATTCCGAGTAAATGATTTTTTCCCAAGATCATGAAGCAAATCAATTACAGTCTGGCTTTAAATCAAAGTCACTCTGCCATATCACCAGTCAAACACTTCTTGAATTTTGACATCATTCTTCTTTACCCTGGTCCTTGGTTAGCCTTTAGCCATAGCAAACCTTTCGACCTAAGTGATAACCACAGGAAAAGTGAAATAGGTGAAGCCTAAATATCTGCTAAGAGGTAAGTAAAGGCATTGATGTAAAGGATAGACTAGCAAATATTCAGTGAAATTATGAAATAATTCGTAAGGTCTCTTTTGAGTGAAGGGGGAACTTTTAAGTAATGGTATACCTTTAGTGGAACCCAGTCATTTGCTATTTCTTGAAATGTTTATAAAAGTCGGCTTGTTCCCTGAAACTGGACTGATTTTTAGGTCAAACTTAATGTGCCACATGATTTTGCTTAAGATATTACTTTTCTACATCTGTTAGGCAACTAAATAGAGAAAGACATGATTTAGGACCAAGGTGTTTTTTTTGTTTGTTTGTTTGTTTTTTCACCATTAAGTCATAACCTTAAACAAAAGAACTTAGTGAACTGTGATTTTAGGTCATCTACTAAGGAGATACAGCAAGCCCCAAAGTCTAATCAACCTGAATTTATGTTTGAGGGGAAAAAAATGAAACAAACAATCCTAGGTTTGTCATCTTCTTAAGTCGCATCCCATTTAGAGAGTCTCTCTTGCCACAATGTCAAATGTCATTAGGTTTGACATACATAATTGCATTAAGCTGCAGTGATGATCCCTAATGAGACATTGAATTTCCTCCCAAAAAATCAGTCACCAAAGCACATTTTCTTATGATGAATTAATTAATAAAATACAAGACTTCTTATGCAAAATATATACCAGGGATTCCCAAGTGTGTTGATGCCCTAACTACTCTGAATAAAAAAGCTGAAGCTTAAGGATAATACAGTCACGAACACTGGGATTCCCACGGATGCAGGCAATTTCACAAGCCTTCTCTTATAAAATAAGAAGTGTGGGCTATGCCATGACCAAGGTAAGCACAGGAGGACCAGACCATTGTCAGGAGGGCTGTCCAATCTAACAATGAAGAGGAGCCACTCATCCTCCCCAGCATGTTCTGTAGTCTTTCAGAGATGAACATTACTGTCTGGCTAATGTTGACTGACTTCTTTGAAGACAGCAATTACGAACTGTTATTTTTGAAGAGCCAGATATACATAGATGCATATTTTTTTCATTAGAAAATACCTGCTCTGAGTATACTCTGGTAAGATTGCAAAGGAGTTACACATGTAAGTCCCTATGAAACAAGATGAAAGGACAGTCTGAAATATTTATCAGCCACTGTTACCCTGGAGCAGAATTAGCCCCTATTTGTTCCAAAGTGCTCTGCAAAATAATGATTTGGACCTTGGGAGAGAACTGATTATGCAAGTAAGAATTTAGCATCCATTAGGCACTCAGCGTCAACATGCCCAGCCTTGGACCCTGGTTACTATTGTGAGAGGATCATTGTCAGGACACCATGGAACTCCTCAGCCATGCAGAAAAGTGTTTCAACTTTTTTTTTTTTTTGAGATGGAGTCTTGCTCTGTGGCCCAGGCTGGAGTGCAGTAGCGTGATCTTAGCTCACTGCAACCTCCACCTCCCAGGTTCAAGCAATTCTCCTGCCTCAGCCTCCTGAGTAGCTAGGACTACAGGCGCCTACCACCACGGCCAGCTAATTTTTTTTTTTTTTTTTTTTTTTTTTGAGACAGAGTTTTGCTCTTGTTGCCCAGGCTGGAGTGCCATGGCACGATCTTAGCTCACCACAACCTCCGCCTCCTGGGTTGAAGTGATTCTCCTGTCTCAGCCTCTCGAGTAGCTGGGATTACAGGCATGTGCCACCATGCCTGGCTAATTTTGTATTTTTAGTAGAGACAGGGTTTTTCCATGTTGGTCAGGCTGGTTTCGAACTCCCGACCTCAGGTGATCCGCCCACCTTGGCCTCCCAAAGTGCTGGAATTACAGGTGTGAGCCACTGCCCCCGGCCACGCCCAGCTAATTTTTTTTTTTTTTTTTTTTTTTTTTTTTTTGTATTTTTAGTAGAGACAGGGTTTCACCATATTGGCCAGGCTGGTCTCAAACTCCTGACCTTGTGATCCACCCGCCTCAGCCTCCCAAACTGCTGGGATTACAGGCATGAGCCACTGGCCCTGGCCAAAAGAGTTCCAACTTTAAAGAAAAAGCCTGTGGACAGAAGTGTCAGCCTAGACTCTTGTTCTCATATCATCCTTTTGGCACCGAAAAAAATTTTGTAGTACAAATTCTGGTGTCTGGCTATCAGACTTGGTTAAGTTATACAGCAGAACTAGAGAAGCCCCCCATATTACCCAATTCTTTTTTTTTTATATATACTTCAAGTTCTAGGGTACATGTGCACAACGTGCAGGTTTGTTACATATGTATACATGTGCCATGTTGGTGTGCTGCACCCATTAACTTCTCATTTACATTAGGTATATCTCCTAATGCTATCCCTCCCCACTCCCCCGACCCCACAACGGCCCCGGTGTGTGATGTTCCCCTCCTCTGTCCAAGTGTTCTCATTGTTCAACTCCCACCTATGAGTGAGAACATGCGGTGTTTGGTTTTTTTGTCCTCGCAGCAAATTACCCAGTTCTTTGGAGAGTCTTATCTCCTAAATGAACAGGACTCAGACCACAGGAGTCCTCCTGCAGCATTTAGTGATGTCAACACTGGATGCAAACCCAACACCGGGAGCCCACAGCTCTTTGCTTCAGAGATGAGTAATACTGGCTGAGTCATTGTTTCTATCTGCCTTTTCAATGCTCTCTCCAAAAAGTATCTCGTAATAGACAATCTCTGAGCTCACTGCTTACTGTAATACTTCTTATGTAATAATGCTGGTGGTGAGCAATCTCCTGTAGTATTCCATGACAGCAACACTGACTGTGCTGTGTTAACCTCGATTAATGTTATTATTTGTACACCATAAGGGTACGTTTTGTTTTTCTATTATCTCTTATATTTAGACTGGGAGGCATTGTTCTGTCATCCTTGTTTTATTTTAAGAAATCGAACCATAAGGAGGTTAAGCAATTTCTTCAAATTCATGTAGCTTGTGAACTTTGAGCCTGTGCTTCCTGTTCATTGAGTCACATTATCTCAATTTAAAATTGGCTGCGTTTTAAGTAAAGAAAATTTAAATTAAAAAAAAAGAAGAAGAAAGAAAGCAAGCCATCCAGAGAAGCAGTGCACAGTGGTAATAATGTGCTAATGTGCTGATGGAGTTCAGGACAAGCTGCCCCAAAGTACGGCACCTTGGCATTTGAGAAAACAGCAGAAGCAGGAAGGTCACCCTCGCCTTCTCCTGCTCTTCTCCCCTAAAGCAGGTCCTAAAACCTAGGAAGAATTTTCTGACCCTCCTCTGAAGGAGATCACAAGACCCTCATGTGAACTGTGCCCTCCCAATACTGGTAGGAAAGAACATCCTTATTTCTGAAGAAAAAGGGTCACAGAGAAGAATCTGAACAAACAGTCCATGCTAAGTACCCTCCCACACACAGTTTATTACCATTAAATCATACTTTTTTTTTACCCAATCATACTTCTTCATAACTATCCACTTCTTCATCAAAAATCTACCATAAAAATACACCAGCTTTCTCATTTCTTCAGGCCTTCATTTCCTTTAAAGACTCCTGTGTCATGTTAAACTTCCAATAACTAAGTGTGTATATGTTTTCCACTCATTAATTTATCTTTTGTTACAGGGGCCTCATCCATGAACCTAGTGATGGATGAGAAAAATATATTTTTCTTCCCCTACAGTGCATACAGGCTTTGGATTCTGAGTCATTCAGTCAACAAATGCTTATTGAACACGGGCTGTGTGCCAGGCATGCAGTAAAGCAGGAAGGAAAGACCCTTGCTGTCATGGGGTCCATACACTTGAGTCTGGGGTTAGAAATGGGGAGAAACAGACAAACTGAAACACAGTATAAACACATAGATAAGAGAGAAATAAACAAGGAATGCCAGATGGCTGTAAAGGCAATGTTGGGCACCACTGTGGTGTGATATGATGGAGAATGACCTAGTGGTTGCCATCTGAGGGTGCTTGCCACAAACAGCCTTGAAGGAAAGCCCTGATTTTCTATCTTATCTTTATAAACACTTCGAAATTCAAACGCCATTAAACTGATTTTAAAATGGACCTGTGTCTTATTTATTTATGTCAGCCACAGTCATAACAAGGAAGTAGGGGTGCGGGGTGGGGAGGGGGGGAACAGGGGAGAATGTTCTAAGCAAAGGGAGCAGCAAGTGTAGCAGAGGTGACAGACAGGCTGAGCTCCAGACTCAGCTCTAACCCTCTCTGGTTGAATGACTTCAAGCATGTTACCAACATACCTAGGTCCTTTGTGAAAGGCCCTTTAAAAGAGAGACAATTTCTAACTCATAGGAACTTACGTAAATTAAATGACACCAGCACATAGCAGTTACTCATAAAAGGTAGTTGATTTCCTACCTTATCTTGATAAATCCTTTAAGATTCAAAGACCATTAAACTCTGATTTAGAAATTGTCCTATGTCTTATTTATTTATTTATTTATCTTCCTGAGCAGGGGGCAGCTATAAGAGCAGCAGGAAATGTGAAATCAGAGATGATCTAGGTTATGAGTTCTTGGAAATCAGGGATAAATTTATTTATAGGAGGAAACAAACAAGATGCCATTCTTTTGGGGACAAGGGTGACTTCTCCATTAGATGCAGTACGATAGTGCCTAGGACCCACGATCCTTTGCAGAAAAGGGGAGCTCCACAAAAATCTTCTAATTTCTTTAAGATTAGCAGAAAATAAAAAAGAATTCTTAGGTGTATTTTAATATAGAACATCATAAGTTTGTCTTTATAGCAGCACACTCGTAAACTTTCATTTTTAATGTTACCTTATGGAGACAGGACCTCCAAAGACAAAGTCCCTAGGCCTTACAAAATCCGTATCCCAGCTGACTGGGGAAGAGAGTGTTCCTTTACTGCTCCTGATCTCTTCGCCTCCATCCGCGCCTGCGGCTTCCTTCACCGGCTCCGCTGCCCACCTTCTTCCTTAGCCATCTTGCCTTATATTACTGCCTATGCCCAGCCCCTGCTTTTTTTTTAAATCACCCAACCCAGATTTTTACGCAATTTCCCATTTCCCACAGCTTAGATTTCGTAAGAAAATCCCCTACAGGTGGTATGGCCACGGCAGGCCAGCCCAGCCCAGAGGCACTTAAGCACACGGAGCAGGGAGCACGCGGAGCTACGTGCTTCAGGCCACATCATTTTCACAGGGAATCCCCACAGGCCTGGTCCTTTGGCAGCCTGGGTGCTAAATGCAAGCCACAGCAGGTTTCGATTTTCAACTGCAATGACTTATGTTCTTGGTCCTAAGAATTCACAAATTGTTAAAGTCAATAATGAGACATATTCTCACCGCTGCAGTGGGGTTGTTTCTTGGCTTGATGTTTTGTTTTGCTTTGGCTTCCCAAGAAGTGTCTGAACTGTCTGTACTCTAAAAACTTACCACAGAGGTAAGCTGTGTGGACAGGGTGCTGGATGTAGATGCCAGCCAAAAAAAAAATTTAAAACTGGGCCGGGCGCGGTGGCTCACGCCTGTAATCCCAGCACTTAGGGAGGCCGAGGCGGGCAGATCACCTGAGGTCGGGAGTTCGAGACCAGCCTGGCCAGCATGGTGAAACCCTGTCTCTAATAAAAACACAAAAATTAGCCAGGCGTGGTGAAGGCACCTGTAATCCCAGCTACTCGGGAAACTGAGGCAGGAGAATCACTTGAACCGGGGAGGCGGAGGTTGCGGTGAGCCGAGATCACACCATTGCACTCCAGCCTGGGCAACAGAGCAAGACTCTGTTTAAAAAAAAAAAAAAAATTCTAAAACTAAAAAAAATTCCCCTCAGAGATTGAGCCCTTAACTAGGGCAATCCCCAGGTGAACTTACAAAACTAGCTAAGAGTATCACATCCCCAGCAAAACTGAGGCTTCCTCAGCTCTGAGCCTGCAGCCCTAACATCTCCCAAACAAAACTTCATCTCAAGGAAACACTGTCACTCATTTACATTCTACCAGGAGGTGAGCTCTCCTTGTCACGTAGTCTAGAGACACTTACATTTGGATTCTGATTTTAATTATATAAAGGCTGTAAGGGATTTTATGATGTACCAAGAAATAAGTAGAAGTATCCTATTTGGGGGCTGCAGTGACCTTCTCTAAAGCTGAAGTTATTTTACCTTTTTTAAAATTATTTTTTTAATGATATAAGAAATACATGAATACATTTTCCTTTTCACATTAAAACAACATGTATAAGGCTTAAATTCTGTTTTGCTTATTCTTGCACATTCTTAGTAGCTTCATGTTCTCTTCCTCCTGGGGGTATCGGTATGGATTTGAATGCATCTTTCAAATGTTGTTATATTCACGTACACCCATGTGTGTGTACCCACAGGGAAAAGATATATATATGGTATTGCTTGGTGATTGCCCCTTACATAAATGAAGTAAAAAAATACACTGTGTATTTTTGCTGCACCATGTTAGAACTTACTTTATGTCTCATTTTTAACTATGCTATTATATTTATCATATAAAACTACAGTTTGTTTAGCCACTACCCTGTTGATGGGCCTGTAATCTTAACCTTATAGGTAAGTGCCTTTCTCAGTCCTCTTCCCAATCCAGGCACCTGGCCACAATTATGGCATAGGAAGGATCTAGTTAATATACTAGAAACATAAGATTCGAGTATCAGACTTTCAGGGCTATATTTTGAAAAAGCAACAAAGTTCCAAGAAAAAAGTTTCCTTTCATTTGGTGGTAAAAGCCAGTGTGGAGATTGTTAAAAAGAAAATCTTTAAAAAGGAAAATAAATTGCTAAGGGCTGGAGAGAAGAGGTGGGGGTGAGGCTGGAATAACAACCATTCTAAATCAGTGAGAATACTAATGGGAAAAGTTACACCTAGGGATTTTATGGGACCTGAGCTTTGTTTAGCACCCAGACCTCAGTCCTCATTTGAGAGAACAAGGCCCATAAGTACTTTTCCAATATTTGCCTAGATTGATAGAATAGGCTCTTCATTAATTTACTTTGAGCTTCAGCTCGTCTAGTTTGTATTATGCTTAATTAATCCAGTTAATTGGTGCTGGCCTGAACGGAAACAAAGACATGTAGAAGGCACAGGAAGTACAAAGTCAGGTTTGTGCTCCTGGTATGTGGGAACTGGGGAATTCTCACTGCAAGGAAGACATGCTCAGATTCAAGTTGCCTGAACTCTACAGGCTCCTAAATAAAGAACCTAAAATTCTGAATAAAAGAAGTAGAGTTGGAGCCCAGAGACAGAGTGAGGTATGGAATAACAGAAACTCACTGCAGAGTTCACACTTCAATCAGTGAGCCTTAAGGCGCTAAGAGGTCAAAACCTGAGCCTTTGGCTCAGATCCCTAGGTTTGGGTCCTAGCTCTGCCACACTTTGGCTGCACCATTTTAGCCACATTACTAATCCTCTTCGTGCTTCGGTTTTCTCATCTGTAAAACAGGGATAGTTTCATGCGCGTCCATGTGAGGAGACCACCAAACAGGCTTTGTGTGAGCAATAAAGCTGTTTATTTCACCTGGGTGCAGGTGGGCTGAGTCCGAAAAGAGAGTCAGCGAAGGGAGATGGATTATCATTAGTTCTTACAGGTTTTGGGATGGGCGGTGAAGTTAAGAGCAATGTTTTGTGGACAGGGGTGGATCTCACAAAGTACATTCTCAAGGGTGGGGAGAATTACAAAGAACCTTCTTAAGGGTGGGGGAGATTACAAAGTACCTTCTTAAGGGTGGGGGAGATTACAAAGTACATTGATCAGTTAGGGTAGGGCAGGAACAAATCACAATGGTGGGATGTCATCAGTTAAGGCTGTTTTTACTTCTTTTGTGGATCTTCAGTTACTTTAGGCCATCTGGATGTATACGTGCAAGTCACAAGGGATGCGATGGCTTGGCTTGGGCTCAGAGGCCTGACAGATATTACTTTTTCATAGGATTATGAAGATTCAATTCGATCATTTATGTAAAGTCCTAATTCAGTGTAATTCCTGGCACATAGTAAATATTCTGTAAATGATAGTTTTTATTAACTAAAAAAAGCAGTTGGTATTAAGCCACAAAAGTTCTGGTATTTGAATGTCTAAATAATTTTATTGTAAGTATTATGTATGAAGGGGGAAAAAGCCTTCCCCCCCCCCACCCCCCGCCACAAAAAGAAGGTCTGGATGGCATTTATTGGGAGAAGCTGGGTGCTAACTTGTCACATCATGAATCAGTCACCCTTTATCATTGATCTGTAATTCCAGAAATCCAGAACAGAATTTTTAGAATTTGCCCCTTTCTTAAAAGGGATATTTTACATTGTAATAATTTCACCCTGGGTTTAGCCTGTGTTTCTACAGTATTCTTCACCCTTTCTGGCCTATTTAGCTCAGAACGCAAGCTTGACAGCAAGACAAACAAATTCCTCAAATGAGACTGCCAGCCAGTATTTGGGCTATAAAGCATGGCCAATTTGCTTTCTCAGGATGGAGAATATAATCCCCAGAAGGTGGGTAGGCACAGAGTTCAAAAAGAAAGTGAATAACCTGTTCATCTGCCTTAGCCATTAACATTCTTGACTTTTCCATTTTGTGTCCTCTCTTGCAAACTCCAGCATTATCGAGGGCACTTTTGAGTGCCTGATTCCATGTCTTTGAACAAACAAAGTCGCCAACTACAGTTCCTCTCTCAAGAGCAAAACCTGAAATTTGTCAAGAAATAGTGAGTATTGTTTGCCAATGGATATAACTCAAATGTCAGACTCTGCTTCTGTACTTTTAGGCCCTGACCACACCAAACGGCCTGTGTTTATTCAGTGCCTTGATTTCTCTTCTCTTGAATCAGGAGGAATAGAATGTGCTACTACTCACTGCTTGGTTTATAAAGAGCTATGAAATCCCTGAAATTGAGTTGTTTGAAGTAGAGCTCTGGAGGTCACAAAAGGCCACCTTCGAGAGGGAGGGGCTACAGCTGAATCCCAGCTCTAACATTTCACAATAAAGTTGGAGTTACAACTATGCATATGTAGAAGCTTCCCTAGAAGTTTCAGCCAAGAGAAACCTCTCAGATATGAAAATCAGAACTCTCTTCCCCTTTCTCTTTCTCATGAAGAATAGAGCAGGATTATACCACCAGCTGTTTTCTTCTTCTTCGTTTTTGTTTACGGTTTCTTTAGTTAAATAACACCGAGAGGATTGGCAGCATAAGGTTCTGTCATGGCATTTTTGCTGCCTCACTTGATTCCATTAATCTTGAGACAGCAGGGCAGGTGGCTTCTAGGGGGGTCCTCCAGCCAGGCTGCTCATTAGGCTCTTGCAGCATGGGTGAGAGAGGCAGAGGGAAGCACAATTACTCAGCCAGCGGAGCTTCTCAGCATGGCTTCCTTTGTGCCAATAAGAGACTTCCCAGTCCTGACTCAGCCTCCGGAGGGACGCATAGCTGAGGACGCTGGAACGCAAGCCTGGTGGGGGACTGGCTCCCAGGCACTGGATCCATCAGCAAAGGAGAATTGTTCTGTGCCCTGAGCCTCTATTTACTAAGCTTATAAAGTCGATCATTTTCTTTTCTTTTTTATTTCTTTTTTTTTTGAAACGGAGTCTCATTCTGTCACCCAGGCTGGATTGCAGTGGCACGATCTCAGCTCACCGCAACCTCCACCTCCCAGATTCAGCAATTCTCCTGCCTCAGCCTCCCAGGTAGCTGGGATTCCAGGCGCCTGCCACCCCACCTGGCTAATTTTTGTATTTTTAGTAGAGACAGGGTTCCACCATGTTGGCCAGGCTGGTCTTGAACCCCTGACCTCAGGTGATCCACATGCCTCGGCCTCCCAAAGTGCTGGGATTATAGGCGTGAGCCACCGCACCCAGCCAAAGTCAACCATTTTCTAAGTGCTCACTTTGCTGTGTTAGTAATGACGATTATGTCACTGAAACCTTGAGTCTCATAGCACCTCAGCTAGCCTGTGACGGTTGAGAATGTTTTCAGCAAATTTTTCTAAATGCAAGAAACAGAAGAAAGCAGCACATCTTGTGGCAAAGTTCTTGTTTAAGTCCTGTTGTTTCAGCTTTTCCCAGTAGTGGTATTGACAAAGTACTAGGAGAATGGGCTGGAGTCAGCATTCCACTCAGGGAAGGAGCAGTTGCTCACACAGGAGCAACTTTTTTAGACCTAGGGTCTAAAAACGGAGAACGCTGAGTCTAAAAAAGGCCTCCAGAACCTGCCTGATGCCTGAAATTCTATGAAAGCACATCAGCAATATCCTCCCTGCAGTGGTCTCAAACTGGTGGCCCCAAAGAGGTTAAATTTCAAATCGTTTTAGTGTTTTTTGAGAGGGAGAGGGAAGGAATATGCTGTCAGTAATTAAAAATGGAGTGATTTTAGAAAACCTTCAGTTTTCTGTTGAAAATCAGAAGACTGGACAACACAAGGCCCTCTTTTCTGTGTGATAACAATCATCTAGAGCTGAGTGGTGGTCAGCCCACCTACACAATGCTGGCGCTCTCTTGCTCTCCACAGAAGCCACCAATCATGAGAGAGCAATCAATCATGATCTATTAATTCATGGTCCGTCTCGGGTCCTCAGAGTCTCCACTGCTTTCTCTTATTCTATGCTGTCCTGATTTCATATGTGTACATTGCCAACTTGTGGCACTTACTACATTTTGGCTTTTTTTGTGAGTAGAGTCTTATTTTATCCATCCTTTCTGTCTCAAATAGACTGTCCTTTTTTGGGAAAGAGAGTGTACAGGATCACTGTATTTCACCTGAATTCACTACCATGCCTTCTAAGTGATTGATTTATCTTAATACTTGACCACTTTTAAAATAAAAGAACCATGAACAGTCATCTCTACCTGTGTGAATGAAGAGAATGAGAGCAAATTTGATATGAGCTGTGAGGTGAGAGCACTCATAAGCTAACAATAGACACAAAAGAGTGATACTACAGTGTTTGGAATGGAATCCACTAGCCATAGTCACCAACTGGTGGTTCACAGCCTTGATCTAGCTCACAGATGTGCTTTGTTTGTTCTGCCCTTTGTTTCAAAAAAAAAAAGAGAAAAAAAAACATTTTTCTTTTAAGGCAAGATTTAAGAATCAACTGATAAATGGCTGATTCTAGACTTGAGGCAGGGAATATACAAGATAAGTCTGAAGCATCTTATAGTACTAGAAAGTAAGGAAGTACTCCAAAAAAAACCCCAAAGCCAAAAAAACTTGCAGAATGGTGGGGGGATGACAGAGGAACATGGGAGCCAACTGAAAGAGCTCCCAATGGCCAATATTGTCAACAATTTGAGCAACAAAGGAAATAACATAATATTGAATTGTAACTCAAAATATAAATATCCATGCATTCATACTTACGTAAAGAAATTATTGAATAAACTAATAAATGGGAGAAAAGTATCTCAAAAAGAAGAATTCCACATAAATTATGTAGCTACTTCACTCCTGTATCAGTTCATTCTCACATTGCTATAAGAAAATACCTGAGACAGGTCAGGCACAGTGGCTTATGTCTGTAAGGCTGAGGCGGGTGGATTGTTTGAGGTCTGGAGTTTGAGACCAGCTTGGCCAACATGGTGAAACCCCATCTCTACTAAACATACAAAAATTAGCCAGGGATGGTGGCGCATGCCTGTAATCCCAGCTACTTGGGAAGTTGAGGCAGGATAATTGATTAAACCTGGGAAGCAGAGGTTGCATGAGCCAAGATCACACCACTGCACTCCAGACTGGGTGACAAAGCAAGACTCCATCTAAAAGTAAAAGAAAAAAGAAAATACTGGAGACTGGGTAATTTATAAAGGAAAGAGGTTTAATTGACTCACTGTTCTGCATGGCTGGGAGGCCTCAGGAAATTTACAATCATAGCAGAAGGCATCTCTTCACAGGGTAACAGGAGAGAGAATGACTGCAAGCAAGGGAAATGCCAGATGGTTATAAAACCATCATCAGATCTTGTGAGACTCACTCACTATCACAAGAAAAGCATGGAGGAAACCACCCCTGTGATTCCATTACCTCCACCTGGTCCCACCCTTGACACGTGGGGATTATGGGGATTATAATTCAAGATGAGATTTTGGGTGGGGCACAGCCAAACCATATCATTCCACCCCTGGTTCCCCTGCAAATCTCATGTCCTTACATTTCAAAACACAATTATGCCACCAGCCCCAAAATCTTAAAGCATTCCAGCATTAACCCAAAAGTCCAAGTTCAAAGTCTCGTCTGAGACAAGGCAAGTCCCTTCTGCTTAAAAGCCTGTAAAATCACAAGCAAATTAGTTACTTCCTAGATACAATGAGGGTACAGGCATTGGGTAAATAGGTCCATTCGAAATGGGAGAAATTGGCCAAAACAAAGGGGCTACAGGCCCCATGCAAGTCTCAAATCCAACAAGGCAGTGATTAAACCTTAAAGTTCCAAAATAATCTCCTTTGACTCAATGGCTCACATTCAGGTCACACTGATGCAAGAAGTGGGCTCCCATAGCCTTGGGCAGCTCTGCCTTTGTGGCTTTGACGGGTAAAACTCCCCTCCTGGCTGCTCTTCATTGAGTGTCTGTGGCTTTTCCAGGCTCACAGTGCAAGCTGTCAGTAGATCTACCATTATGGGGTCTGGAGGGTGGTGGCCCTCTTCTCATAGCTCCACTAGGTGGTGCCCCAGTGGGGACTCTGTCCCCACTGTGTCTGACTCCACATTTCCCTTCTGCACTTTCCCAGCAGAGGTTGTCTGTGAGGACTTTGCCCCTGCAGCAAACTTCTGCCTGGACATCCAGGTATTTCCATACATCATCTGAAATCTAGTCAGAGGTTTCCAAACCCTGATTCTTGATTTCTGTGCATTCACAGGCTCAACACCATGTGGAAGCCACCAAGGCTTGGGGCTTGTACCCTCTGAAGTAATGGCCCAAGCTGAACCTTGGGCCTTTTTATTTTTTATTTTATTTATTATTTTTTTTGAGATGGAGTCTCCCTCTGTCACCCAGGCTGGAGTGCAGGGGTGTGATTTCAGCTCATTGCAACCTCCGCCTCCCAGGTTCAAGCGATTCTCCTGCCTCAGTCTCCCGAGGAGCTAGGACTACAGGCATGCGCCACCACGCCCAGCTAATTCTTGTATTTTTAGTAGAGACGGGGTTTCACCGTGTTGGCCAGGATGGTCTCGATCTCTTGACCTCGTGATCACCCGCCTCAGCCTCCCAAAGTGCTGGGATCACAGGCGTGAGCCACCGTGCCCGGCCCCTCCTTGACCCTTTTTAGCCAAGGCTGAAACAAGCAGCTGGGATGCAGGGTACCACGTCCCAAGACTGCACAGAGAAGTTGGGGGGTGGGGGGGTTGGCAGGGGGAGAGGTAGCCCCAGGCCCAGCCCACAAACCATTTTTCCCTCTTAGGCTTCCAGACCCATGATGAAAGGGGCTGCTGTGAAGACTTCTGACATGCCCTGGAGACATTTTCCCCATTGTCTTGGTGATTAACATTTGGCTCCTTGTTACTTATGCAAATTTCTGCAGCAACTTGAATTTCTCCCCAGAAAATGGGTTTTTCTTTTTTATTCTATTGTCAAGCAGCAGATTTTCCAAACATTTGAAGCTTCCTAACAAGCTTCCTCTTGAATACTTTGATGCTTAGAAATTTCTTCTGCCAGATACCCCAAATTATCTCTCTTATGTTCAAAGTTCCGCAGATCTCTAGGGCAGGGGCAAAATGCTTCCAGTATCTTTGCTAAAGCATAGCAAGAGTCACCTTTACTCCAGTTCCCAAAAAGTTCCTCATCTCCATCTGAGACCACCTCAGCCTGAACTTTATTATCTATATCATGATCAACATTTTGGTCCAAGCCATTCAATAAGTCCCTAGATAATTCCAAACTTTCCCACATTTTCTTGTGTTCTTCTAAGCCCTACCAAACTGTTCCAACCTCTGCCCATTACCTGGTTCCAAAGTTGCTTCCACATTCTCAGGTATCTTATAGCAATACCCCACTACCTTGGTACCAATTTACTGTATTAGTTCGTTCTCACATTGTTATAAGGAAATACCAAAGACTGGGTAATTTATAAAGAAAAGGTTTAATTGACTTATTGTTCCTCATGGCTTGGAAGGCCTCAGGAAGCTTACAATCATGGTGAATGGCATCTCCTCACAGGGCAGCAGGAGGGAGAATGAGTGCAAGCAGGGGAAATGACAGACACTCATAAAACCAACAGATCTCATGAAACTCACTCACCATCATGAGAACAGTATGGGGGAAACCACCCCCATGATTCAATTACCTCCACCTGGTCCCGCCCTTGACACGTAGGGATTATAGGGATTATGGGGATTACAATTCAAGATGAGATTTTAGGTGGGGACACAGCCAAACCATATCAACTCCCAAGGAGGCTGTGCATAGTGACTTTATTCTAAAGAGTACAGTATGGAGAGGGGGTGAAAGAGTAACTTTACAGTGGAGACAGCAGACAGACACTACCTCAGCCAGGTCATCAAGGTTAGTATAATCAGTCATATTTATAATATGTACCCTTGATATGATGTGATGAGAATGGCACTTTGCCTCTGTGCTCTTATATGACAGATGTATCCTCACCTGTCAGCAATAACTTAAGCATACCCCAAGCATGACACTGTGGTCTAAGAAGAATGTTGGCTCAGAATTCCAAACTAAGGAATCCAGGAGTGGCCAACCCAGAGGTTTACTCCTTATTTAAGAAGGACATCAGAACACCTGACCCATTCCTTGTTATGCAGCTATTCAGGGAATTGAGAACCCTGTTTTGAGTTAAATGGAGGTTTCTAGAGGGACAGTGCTAAGTAAAAAATGCTATTTAAACTGCATGCTTTTTACAAATGATAGTGCTTCTCCTGTCCAGCCCACAGTCGCTGTATGTAAGTCCTCCATAAACCCTATGTCTCCTTTGCTGGCTCTGGGTCTCCTCTTAGACCTGCAGACACAGTGCCATCCCTACTGGCATCATTAGGGGTCTGGCATGACAATTCTTCTTTCCAAAAACCTATAATCCCAGTCTAATTATGAGAAAAACATCAGACAAACCCCTATTGAGGGGACCTCTACAAAATACCTTCTCAGTATTTTGTAAAACTATCAAGGTCACCAAAAACAAGGAGTCTCAGAAACTTTCACAGCCAAGAGGAACCTAAAGAGACATGGCAACTAAATCTAATGTTATATCTTCAGTGGGATCTTGGGTCAAAAAAGGATGTAAAGTAAAAACCGAAGAAATCCATACGAAGTATGGATATTCATTAATAATGGTGTATCAATATTAGTGCAATAATTTTAACAAATATGCAGGTTGATCATCCCCAATTAGAAAACCCAAAATCTGAAGTGCTCCAAAATTTGAAATGTTTTGAGCACTGATATGATTCTCAAAGAAAATGTTCAGAGAAGCATTTGGTATTCTGGATTTTTCAATTAGCGACGCTCAACCACTAAGTATAATGCAAAAATCCAAAACAATTCAAAATCCAAAACACTTCCGATTCCGCAAGGGATACTCAGCTTGTACCATACGAGTTTAAGGTACTAATAATAGAGGAAATTGGTGTGGAAAAGATGGGAACTCTCTGTACTATCTTCATAACCTTCAAGTAAATCTAAAAGTATTCCTGAAAAGTATATTTTAAGAAACCAATGTAGTTCACAGTAAGTATATTTAAAAAATCAAGTATTAAGTATATTTTAAAAATCAATTTATTTCACATTTATTCACAATTTATTTCACATCTTGATTTCTAGCTCTTCAAGAACGCAGCGATTCTGAATGCTGATTATATCAGCGATTCTGAATGCTGATTGTGTCAGCGATCCTGAGATCAGAAGGCCAGTACTCTGGCTACAGCTGCCTCTCTACAACCTGCAACCTTATTTGCCAAGTAAAACAGCGGGAGAAAGAAGCCCCCAATCTAGCCGTCCAAATCACACACAAAGGCATCTAATTCACAGAGCCTAATTCACCTGTAGGACACTAGCTGTAGTCCAGAAACGTACGTAGAAGAATATGGAAATATATGCTGAGTGACTGTGTTAAGCACAGACTGATCCATCACACTGTTCTCCCCAACACTGAGGCCAAATGTGTTTTATCAATGTCCTTGCGTTGTTGTTTCTTACATGTGCCTCTGTTTTGCTCATTACATTACCTGCCTTACCCCTACAGGCATTGGGGTTTGCCACTCCTACCAAAACTTAAGGGCTATGACACAATTACACTGAAATATCATATGTGTTAACTGAGAAAACATCACACAAAATTGTTGCATAAATTAAATTCAATGGTAGGATAGGGCTTTGGAAAGTACAATAAAAATGTGAAGTGTTATTTTTATCATACACATGTTCCATTTTGTCTGTCCACACAAGTAACTAAAATTACAAATTTAAAGTTTACATTTAGTTACATAACTAAAAATATATTACATGTCACTATTTCAAACCATTATCACATGTATTTATCGAAATTTTATAAGCAAAAAAGTTATCTATTGTCCCAACAACAGTCTTTTTTATTTGATGAGCTCACTTAAAAAGTATCTCTCTTCATCCTTCAAAATTGCCAGTATTAGATCTGTTAAAGAAGCCCCTTTTCCCTAGGAATTCAAATGTTATTTGTCCACTAGCAAGAATCTTGCAATAGCTTATAGGAAAATTAACTGGCAGAAAACAACATTCAACTACTCATAGGCAGAAAAAATCCTGACTGAGTGAAATACCTGACTATAATCATCTGCTCTTTCTAGCTTATCTTTTCTTATTAAGACGATAATACCTGCATGGTAAAGAACATGCAAACAGCACCAATTTTCTTTCCCATTCTGCAGGTATTATTTTCTTGAAAGAAAATATCCCTGCAAGAAAATGTTCCAGCGGGGACTTTGAAACCTAAAAACAGATATTAAGGACCTATTATATGAGAGCCAGAATGGTGAGATCATGGAGTTCATCTATTCCAGTATCTTAACCTGACACAGAATCTCTGACATGTCGAAACCCCATGTGATTATTTCCACAGATGGGAACCTCACAATCTCATGAAGTTTTTGGTCTAAACCATTAACTTGAACTACCTTATAGAAAGGGCTTCTCTGCTGAAAGGAATTGGCCTCCCTTCTACTCGCTGGAGCTCAACAGAACACAGTTTTCCCTCTTTCCCCCTGGAGCCAGATGGGTGGCTTAAAAGAATTAGGTGAAAGATTTTGTAAGGCATTGTGGGCACTATAATAAACTGGCAAATCTATGCCCTTTGATTGGGGAAGATGCTCTGCAGCTCTCAAGGCTAAAAATGAGGGTCTGGTATTGCCTACAAAATTTTTTAAGCAAAGTAGGAATAAGAATCATTGTGTAAAGTTCTCTTTAAAAAGAAAAAACAGTAACTACAATGTGGACTAAATAAAACATATCTATGTTATACATTTACCCAGATACCAAAGACAACCAGTGGGTTTTTCCCCAAAGTCTTATTTTCTCTGAGCTCATCCTAAACTTGCTGCATAGTTGCATGCAGGTCACAATTTTTTGGGTCCTGGCTAGAGACAGTGCCCTAGGCTCTGGTTTCAGGCAAGCCTGGTATGAAATCCCAGCTCTGCATTTATCAATTGTTCAACCTAGGACACATTTCTTAAGTACCCTAATCCTCATTTTCTCTTTTGTGAAAAACAGAGTACACACCTTCTAGAGGCATTGTGAAAATTAAATTAGACAATGCATGTAAAGCACTCAGCAGGTGCCTGGCCTAGAGTAAGTACCACTGAGTACCTTGAAAATTCTTTGTCATGCTTCTCCCGACACACTGTTGTTCATACATGCTTATTTTTAAAATGTATTGTCCACAAGAAAAAATATTCCTGATATTTTGTTTTTGAACAATAGAGTATGACAGACCTGTTACTTAATAACATTACAACCCTGTACTTCTATTGAATCAGTGTCAGATTGTTGTTTTAATAGCTACATCACACTCTTGGCTCAGGTCAGGCTCATGATCGGCTAAATCCTCAGCAGCTTTTCATGAGGGCTGTTTCCAATCTGGGGATATGTCATCACAGACTAATGAAATTGATTTCTGGGGAACCCACATATGTCACTTTACACTCATGGAAGTTTGATTTCAGGGAGCTGGTTTGAGCCCTAACAAGTATGTTGTAGCAACTGCCTCCCAAGTTTATTAAGAGTATGGGTATTGAATCAAATAAAGTGCGTCTGAATCCTGGCTCAATTTCCCTATGTGTAAATTAAAGATAATAATAGAGCCTTACCTCATAGGGATGTTATACACATAAAATGAGATAGTGGATATAAAGCTTTTAGCAGAGTGCCTGGAACACAAGCACTCAATTCACCTTAGTGGTCATGATGAAAATGATGATGATGATATTGATGATGATGATGATGATGATGATTTTTATGTTGTCAAAATATTGAAAAGGGAAGATGATGCTTTGATACTCTAACAGATCTGGGAAATGTTTGTTCTGCAAGACATAAGTCATCTAGCAGAACTATTATTCAGTCTCTATTTGGCATGTTTCTTTGTCACTCTGCCAAATCCTGGGCAAGGAATATAGAAGAATATCCTGATGAGCTCATTCTTATTTAAGGTATAAATGACTTACTGAACTCTCTCTTCCAAGGAGTCATCCCTAGCTAAGATCCTCTGTCTATCTTATCAATGCTTTACATATAAAAATAAAATCTTCTAGCACTCCCAGACACCTGCCTATCTCACCATTTTGTGTGTGTGTGTGTGTGTGTGTGTGTGTGTGTGTGTGTGTGTGTGTGTTTTGGGGTGGGGGGAGGGTGAAGTTGTTTTTTTTCTCCCAGATCAGAGCATCCTGACAATATCTGATTTAGGTATGATGCCAGGAGCTATGGACACAAAATAAGATTATTTTTCTGCCTGTAGGAATATATATGGTGGAGAACTATCGTTCTTCAGGAATGTTTTACTTTCCCCCATTTCATTCCCACTCCTCTGCTTTTAGAAGTATGTTTGGAGCTCCTGCTTCTCTAAGAATTACTATTATCTCCATCACATCCACCCCAGGACCACCACTGCTACTACCTAGGCCAGGTATGGAACCCCAACTGTTTCCTCCGAATCATGCCCAAGGCACAGCCTATGAAACATTGCAACAGCCTTGCTTGGAATGTTTTCAGTACTTTCTTTCACCTTTCATTTTGTGTTTTCAAATTTCAACCTCTTTTTTTTTTATTTCAACTTCTTCTTTTTTTTTTTTTTTGGAGTTCCGCTCTTGTTGCCCAGGCTGGAGTGCAATGGCGTGATCTCGGCTCACTGCAACCTCCACCTCCTGGGTTCAAGCGATTCTCCTGCCTCAGCCTCCCAAGTAACTGGGATTACAGGCACCCACTAACACGCCCAGCTAATTTTTGTATTTTTTGTAGAAACAGGGTTTTACCATGTTGGCCAGGCTGGTCTCGAACTCCTGACCTCAGGTGATCTGCCTGCCTCAGCCTCTCAAAGTGCTGGGATTATAGGCATAAGCCACCATGCCCGGCATTAATTTCAACTTTTTAAGAAAAAAAGTTATGACCGGGCGCAGTGGCTTACACCTGTAATCCCAGCACTTTGGGAGGCCGAGGCGGGCGGATCACGAGGTCAGGAGATCGAGCCCACCCTGGCTAACACGGTGAAACCCCGTCTCTACTAAAAAAAAAAAATAGAAAAAATTAGCCAGGCATGGTGGCGGGCGCCTGTAGTCCCAGCTACCAGCTACTTGGGAGGCTGAGGCAGGAGAATGGCGTGAACCTGGGAGGTGGAGCTTGCAGTGAGCCAAGATGCACCACTGCACTCCAGCCTGGGTGACAGAGCAAGACTCCATCTCAAAAAAAAATAATAAAAAATAAAAAGAAAAACGTTAAGCCTTACAAAAGCAATAGTGCTTCCAAAATAAATCAAACTAAAATGGCACAGAGTGTAGTATATAAACCGCCTGCCCCTACTTTCTTGAGGCTGCCAGAGTTGACCCCCTGGTATAAGTTATTCCAAATGGTTCTCCACTCTCATGGCAACCATACATCACAGACACATAGAGAGGGCAGATTTTTTTTTGTTTATTTGCTTTCAGCTGCTCTTGATCCCATTTTACAAAATCTGACTTTTAATATGCATATTATCCTATAGATTTATTTTCCTTTTTGACAATACCTCATGGACATCCTCCAAGCTAACAGATGTAGTTCTAACTAGAATTTTAAATAGGTACATAATATTCCATGTTAAATATGTACCATAATTTATTTGCCTGTTGATAGACACTTATGTTGTTTTCCAGATTTTGCTACTAAAAAATAGAACCACAGTGTATGTGTGTGTGCGCACATGTGTGCGTATCTCCTTATATACAGATTATTTTGTTTCTGAGGCTAGATTTCTGCAGGCACTACTGGGTCAAGTGGGAGGTATATTTGTTATTTAATTTTATTAAGTTTTGCCAGATTATATAATATGAGGTTTGCTAATTATGTAATGTGACTGGCTTTAGGTTCAGTTTTCCCGAAAACATCACCTCTCTGATTATTCCCATAACTCCACGCACAGCAGCCTCCAGCATGTTCTGCTTGGTACCTGTGCCAAGACAGGAAACTCCAGGGCCAATGATCTGGGCCAGGGCAAGGGATGCCTATTATCACTCTTAGGGAAGACCAGGCAATCAGTTCTCAGTCCCACTAGTAAAAGGAAAGGTTGTGTGTCTAGTATCTTGAGTTGAAACTTGTTGCATTTTCCCATTGAAACAATTTTCAGACATAGTTAGATAGAGTTGAAATAGTACCACAGTACTACTAGTAGCAAATGACAGGTACATTAGGGCTAAAAAGCAAAGGATTTGTGGGCCAGTGTAGAAATCTAACCAGTGTTTTTAACATGGCTTCTGTGGAAAAGTGCACTTCAAATGTCAAACAGTAAGTGATCTTTTAAGACCCTGCTGGTTTCTGAGTTAAGAACTTATCCTGGCATTTTTAAGAGGGTATTTACAAATAGCAGATCTTAACTTGTGACGTAAAGCTAATGACAGAATTTAAGGCACAGTTATGGACATGATGAGCTAATAGTTTTGACCATGATAACTACCCTGAAGCCCCTGGCATTCCAGGTAGGTGATGGCTATCCACCCATGTATCATTCTGGACCTGTATTCATGCATTAACATGCTTCCTTGGGGTTGGGGGACAGTCAGGAGAGGCCTTGGGAGGGAGGGGAGGCCCACTGAGTGACTCCCTCAGGCCCAGGCAGGAACATAGACTTTGGACTTCTTACTCTAGCACAAGGTTCCATCTCTGGAGAGATGTGGGGGAAAGGGCAGGGAGTCTCATATTACTGGGGAGCTTCAAGTGCAAAAGAATTCCTGTGCTTGGCACACAACTCCCTGAATGCGGTAATGGAAAAACTTCATCTTTAAGAGTCAGCAGAGCATGACTTTGGACAAATTATTAAGCTCTCTCCATTTCAGTTTCCTTATTCAGAAAAAGCAGATAATACCAGTTGCCACCTCGTAGGTAGAATTTGAGAATTAAGGGAGACCATACATGCAGATTGTTTAACATTAGATATAGTACCTAGTAAACGCTCAATAACTACTAGCTACAACAACCATTATAACTATGTTAGGGCATCTGTAATTGTATAGTTCCTACCCCTCTCTACTAGAAGCTTCTTAGAGATCTACGGCATATGCTTACTTCAAATGAGTTATCAATATATCTCAGCAGGCACATCACACAGTTGTAGTCTCTAAATAACTGCGATCTGCTAGGTGCTAGTTGTTGGTAGTGATTAGGAAGATGACAGTGACGATGCCAAATAGCAGGCAAGCACTTTCTCAGCACTGGAATTCAGGAACAATTATGCCTGTAGAAAGGTATTGGGAAAAGTAAAGAATATAACACAAATTATGGCCAGGGTGAGAGGACGAAGGCAATGGGGAGCAAGAGTCATGGTCAGATTCACTGTGAAGAGTGGTGTTGTTCGAGCATTGGACTTGGATGCTGGAGATTGACGTGAGGTCCTTTAACAAGTCATTCTACCCCCTCTGGACTTGCTTCCTAGATCATATAAAAGGAAGAATAGAATCCGTGACCTGAAGATTTCTTCTTTCCTGTCTTCAATTCTTCTCAAACAAGGCCATTCAGAGCTTGACTTTGCATAGCTTGCTGGTCTATTAGCCAAGCCCTGATGAAAATGAGGCAAAGCATTGGGCTTCCCAGCAGGTGCTGCAAGTTGGCAGCAAATGAGAGACAAGAGAGTCATCTTGACTGGATTCTAGGTTTGTTTCTCTCTTCTAATCACAATACATTTGGCTCAATCATTTCTGGAAAGAGAATGACTCCCGTGGCCATCATGTTAGTAACTCCTTGGATAGAAATGGGACACTTTATTTTGTCTTTCTGCCAAGTTTCCAGCTCCAGAGATGTGGCTTTTAGGATTTCTCATAAAAGCCCAAAATGGTAACATAAATAAACTTACCACAATAATTTTCTACACTGCTCTCTAGCTTCCCAATGGAAACTCTTGTCTTTCTTCTAAGTCATCCTTCACAAAGCTCTCTCAGATTTATTATCTAAGGGGGTAATTCGTCATCTAGGATAAATACCACCTTCTTCCACTGGGCAGTACTATGCTTTAGGTGGCTATCGTTTCTATAGTATGCATAATTATATTTGGGCCCAGGCAAAAAGAAGCCTGTTAAGATAATAGGTTGTTTGTTTCTTTAGTTACATATTCCTAAAACAAGCAATTTGCAGTGAACTTTAGTTCTTTTCTACATTCCTAGGCTCTTGGGTCCCTTGAAGGATGCAATAACAGTGTTTTAAGTCAAGGGGATACACTGAAAGGTGCATGGATTTTGAAGGCACACAGAGCTCAACTACTTGGAAGGTGTGTAACCTTGGACAAGTAAACTAAATATCTCTGAGCCTTATTTTCCTCATCAGTAATAGGGAGATGGAAATTTTTATTTACAGGATTGTCATAATGACTGGAAGTGCTACTTACAAAGTGTCTAGTTTTGTGCTTGGCACATAATCAATGGCAATTATTATGGCATTTTCACATGGTAAAAAACTAGATCCTGGTACTCTGTAGGGTGAGAGAATTTACAATGTGTTAACTTAGTCTTTCAATATAATTTTCCACAAATGTTGCAAACAATATGCACCTTTAAAAATATGTAACGACTAAGCCTGAGTTGGGAGAATCATTTGAAGCCAGCCAGGATGGAGATTCACTGTCATGGTCCTGTCCTTAGCAAGAAGCTTTCAAAGGCAAGCTTTGGTATAGATCACTCTGACCAAGGACCCATTACCAAGATGATGACAATTTGGTAAAACTTTGGAAATAAATATGGATCTTGGAGTGTTATATGTGATTGATTGCCCTTCTCTCAATTAATTAATTAATGTATTCAAAAAATGTTTACTGAGCATCTACGCTGCACTAGGCTTTATTCCAGGTCTTAAAGAGACCAAAGCAGACAGTCAGCTTTTATGGAGGCCCTGAACTCCCATAAAATCCCCATCACCAGATCAGGGGCAGAGGCCCTAAAAAGCAAATGTTCTAGAGTGGTGCTGGCCAATAGGGCTGTTAGCCATTAAATACATGTGGCTATTCAAATTTGAATTGTTATTTTAATGAATTAAAATAAATTAAATTCAAATTAATTAAAATAAAATTCAAAATTCAACTCTTCAGTCACATACACCACATTTCAAATACTCAGGAGTCACATGTGGCTACTCTAATGGACAATGCAGATATGGAACATTTCCATCATCTCTGAAAGCTCTGTTGGACAGCACTGTCTCTAGAGCCCATGCAAGCTGAAACCAAGTGCACGACCGCAGACCTACAGCATCTGGGGCACAATTACAATGTGTCCACAGCTATCCCATCTGCCAGAAGCTGTCTCAATCCTTCTCTCCACTGAGGACAACGAGGCTGGATGTTCTCCACTCACTCTCTATACTAGGTCTTCTCATTGAATCATCCTCAGGCAATAGGAAAGACCCCAGCTCATCTGTACCCACATTTACATTTTCTTCCCTAAAAAAGCATCCCTGGTCACCTATATGCCCTCTAACTCCTTCTTTAGATATTATTTCCCTAGGCATCAAGTGAAACACACACAGGGACCTATTTAATGACCTCCATTATCCTCAGACTACCCTACAACCCACTATTTGTTTGCCCATTTTGGTTTTTTCAGAGAGCCTCAATCTTGTGGCTCTAACATTTAATTTCAGGTAACTATTCTGGGTCTTTTCTGCCTTGCCACCGTACTTGGAAACACATTACCAGATCTGACTCTTGAAATCATTTTGTACACAGTCCCTGGCCCTCACTTGCCACACGGTTCTGAACGTCTTATACTCCTGGGGAATGGTCAAGGTGGTTCAACCCTCTTAGAATACCAGGATATTCCTTAGTAAATTACTGTCACAAAACTATATGGTGTCTAGATTCATGCTTGAAGTGTTCTTTGATGAATGAGGCTAACCATGCAGAACTGAATTTCTGCCATATGTAAACTCACTATTGTGTATACTGTACTAATTTTTCCTGTTTATAATTTGTAACTTGAAAATAATGCAGAAAACTCAGTATAATCTCTCATAGAGTGCAATGACTTGGATTAAAAAAATTCAATTTGACTGTGGAATGAGTAAAAGGATTGATTCTTTCATGTAACAGATTTATCTTCCTAATTACTTTATGCCTGGCCTAAAATCAAAAATAATTTCCCTAGTTACACACTAATCACTACATAAGAGGTGAGGAAAGGCATGTAAAAGCATGTCAACAAGGGACACCTAATATGTGATTTTAAGGTTTCCTGGAAGAAAAATATCTGCAAAGTTGTTGATTTGTACATGGGAAGCAAAGAGCTAGTAGAATATACATAAATTTATTTGTCCATCATATTTTTTAATTGTTCTTTTTTCAGTTGCTTCATTGCCTCCCCTCATCACCCCCATACCACGTTCACACCCTTCCAGATGGCTGAACCTGCTCATTTTGACTTCCTGGATCATTTTCTCCCATTGGTCTGGCCAAGCACAGGTGGTGCTCAGGCACTCGATGTGTCTCAGCACACACTTTTATTCTGAAAACATGCATTCGATGTTCCATCTTCTGCAGTAATTACTGGTCCCTGTCTACTTCTCTGTATTTTTCCACTTTCACACTGCTTTAAAGAACTGCCCAATACTGGGTAATTTATAAAGGAAAGAAGTTTAATTGACTCACAGTTCCACATGTCTGGGGAGGCCTCAGGAAACTTACGATCATGGCGGAAGAAGAAACAGGCACCTTCTTCACAAGCCAGCAGGAGAGAGAAGAGAAAGTGAAGAGGAAAGAGGCCTTTATGAAACCATCAGATCTCCTGAGAACTCACTCACTGTCATGAGAACAGCACAGAGGAAATGGCCCCATGATCCAATCACCTCCCTCCTTCAACACGTGGAGATCACAGGTCCCTCCCTTGACACATGGAGATTATGATTCAAGATGAGACTATAGTGGGGACACTGAGCCAAACCGTATCACTGTCTCACTGCATTTCCCTCCCCACTCTCTGGCTTTCTCTTAGTTCACATCTGGCCTGCTCATCTTCCCCTGAATATACCAAGCATGCTCCTGCCTCAAAATATTTGTATTTACTGCCTCCCCTCTCTGAAATAGCTGTTCTGGAGGCATCCACAGGCTCAAGTATGTTTTCAAGAAAAAGCTTTCCTGATTGCTCTTTTTCCTTTCTCGTCTTAAATGTTTATAGCAGTTTTCATCAGCTTAGATTTATATATATGTAAGATATATATATAGATATATATATATATATATATATATATATATATATTAGTCTACCCACCCACTAGACCCTTGCTGAGTAATAAATCATTTCAAAACCTAGTGTCTAAAAACAGCAACAATTTATATAGTTCATAATTCTTTTTTTTTTTTTTTTTTTTTGAGGTGGACTTTTGCTCTTGTTGCCCAGGCTGGAGTGCAATGGCGTGATCTCGGCTCACCACAACCTCCGTTTCCCAGATTCAAGTGATTCTCCTGTCTCAGCCTCCCAAGTAGCCGAGATTACAGGCATGCACCACCACACCCGGCTAATTTTTTTTATTTTTAGTAGAGACAGGGTTTCTCCACGTTGGTCATCTTGGTCTTGAACTCCTGACCTCAGGTGATCCACCTGCGTCGGGCTCCCAAAGTGCTGGGATTACAGGCATGAGCCACCATGCCCAGCCCTTATAGTTCATAATTCTATAGTTTGGCAATTAGAGCTGCCCATAGCTGGGTGGTCCCTCTGGTCTGGGGCAGGCTTGGTTGATCTTGACTGAAGCTTATTCATCTGAATTTATCAATGGGGTCAGCAGAGAGCAGACTGACCCTTGGCTGGGCTGTTGAATTTTTTTCTATGTGACCCCTTATCCTCTAGCCAGCCTGCTTAGGCTTGTTCGTATGGTGCTCAGCGTTCCTGGCACATCAGGGTTGCAGTAAGCAATTACCCTTCGTACCTCTGAGTGTGTCACATTTGTGACAGTTCCATTAGCCAACCCAAATTCAACTCCAAAAGGGTTAAAAGAAAATTAGATTCTGCCTCTTGTTGGGAGACCCTGTAACATCACTTTGCAAAGTCCTAGGTGCAAAGAGAGGGATTTTTTATTATTTTTAGGAATGATTCCAGGAACTAGATCAGTTTTGTTTACTTCTGTATCCCACGCATCTGAAATATTAAATAGTAACTGATTCAGAGCAATTCCTCAATTGTTATTTCAGTGAATATATAGAGGCAACTCCAGAGGGACAAGAAACAGGAAACAAAATCACCAGAACACCATTATGGCTAAACACTACTTCTGTGATCGTCACCACTGTATATCCACCATCACCTCTCACTTGAGGCTCCTATAGGGGATGTGCACCAAAGCTTTCTCTTTGTATTGCTGGCTCAAGCTGTGAAATCTTACCTGGAACTTTCAATTGCCCCAGCCTAGGTAATGCCTTTGGTCTGCCTCTTAGAAGGTGGAGATGAAAGACCAAGCTACAAATATCTACACATATTGGGGATATTCCAACAAAATAAAACAGGAATGAATGTTGGAGAGATCAACCTCCCCCAAATCCTCACAGATATCCAGTACAGATACACTATTTAGAAATTTTCTTAATGGACTATTTTTTGTTAATGGATAACAATAGCTAATATCTATCTGGACTATACAAATATACACACACCTACGCACACAAGTAATTTGCAGAAGAGGGTAGCATTTAAATTCAGCCAAATAACCACTCTTTCCAAAAACAGCTGTTTAGTGAATGAATTAGTTATTTTGCTTCTTTAAAAAATCATTTTGATTCAGATAGAGGCTGCAAAGTTTTCTGTGTAGAGAATGCTTGCTACCCATTTATTTCACAAAAGAATCATTAAAATGACTAGATAAAAAAAGCTGTAACTATCATTTAAAGTAGTCATATAGAATCAAACACAGAGACCCCGTACTACTGTCACTTAAATAAATGCATGCTTTAAAAAGTAGAGTACCTAGAATTGGTTACTGTCATGCAGAGCAGTCTAGACAATTTCAACTGTATTATAAAAGACTTAGAGGCAATAATAGGATCTTCTGGCCTTTAAATCAAAGCTTCTTAAGAAGAAAAAGGAAGCTGTAGAAAATACTCGAATTACCCAAAACTGGTACCATTTTTTTTTTTTTTTAAGACGGAGTCTCACTCTGTTGTCTAGGCTGAAGTGCAGTGGCATGATCACAGCTCACTGCAACCTCCGCCTCCCGGGTTGAAGACATTCCCCTGCCTCAGCCTCCCACATAGGTGGGACTATAGGCATGTGCCACCATGCCCAGCTAATTTTTTTTTTTTTTTTGTATTTTTAGTAGAGACGGGGTTTCACCGTGTTAGCCAGGATGGTCTCGATTGCCTGGCCTCGTGATCCTCCCGCCTCTGCCTCCCAAAGTGCTGGGATTACAGGAGTGAGCCACCGCGCCCAGCCCCAACTGGTACCATTTTTATTTCCTTCAAGTTTAGAAGACAGTTACATAACCATCACTATCACACACACACTGAACACCATGTCCAGTTGTGTCCAATAATCACCCTTTGTTCTTTTAACTATCTTTTTGCCTAGAAGGCAAAAACATGTTGGTGTCCCCTAGAAGCTAAGGGAGATGCCCATTCAGATTGAAACTCCTAACTTCAAGGCCTGTGGTTTTAAGAACTCCAAGGAAGCTTGCAGCAGGTCAAGCAGCAGCCCAATGCCTGCCCATATCCCCTGGCCCTTTCTGTGCTAGTAACTTCTGACCTGATTTCCCAGTGCCACCACCTGCTTCTCTCTGCCTGAGGCTTTCTCCAGCCATGGAAGCTTATGTTGCCGCCTGTATGCCAGGCCAGAAGCTGCAGGGAATTAACACTCCCCAACACAGAAGCCCTCAACCACAACCAGGGGAATGCATATAAATATGCAAGTTTCCTGGCCCCTTGAACAGGATAATTCTGAGGTGTATGCTTCCTCATAAGAACAGATGTCTACCAGGGTTTCTCAGTGGGGATTAAACTCCATTAGCCCACAAAGGTTACAGCAAGTTTCGATGGCTGCCTTCCCTTTCCTGTTCCACTCCCTCAATCCCTTGCCAGGGTCTCCCTCACCTCCCAATACATTCCTGATACAGAGTTGGCTTGTGGAGGAACCCAAATTAATACAAGGCTCAGCTGTCCAGCCATCCCTTAACACCATGAAGTGGTCCTTGGAGCTCATTGGTTTGAGAGTGGGGTTCCAGGTGAAAATGCAAAACCCCTGAAAGAAGCCTCCTGTCAAGCATTGTGAGCTATTCATAGTTTAATGAGCAGAAGGGACTTGACAGCCACCTAGGCAGGTAGGAGTGAAAAAGAAGAGACCAGGAGTCTGGGTGGTGGAAAAAAGCACACCTAGGAAGGAGAGAGGCGAGGCTCATCACTCCATTCCCTCTCTTGGCTGGGAAAAAGTTGCTCTAGATTGAACACAGCTCTAACTCAAATCAGCCCCACTGCACATGAAGTCCGATCACCTCGATTTCATTTGACTGTGTCCTGTGCTCTGTCTGAACCTTGATTTCCTCATCTTGAAAATGGGAATACTACTATATTAATACCTCCCCCTGAGGGTTGTTAGAATTAAGTAAAATATTCTGCATAGTGGACTAAGCACAGTCCCTGGTTCATACTTAATTTAACGATTATTATTAATTCTTTCTCATGATTATCATTACCTTTTCAAATCATACAATTAGGCTTGAATTTCTAATTTGCCCCCCTGACCTACCAGGCAGACAAAGTTGCCACAAGGATCCAATATCAAAGCAAATGATAACCACAAAAATCAGAGCAGCTGCTGCGATTTGCACATCTTCTCTCCACCTCCCTCTTCCCCTGGCACACACACCAGCCCCACTGACTGTTGAGCCTGTCCATTTCCTTTTTCCTTCCTAAGCTGGGCGGAGATAGACAGGAATCTCATGTGCTTTGAAAGACGCCGAACAGCTGCAACAAAAAACAAACGGGAGAAAGGAACAGTCACACTCATCAACACAAGGTGAATATGCGGTGGGAAATGCTCACATCTCATGTCCTCTCCTGTCCAGCTCTGCTTCCCTGTGTGAGCTGCTCTGCGGCACCGACAGCCTTCCAGAGCCATTTTTCAGGCACTTTGCAGCAGATGTGATCGTTATAAAATGCACTGTCCCAGGACTTAGGCATTTATCTGTTTTCCATAATTTCAGTTTTTACTACCTTTCCTTTAAAGACAGCAAGACACAGATTGAGCCATAAACTGTCAGATTTGTTATCTTATGAGGCTACTAATTGCCTAAAATGTGAGATGATTTGAATTTCCAATCAAACAGACAGATAGGAACACACATTGCAACTCCAGCAGGAGTTGTAAAACTCTCGAGCTCTGTTTTCCCCTTTTAATCTCTATCAGCTCAGAGTATTGATATGGACATAGAGAAAATAAGTGCACATTCATAGATGCATTTCATCAAAACCAGGCTCTGAGTGGCTGGAAGTAATACTGGACTCATCACCAAATACCCCCTTTCCCTTCTGTCCTGGTGGGTATAAGCTGACGATGCGCTGGGAGTGATGTCAAGAATCAGGAAGATTATGGAAACCGCAAGTTAAGAATCAGTAGAAAGGGTGGCTGGAATTCTGCCTGGAAAGCAGTTTTGAAGCCAGCAATGTAAGAACTAACACATTTGCAGAGACCAGTTCAGACAATTAGGACATGTCCTCTGTGGACAAAGTAACAGATGTTGCTGATTTTTTATTGCTGTTGTTCTTGTCTGCTTGTTTTGGATTGGTTGGATGTTTTTGCTTTGGATGGACAAGATGGGGGAGAAGGCAGGACATATACTTTTCAACATGATTTCCCAGATGGAACCCTTTGCCTGGCAAGGTTTACACCTTGACACTTGTCTGGCTCTGGCAGATAAGGATTTGAGAGCCGGTAGTTGAGTTGGGAAGTGATCCCAGGAAATAGCAGTAGGGGAGTAGGGGAGAGAAGTAGGGGAAAGGAAGGAGGCCAAAATACAGTGTGCTAATAAGCAGGTTTTTCTGTGAGCAAGCGGGATGCAATCCTGCCTGAGCGCCTGGGGAACTCCATACAGCAAGCCTCAGACTGGCCCCACTCTAGAGGCAAGGAAGCTGGGGTATTTATCCAAGTTACTGAATGAGGCTGCCTCCAGGGTCATTAACTCTGAGAACCGAGCAAAGCCGTGGGAGCCTACAGAGCAGGGCCTGCCTAGGGGATGTGGGCAGGGCACCAGCAGCATCAGCTATAGTCTCCACTCTTCATTGTCTGCCCTGTTCCAGGCACAGGAGCAGCTGGTGGCCAGGAGCCAAAGCAAGCACCAGGAAAACCTGATTCCAGTAAGAGCCAGCAGCCCTAAAAAGGAAGTGGTACTATGCACATGTGGTGATGTTTTGCTAGGCGCACTATTGTGGGTTCTGAAAGGGGCCCTCTGAGAGGATTTGCAATGCCTATCAAACCATCCAGAAAGGAGCTTCCAGCTCAGCGGTGTGATGGCGCTCAGTGGGTAACAGGCATGGAAAAGCTAAGGCCGCCTGGGACTTGGGGCTAATTAAGTGCAATCCTGTTTCTCCTTCCATCACTGCTGAAACACATCAGCCAAAATCTCCTAAAAGCCCTAAATTTGCAGCCATCTTCATCTCTTTAATTACTGTGTCTGGTTCACTTTATTTGCAAGCATGGGAGCTTTTTACAGCATTTTCACATTTCTGTGCAAGGTGTCAAAGAACCATAAAGACCCCGGGAGAGAAGAGAGGAAAAAACTCTCAGTCAGGCCAACGGCTATGTGACTGGCCCTTTCTCTATGCACTAAAAAGGTATTTAAACAGTGTAAACCTGAAGAGAGCATAAGTTGGCAAAGCTCTGAAGCCTAAAGATTCTAGAACTCAGTCTAAATTGAGAGGGGGCAGCCGGAAAAGGCGGTAGAGTGAGTACTGGGCATGCCACCCAGGCCCTCCCCTTCAGGACCAAGGGTTGTTTAAAGTTGCTGGAAGCATTGCAGCTGGCATCTCACAGCCTAGTCCCTCTTGGGGAATTGTCCTCAGCTGAAAGGAGCTGCCACACCCAAGGGTGCCTTCCCTCCCTGGGGCATCCCTCCTTTAAGAACAGATTTATGTGGAGTACAAGCCCCTTCCACCTTGGCTTTAGTTGAGACACCTCTGAAGGGCCATCCCAGCTCCAGGGATCCCTATAGGATCAGTTGAGGGCCCCCTTCCCTGCTTTCCTCAGACTAATGCTGTTCCCAGAAGCAATTCACAATAAACTTCCTACACATACAGTGCTGCCTCAGAGTCTGTTTTTTGGGAGAGGCAACCTATGACAGCCATGGATGGTGTGTGAAATGGCAGACATGGTGACACCTGTCCAGATGTTTCTGGAAGTCACCGTGTTGAGGAAAAGCACCCCACATACTGAATGGGTGGCATTTCTCACTATTATTCCACAGTGTCCTTACTGCATTCTAAAAAATTAGCACATTTAACATGATTGAAAATGTTACTGCATAAAATGTCTGCATTGCAAAATAAAGCACTAATACCTTAACAAAGGTACCAAGTGAAAAATTAAGGAAAGTAGTTGAAACATACATGATAGACAAAGGGATAACTTTATTAATATATAAAGAGCTTTTGAAAATTAATAAGACCAGCAACCAAAAAGTGAAATGAAGAACATGAACGGAGTTTGCAGAAAAACAAATTACAAAATGGCCTTCTCACCTATAAAAAGATATTTGGCTTACTCATAAGAAAATAAATGCAAATGAATACTATCCTGAGATGCCATTTTCACCTAACAGATGAATGAAGATCCAAAAGTTGAATAGCATGCTGTGTTGGCATGTGTGTGAAGTAATAGATACTCTCATAAAATTCTGGCAGGTGTATAAACTGGTACAACCTCTTTGGAAGGCAAATTGGCAGTAGGAAATGCACATACACATTGACACAACAAGAATTTGGCTCTTCTAAGGACATATAAATCCAAAAAGTGTACAGGGCATACATATGGGGTTGTTCCTTTTTGCATTGTTTATAGTAACAAAAGACCAGGATGTTCAAAATGTTAGAATGATTAACAAACATCAAAATGTTCATCATTACCAGATTGAGTACATTTATTGTAAATCCATCAATAAAATATTCTTCAGCCTAACTCTCCTCTGCTCACCCTGGAAAGGACAAGTTCCAGGGCCAAAACGACCCTGAGGAGAGGAGAGCTGGCTGTCAAAGCTATAAAACAGGTAGAGCCTGGCCTAGCATTTCCGTGTGGACTCAACTTCTTTCCCAGGTTTCCTCAACCTTACTATCACTCTGGGCAGCAGCCTGGATTTAATAATCTTTGCAATTCATTGCGCTTCTTATGATAAACAGTTGATGTAAAAACATACTTTATCACCTTTTATAGTCTAACAGGTTATGCAGTTCATTATTCTGACTTATATTAGCCTCTCACTTGAACAAACAATTGTTTGTAATGTAACTATAAATTATATTTAATTTTGGGATGTTCCATCCAATGCAAGGAAGTTTTTCTGAATAATCTTGGTAGAGAGTTCATTAAATAGCTTTGATTCACAGAATGATTAAAAAGCACATCTTGCATAGGTTCATTCTATTTGTTATGGTCTCTAGTATCTTTATTCAGAGGAGTTTTAAGGGTCTTCTATAATCTATGTCAGCCATAAATTACTGTGTTAAGGGAGAAAGAATCTTTGAAGCAAAACCTTCTTTAAATATTTTTTTGAGGCCAGGCGCGGTGGCTCACGCCTGTAATCCCAGCACTTTGGGAGACCGAGGCGGGCGGATCACGTGGTCAGGAGATCAAGACCATCCTGGCTAACACGGTGAAACCCCGTCTCTACTAAAAATACAAAAAATTAGCCGGGTGTGGTGGTGGGCGCCTGTAGTCCCAGCTACTCAGGAGGCTGAGGCAGGAGAATGGCATGAACCTGGGAAGCGGAGCTTGCAGTGAGCTGAGATCATGCCACTGCACTCTAACCTGGGTAGCAGAGCAAGACGCCACCTCAAAAAAAAAATTTTTTTTTCGAGATACTGATTTCTGAAAAATTAACAGAGAAACCATAATTTGCAAAGCCAAAAGGCTCAGAAACCTGCTTCTTCTTGGCAAGGGTAAAATATTCTTAAAAACGTCCTAAATATTCTTCAGAAACAAAATTACAATGGCCAAAAGAAGAGGTAAGCACGGTTCCAGCAAACCTCTATCCAGTGCTTGTTTAAAAATGGGCTGCCCTTTCCACAAAGAAGCCTACGTTATCTATCATAGCAGGTGTCATTTATAGCCAAGTTTTTCCAATTCTGCCTTACACAGACTGCAACGAACTCTGCAGAAAAATTTCCAACGCATATAAGCTCAGAAGCACACACCTGGATTTCAGATCTCAGTAAACCTGGATTAGCATACACCATTCACTGACTCAGCTGCACAGTTGAATCCCATGGATATTGCAACAAAGGTTTGAAGAAGAGATGAATTGTGCTGGGCCTTGTCAATTCATTCCAAGTGTCAAGATGACATAAAAAGGCACAGGGATATTTCTTTACTGGTGCAGCTCTTGAGATAACATGCGGGAGGGAACTCTGTTCGCTCTTTTGAAGAACTGAAATACCATTCCTCATATTACACAAATGAACTGATGCATCATCAATCATTGGTATTTGAAAGGACTTTGGACCATGGGATGCATTATTCTCAACCATAACCTGCATATTGTTTTTAATTGCTCTAACTAACCACATAAGTGAATACTTGCTTGGAGTTCAGATAGCAACTCCTCCATCAGGTCTTTTGGCAGCTTAGGAGTGAGTATTCTTGGCAAGGAAACTTAGCAGTGTGTTGATTAAGAACTTGCTCTGCCCAGTCTCATTCTCTCAACATCTCTTCCCTGCAGCGCCTACCCTGCAGCTCCTCAACCCCAGAGGCCTTCTCTCCCCCTGCTCCCAGTACATTTTCCCACAAAGCCAGGCCAGGAATTTGCTGGAAAACCTGAAAGTCTTAAGGGGAGTCAGCACTGGTCCTTCAACCACAGCAAATGAAGTGAGTGCTGGGAGACTGGCAGGGAGCCTGCCTCTGCCTCCTTGGGCTGATGTATTGTAGAAGTTGTGCCAGGGACTGGTGGGGACAGCCCGTTTTATGAGGAGTCAAGGCTGTGACATGGAGCCCTTCCAAGGCGTCTTTCACACGTCCTTGCTACTCCTCTAATAAGCCGGATTAACCCTGAGTAAAGCACAGGCTGCTGGAAAGAGCCTATAAATTTTATCTTGCACTGTGGCCCTAAAATGCTGGTCTTGCTTTTGGCAACTGCAAAGCTAAACAAATGAGCAGCCCCTGGCTTGCCTGTCCTCCACACAGTGAGGGACACACCTCTCAAGAAGCAGGTTTATGAAATGTGTGTCCCCAGGTGGGCTCCAGTGTGGGTGTACTTGAACGTGGCTCTTGTGCTCTAAAACCAACTCGACTTTTTTCCTAAGGTGGAACTGATTTTCTCTCCCATCCTCCTTCCCCCCAACTCTCTCTCACTCCTAGGAGCCGGCTCCAGGGGCATGCAAACTGAGAAGTTGCATAGGATCCTGGGCTCAGCAGGGCTCCACACTCGGTTTAATGCTTTGTTGCTGCCTTCTTGAAATCCTTAGTACTTTCTGAACAACAAGTCCCGCATTTTCATTTTGCACTGGGCCCTGCAAATTATGTAGCCAGTCCTGCTCCTCGTTTTACAGATCCTGCCCTAGAGGAAGACATGCTGGGAAGGACAACCTCTGCGTGGGCTTTGTTTTCTGAGATGAGGGTGGTAAGTTTTCCTGTCGGGAGGCTGGCCAGGTTCTTCACAACTTCACTTGATGCCTTTCATATTTGTGGACTTCCAGCTCCCAAGCCCAAGCCCCGCTTGGCACTATTTTCAAAACATTGTAGAAATGAAGAGTTACTGAATGATTAGAAAATTCCAGACCCTCTTCTGAGAGCTTTATGTACATTTTATCAGGTAATTCTCACAACAGTATTGCAAAGCAGGCATCATCATTACCCCATTTTAAAGATGAGGAAATGGACTTTCAGAGAGTTCATGTAATTTGTCTCAAATCAAACTCAGATGTAGTTAACTCCAAAGCATGTAGTTTTAACCACTAGACCATACAGCTTGATTATAAAAGGAAAATATGTTCTTCATTTCATTGCCAGTAAGATTCTTGATGGATGTGTTGATTGATTGTGAGTTTGGAGACTAAGACTGGTGGGAAGTAAAAAAGTAATAGAAAAACATTCCTTATTTTCCCCCACTGAGTATATAGGAGAATATAAACCAATATTGCCAGGCTGCCATAAAGAAACAATCTCCTGTAATTTTTTCCTTTTCAGTTTGGTCTAGGCATTATTTTTAAGGTTGTTGGCTTGGGTAGCTGTAAGCACTTTTGGCTCTAGGACTGTGGGATACATTACCCAAAAATGTTTCAGGCTCCATAGTTTCATATCTCCTCAAATGCATTCAGCAGACCAAAGATATGCCCACAGACCAGCAGCAGAGATTTTTTTTTTTTTTTTTACAATAACCATCATCATCTAATAGTCAAAGCAAATGTTTGTTAATTACTGTGAGCCAGCCAGTTTACACATATAAATGTATTTAATCCAATCTTATAATTTAAGCATTATTATTATAATTTTACAGATGAGGAAACTGAAGCCAGAGAGACTAAATAATTTGGTAAGATCATTTAGCTGGTAATCTTCAGAGCCAAGATTTGAATCAAGGCAGGCTAAGGCAAAAAGCCATGCTCTTCTCCCCTACATGACATGAAAGCTGGTGTCTTCTGTAAAAGGCACGGTTCTGCTCACAGAAATCTAGAGAGATTAATAATCAGGAGTGGAAGGGCCAATGGTGTCTCCTGACCCTGGAACCACAGTGCCCTTTCTTGCTTGACATCCCCTTATCTACATACCACTGACTAAATGTGTGTTTACTGGGGATGAGACCCCTGGGGACACAACACAGACAGCACCAGGGGCTAAATGATTCTTTATTGATCCTGATTAGATTAAAGACGGCCATAACTCAAATGACACTGTTGCTTCTGAATTTCCTTATGGTTCCTGCAGGGAGTGATAACTAGGTAATATAAGGGAACCTCTTTCTTGACAGCTATTTCTCATAAAACTACTCACCAAAGGATAGAATTCATAAGGGAAGAGGGAAGACACTTCATGAGGCTTCATTTATCTCATTTAATTTATCACAACACGCCTGAGAGGAAGGTATCACTATCTCCATTCTATAGATGAAGAAGCTGAGGTTCAGAGAAAATTTGGTAACTTGCTCAAAGTCTCTCTGCAAGTAAATAATGGAGCTAGGAATTCAAATCCTGGGATGCTAAAATAAAACTCAGTGTCTAAAGTATGAGATATACAACCTCTTCAAATGCTATGTTGTGAAGCCCAGCACCAGCCAGCTGGCTTATATGGAACTGTTCACTATCTTATTACTCAGCATAAACTGTGTTTCCAAGGCCAATGTTGCCCTCAACCCTCCAGGCCATGGCTTTCTAATCAATGCTAGCTGTTCTTTGAGGTTTTCTCGTCATCTCTGAGGAGGTTCTTCATAAACCTTTGTTCTTAGGACTCTATCACACTAATTCAGAATCATTTTAATGGGACAATTTTATGTTTATGGAATATAGTAATAGCAACTTACCTTTTACTAAACCTACTAATCTTCTTTTTTCTTCCTTTGCTTTCCCTCTAATTCTGTGAGTCTGGGAACTGAGTTATACTTTAGAAAAAGCACCATGCCAGACTCATTAACTTTGCAGCTGTAGAAGCTGATCTGTACTGAAAGAAAGGAAAAAAGAGAGCTTCCTTCCTTCCCTCTGTCCACTCACCACCTTCAGACAGATGTAGGCATCTACACGTGGGTACACACACACACACACACTCTTATACACATGCACAGAACCACACAGGCAAGCCCACAAATTATATACATTTGCACACAAATCAACACACACACATGCACACATCTGGGCATGCTCACCCATGCATTCACACAGGCCCATATATACAAATATGAACATACAAACTTGCTCACTCCCTAGGGCTCATTGACTGGGTGGAAAAATTCTTGGAATGCAGATGGTCCAGGTAGACGGTTTTCTGTTCTAGGAAACTGCCTTTGCCCTCTTCCATCAGATATGCCCCTCTTTGCTGGAAGCCAGTCCCAGGGACTTACGTGGTGCTTTTTATTAAAACAAAGACTGTAGTCACTTTCCATTAATGACAGTGATGTGACTCTACATCATAAACAGAATTCTTATTTGTTGAGCAACATTTTTCTATCCATTGGCAACCTTTTTCAGATATGTTACTAGCTTTAATCTAGATATATAATTATGAAAATGAAGAATAATTATTACTTGGAAGTGACAATTTCCTTTATAAAGGATTCACCATGTTTTGAAAGAAGTCTTTTAACACATTCAAAACATGACTTCGCCGATAAGATTTAACTATCTGCTGGGCTTCCCAGGATCACTATTTTCACATAAAGTTCTGGAAGACAATCACTACTGGACTCACAGATATTAAAACTTAATAGTTCTGAATAAACAAAATATATAAGGAGAGAAACTCTTGATTTGAAATCAAAAGTTAAAATGTGTTTAGTGGAATTAACTGCTTAATAAAAGAAAAAGAAAAGTTACTTCCAAAGACATTCAGAAATCCTAAAGGCAAAGTCAAGGATGAAAAATACATGTGGTTTGCGGATCTCCAAAGGTGGGGAGCCCTGGAGGCCTTCCCTAAGAGTCCGGTCTTGAGGCTACCTCCACACCCGGCATCCAAATCTTTTTTACGTTCTTTGCTGCCAGCTGGCCCCAGGATCATCAAGCAGTCCTAAATATAGCCCAGCTTTTTTTCCTCTTTGCTGGGGAAACGATCACATTTTAGTCCAGATGAAAGCAAGGCAAATGACTACTTTTCTTGGAAAGCATATGTTTATAATTTCTAATTTTGCAAGAACCAGGCAGAGTAAATTCAGTTTATTAAAACATGAATTTAGCACATTTGTAACAGACTGGTAATATTTATTCCTACTGGACTTGAAATTATCTTGGATGGTAAAAAAAAATCTTTAATTATGCATCGACAAAGGACAACAGAACACAATGCATTGTTTTTTTAAATCTTTCCCAAAGCAAGAAAATCATAGGTTAAACGTTTAATGTTCTTGCAGTCTTCATTTTATTTCCATCAAGTTCTCAAATAAGAAAACTTTTATTTTGGCACAAAAATAACCCTCCATTATGTGAAATGTACAGATTTACAAGTGGACTGATTTTTTCCATTGGATTCAGGAGGATACTAGAAATTCACAAAAACAGGCTTCCTCAATTTTCCATAGCATTGGACATTAACTCTGGAAAAACCCAGAGAAGAATGATTGTACATGTGTGAAGTGATGTTAAGTTTGCCCAAGACATACATATTGCATCTCATTTTGAACCTCACACAACTCTGATATATGGGCCTAATTACTATCTTTTCTGACCCCACCACAAAGATAGAGTTGGAAAGATTATTTAGCAGTAAGAGAACTAAGGTCTAGAGAAATTAAATAACTTGGCCAAGGTTCCATAACAAAGAAATGGAGGAACTAAGACTAGAATCCAGACCCGCAGACTCTCAGATCAGTCAATTTTGACCATACTTACCATCGGAATCAATTTTCCCTTGGGGTCTGGTGATCAATAGCAACATGGTCTCCTGGGTAAGTAAAGAGATTGCTTAACAAGGGACTTCCATGGTGGTGGTGGAGAGTCAACAAGGCCTTCTGAAGACTTCTGGAGTGCACTCCTGCCTCACCCAGCCTCAAATAGCATCTGCTCTGAGTATAAAAGAATTGCCTCTAGCTTCTATCTCCCGTGCCAATTCCAAATGATGGGCAGGGACTGCCAGGAGTTCCAGGCTGAAGAGGAGTGTTCAGTGGATTATTCTGGAAGCCATGAGCAAAGGTGCCATGAGTATTGGCCAGGGTACAAGGACAGGAAATGGAAGTGTGACTTGAGTGTCAATTCTATGGCTTTGCTGTAGATGGCTAGTATGTGACCTGAGGGTGCGCATTTTCTTACATACCTGCTTTCCTGTCCTAAATACTTTTTCTGAACATCCTTTTTATCTCAGGTAATTAGGATCCCCTTCAGAATGCAAATCCTTTTTACTTTCCTTTTGAGGGGTAGGTTCAAGGGGAGAGGTAGCACACCGTGTAAATCATACTCATTAAGACCTGAACTCCACTGCCTTTATCAGGTTCTTTAACAGACCAGGCAAAGGTTTTGAAATGGGAGCTGTTCCAGCTGATGGAAGCCTCCCCACATAAGTGTTTTATTGGGCAAACTCTGAGGTTAGCAATTTCTTCAACTTGCCTGCTCTCCACAGAGCATGAGCCACCCTGTTCACTCTAAGTCCCAGTGCTCTCACCACAAAACAAGCACCACTTACTAGCCTGTCTGTGCAGGTATCACACAGCGTACCTTTGTGATCTCATAGGTCTAGGACATGGCATGGATATTTTCTGTTGAGAGCTGAGACAGAGGGAGGCAAGAGTCTCAGATCCAGAGAGAATGGGGCATCTTCTTATTGAGGTAACCAGGCAAGAGAGTGAAATTAAAGAGGGGAGGCTGCCAAGTGACAGGGGTTACTGAGATATGATCAAAATAAACTTGACATTTTTGCTTCTAATTGAATAGCACATTGAGCTTCTTGAGTTCCCGCAACTGCCACTTTGCAGACTGACTGAGCTTTCAGCATTACCAGAAAGAGGAGGACATCACCCTTTCTCCACTCCTACTCCCATGCCCTGCACAAAGGCAGGCAGAGTTGGCAGCAGATGCTTTTTCCCTCATTCTGACACAGGGCAGAATGGTGGGTTTCTTTCCTAATTCCAAGGGCAGGGGATGTGTGACCTGGTGAATAGCTTTCTACTCTTTAGAATTGCTCTCTCCTTTGCTTGCTTTCTCTGTCCTCACCTGTTCATGACAAATTATTTCTCTATAGAGCTCCTGTCCCTATGCCACCCTGTTCCATGTGGAGAGATTCTCATTGCTTTTGATCTTTTTTGGATTAACTAATCCCTTTGTATGTTCAGATTTGTTGTTTATATACAATCTTTTAAAACTGATGAAATGGCAAAGGTAGAGCAATGAGTTCTCTGATTTTTATCTCCCGCACGTTAGAGATGAATTCTAAGTGTATCCTTAGAAGTGAGTTGCTTCCTCCTAGATTTCATTTTCATGAGGCTAAGAAAGCAATTGAACAGGGAGTGAGGATTTTCAGAGCTACAATTGTGGCCATGTTTTAGATATATGGAACTCCCTGGCTGTATTCAGATTGAGTACATCAACCAGACAGAAATATCTTTTTCTATTCCTAAGTCTTTTCTTCACTTTAAAATCTAAAATTACAATGAGGGACAAGATTGCTATTATTATATTATTAATTTATGTTTATTTATTTATATCCTTCTTTGTTCCAGAAAAGATTTAAGGCAGCATAATATATGAATGTCTGATCTATTTGTAGGAGCACTTTCATTGGATTTTTTAAAAAATAAAATCCACTTATTAATGATTGATATGTTAATGATTTGATTAATCCATTGGGTTTGATTCATTTACATCATCATTTACATTTCATCAAGACATGTTTTCAAGGAGACACTTGATGTCCTTCTCAAAATGCTCCATTTTTCACCATGGAGAACTTTTATTTTCCATAAGCAAACAAAATGTAAACCTTGAAAGTCTGATTGATGAGAAGCTAAAATCTAAGCCTGGAGAGGTTAGGTAATCTCACCAAGGTTTCCCAAACCCAGGAGAAGCCCACTTCTTCTATAAGGTATATTTCTCTGTAAGACACATGAATCTACAAAATGTCTATAATAAATCAAGGTCACCTACCCCAACGGGCTGATGAAAGGCCCGGAAAGACTCAGGCCCAGGCACTGGGTTACTCTGCACCAGGTTAATATCTTTCTACTGAACCTTGAAGTCAAGATTTGACCTGCTAGGCATTCTTGGTAGGGATAAGTGGAGTTAAGTTTGTGTGATGTAGAGTGGTTAGGCCAGAACAGTATTTACCACAGTACGTGATTTGAGATGCTTTGAGTAGGATACAGAGAGAGCATCCAAAAACATTGACTGCATAGTAAAAAAATTGTCTTTTTCTTTTGATTCTCTTTCAGTGCTGCCTGTCACATTAAGGAGCAACTGTCTGCTTGGTGTTAGTAGACATTTAACAGCCCTCTCACTCTGGCAAAGTTCAATTGTCAACAAAGCGCTGGCATCAGGATAAGAACCTTCAGCAAGCAACAGTGACTAGCTGTGATCTAATGATAACCTTTCATTTCATTTCATATTTAGATTTATATTTACCTTCTCTTTCTATTAAATGGTGCTAGTTGTCCATTGGAAGGAGTCATATGAAATTATCTTCTAAAATAAATATATTCAAATATTTTTAAATCAGTTTAAAGAAAAAATTAAATAAACATTTACATAGGCGATATGTGAATGCTGAAATTTCAGGTAACAAGAAGAAAGAGGAAAGAGGGCTTCAGTGAAAGACCAGCAGCTGATGTCCCAGACAGAAGCTGGCATTAACCCCAGAAGAGCTGAGTCTGAAACCAGTACTACACTGACAAGCTGTGGAAGGTGATGAATGTCTTGAACATCTCTGGTTATTGGCTTCCCCATCTATAAGCTGGATATGATTAAAATATTGACTTCTTCACAGATTTGTGCTTAAGAATCAAATGAGCTATTTTAAGGGAAAGCCTTTTACCAAGCATAAAGTATGACACCCATGGAAGAGATTATAACTAAGTGAGGGATAGAGGAGGGATAAGAGAGCGGAAGCTAAAGAAGTCATTTAGGTTGAAGGAAATTGGTAAAATCAGTGAGAAAGATAATCCTGTGGCTGGGTGCGGTGGCTCATGCCTGTAATCCTAACACTTTGGGAGGCCAAAGCAGGCAGCTAACTTGAGGCCAGGAGTTCGACACCAGCCTGGCCAACATGGTGAAACCCCATCTCTAATAAAAATACAAAAAAATTAGCCAGGCATGGTGGCGCATGCCTGTAATCCCAGCTACTCAGGAGGTTGAGGCAGGAGAATCGCTTGAACATGGGGGTGGAGGTTGCAGTGAGCCGAGATCATGCCACTGCACTCCAGCCTGGGCAACAGAGCAAAACTCGGTCTCAAAAAATAAAATAAAATAAAATAAAATAAAATAAAATAAAATAAAATAAAATAAAATAAAATAAAATAAAATAAAATAAAATAAAATAATAAAATAAAATAAAATAAAATAAAATAAAATAGTAAATAAAATAAAATAAAATTCTGCAGTCACTGAAACTAGATAGGTCTGGTTCTTGGAAAGGTAGGAAGCAGCCCAGGTTGTGATTTGTTTTGTACAAGGGTAGGGGTCAGACAGACACACACACACACACACTCCAAAATTCTGCTTTGATTGAAAGCTCCACTAGAAGAGAGGTGAAAGCTCCATAAACCCTGAGTGTGGGGAAAACTATCCTGAGGGTAAAGCTTCCACCAAATGGACTCTGGGGGTCCCCTTCCCACTTGCTTTTATCTGTCTCCTTGTGGTTGGATCCTGATAGCTCCTGATACTTGCATGTGCAGCTGACTAGCCAGGGTTCATTATTCACCCTAGCTGTTGAACAGGGTGCTTGAGATGTCCTATAAGGACGGGTGGGCAGAGGAAATCCCATGAGGCCATAGCACTGTCAGCCACCCTTGGCACTTAACACCCAGCACCCAGTACAATGACTGACAGAGTGGATGCCATTTGGGTAAACATTTGTTAAGTGAGTGAAAAGAAGAAAGGTAGAGATGAAGGGAGAGAGCATAGGGAAAGGGAAAGGGGGAAAACAAGCTCGATGCTCTGGGCCACAGCTCCAGAGAGAGCTGGCTGCTGAGGCCAACCTCCAGAACTGTATCCTGTGCCTCCTCCTCTCCCTAGAAGTGCAAGTTCTAGGGAGCACCCGAGGCAGCAGCACGGTATTCCTAAGCATGGGCCTCTTGATCATGGGACTTAAATTTCCCCTTGACAACTCCTGAGCTGTGTAACACAGGGCACATTACTAACTTCTCCAAATGTCAGTTTTCCCTTCTGTACCATGGGAATGATCACACCAGCTTTGCTGAGTTACCGCTAGAATTAAATAAGATAGTATGTATGCACCTGATGAATGGCCCAGAAGCAGTTTCAATTATTACTGTTGTCATTATATATGCTTTACAAAAATTCAAAGAAATTATTTTGATTCTGTTAAAATGTGACATAATATGGATTTTCATTCCATAAACAGATTCTTATACTTTGCTTCCTAATTAGACTGTGTCTTGTCATGCCCGTAATTCCTGTGTAATTAAATTGAAATTAAATGTCAATTTACTTTGAATTACAGAGTAATTCTATGTATACATGCCACACAATCTGCATTTTGTTAGAAGATGACAACCAAAAATATCCTGACAGTCCCTCTGTAATTACATAGTGATCTCATTAAGATCAGCTTGACAAACTACCTGCCAAGACCTGAGGAAGAAAAAACCATGAGCTGGTGGAGGGTTCTGCGGAGGTTAGGCACAGGACAGGAGGGGAGAGCCTGAACTCACCAAGGACCTTGCCCCTCCCCAGGAACCAGTGACATCCCACCACAGTCCCTTTTGCAGGCAGATGAGGAAGAGGGATCCTTTAAAAGAAAAAATATTACTTAATTACAGAATATGTTAACCGATGTTGATTCACCTTCACTTTCTAACCCAGCTGTTTTTATTAGGTTGGTATCTGAGGTCTTAAATCCTCATGCCTCAAAGACAATGATATATGCAGAGGGAATATTTCAAACCCCATGCAGAAATTTTATTTTTTTTTATAATACTCAAAATGGCTTCCATCCTCTGATTTTTAAAAATAAAAATCGAAACATATTTGATATCTTATTCCTTTTCACCAATGAGCAGGTTAATATTTATATTATTTCTGATTGTAAGTGGCAGTGGGAAAAGATGATGTAAGTGGAACGGGGGAGAGGAGAACCAGGGCTTCAAAGAACCAGGTCAGGAGGCTAAGCAGTGACCCAGAGGTCCCCAGGCTTCATTCTGTTAAGACGCTCACAGCAAATGGGGCAGCAAGAAGGGGAAGCGCCTCCGCCCATGCTTTCTCCTTCGTTTTCCTCCTCCAAATCCACTGCAGCGCCCACTGAAGGTCACTGCTCCTCAGCCTCCTTTGTGTGGCTTTGCCTCTTGGTGCCCTCCTTGCCCAGGAGTGGCTTATTTCTGATTGCTAAACAAGCTCTACCCTACCACTCCTTTGGGACAAAGAATCTGGTTACTTTTCATTAACTCAAGTGAAAGGTTCCCTTTTCTGCCTCTCCCCAGGCCCCAGATATTCACCTGGCTGGGCCTGCAGGGCCCCCAGTGCCAGCTTCCGAGGAGTGAAAGGTCCTCCAAGCTCACAGCCCAGCAGTGCATGAGAGAAAGGAAGCCAGGGGACTGAAAGTCACGTCCTACCTCCTAGGCGGCACTGCAAAGCACACAAAATCCAGAGTCCTGAGTTTCAGAACAGGCTCTGCTTCTTACTAGCTATGATTACTCCAAGCAAGTCATTTAACTTCTGTGAGCCTCAGTTCTCCTAAATATAAGTGGAGATTAGTATAAGTTGTGCTCCTGACCTCTGTACGGGGTCACTGAGATAAGAAATTAGCTAACGTAGATGAAAATGTTTGGAAAGAACAAAAAAAAATACAGGTGTATTGCTATAATCATCATCAGAGATACGTTGGTCAGGGTTCTATCTCTTACAGATAATTGAAAACCCAGGCTAGCCTAACGAGATGGAGGAAAAAAGAGTTTGGGGTTTGGGAGACTCTTATAGCCAAAATGTCCAGGGTTGATGCAGCTTTAGGCTTGGCAGGTTCAGGGATCTCATAGTGTCCTTGGACTCAGTTTCTCTGCATCTCTGGGTTCTGCTGTGGGCTGAGTGTGTGTACTCTTCACTCTCGGGCTCTGTGTGGTACTGCGTGATTGCTTCAGGTTCTTGTCCTCTCTAACTCAAGTCCAGTGGGAAAGCCCATCTCCCAGAACCTCTCACTCCAATCCCAGGATTTGTTCTGCTTTGATCCATTGGGTCACATGTATACCCAGAAACCAATCACTGTGGCCGAGGAGATTTGGAGTTCTAACTGGTGCTGATTACAGCTTCCAGTCCTGGATCCAGAGGCACTGCTATCCACATCATGAGAGCTGCACGGACTGAGCAATAAAGGAGGGGCTTCCCAGGGGGCTGAGAAGAAGAGAGAACAGAGGTCGGGCAGGGTGGTCACAAACATCCACTTCAGAAGTCAAGGAATTTATAGCTAGACCCAACTTGGAACAAGAAGCAAGCAGAGGAGGCACAACTAGAGAGACTCCTGACTGAAAATAGCAGGTAACACAAGGAAATGGTCAAGAGCAAATGTGTGTTTACTTCATGCAGCTTTGGAACTCCAGAGTTGGACAGTTCCCATATAGAAAAGGGAGCAAAAGCAGCTACTGACTGAAAGAAATTTTACCAAAATGATAAAATGACTTCTGATGTGCAGCTAAGGGTTACCTGAATTTTGCTTTCACGTCCAGAGGCAGGATCATCTCTGAGTATTTTTCCCCAATAAAGTGCTCCTTCAGTAAGCATCGTCACACTTGCATTTCAGGACCTTCTCTGCCATCTAACCCTGAATAACATGCCTCACTCTCCACCATCATATGCCCTCTCTTCTCTTTAAATCAAAAAGCTAATGCACATCCCTAGACTGGCTGCTGTGGAGGCGGCATTTAGCCAGCTGTACGCTCACTCCCTGGCCAAGGACATCAGCCATGTGAAACGGACTCTGATACATCTGCTTGAGAATTTTCAAGGTCATCGTGCTTGTTGTATGTGTCTCTTGTGTTCTGAATATTTCAGGATTTTGCATCATGGGCAACATGGAAAAGTCAAATTTCTCTTTTTTGGTCTGCCAAGTTTCATGGAAGGGTATAAAAAGTCCAACATTTTCAATGAAATGGAAATTGTTATAAGCCGAATATCTTTGGAAAATAACCTATTATTGTTCAAAATATAAAGTCATCTATCCTCTGTGGTTGTCTTTTCTGTCTAGCTGGTCATTTTGGAATTAAAGAGGACCCAAATGTATCTCTAGGACTTCGGCTCTGCACATAATGAGCTTGGCTCTCCCTTTAATGCCAATTTTAACTCGGCATGGTTCTCCTCATCCAGAAGGTCAATTCAGCTGTTCACAAAACAATAAAACTACATGTTTGTCCTTGTCTTTATGTTTTCCTTTTTGCTTGATTAATGATTATCTGGACACGGGAATTTAAAATGTGTAGGTTATATAAAGAGACACATTACAATGTAAATCTTAGTTGTATCCATGACCCCCAGGCCTTCTACCCTAAATATCTGTGTGTCTTTCCACATACGTGAGTGTTCCATGCCTATACAAACACTATATGCACATGAAATTTTTAGTATAAATGAAAACATGAAATATTTATAATGGGTATATATATAGTTTTCTTCAACTTTCATAGTTGCATAATATATATTTTTTTGCAACTTGTTTTTGCTTTTTTTTAATGTACAGATTTGTCTTGGGAACATTTCATATCACCACACATGGAATTCTCTTTTACTGCTGCCACTTACGGACTGTGCTTTGCTATTATGAACTATGCTGTTAGATGAATTTCCAGCAGTAGAATTACTAGATCAATTCTTAGATGTATTTTATTGTTTTTTTAAATTATATTAATTTCTGAAGATTGAGTATATTCACATGGTCCAATAACAAAAGTTAAAAGAGTATTTAGGAAAAAGTAAGCTTCCTAAATACCACTGTTTGAAAGCCATTTATTTTCCATTCCTAGAATAACTTCCGTTACCAGCTTCTTTTATATATGCCAAGAAATGCAATGTTCTGCACCTTCCATTTTCTCATTTAATCACATACCTTCGCTCTATGGCTATATATCAGTATGTAAATAGGCTTTCCTTCTTTTGTACAGCTGAATAGCATTCTACAGAGGGATGTGTCATACTTTACCCAGTCCTTCTTTGATGGATATTTAGGTTATTTCAGGTTTTTTGCTAGTTCGGACAATGCTGTAATAAACAATCTTCTATACACATTATTTGGCAAAATATATATATATCCAAAGGAGAATACATTTCTAGAAATAAAACTATTGAGTCGGGGATAGCTTCATTTTAAAATAGGTAACCATTGCCAAATTGCCCTCCACAGAGGTTGCACCAATTTACATTTCTAAGAGAAATTTACAAGAGTGACTGTTTCCCCATATTCTTACCTAAGAAATCACACATAAGGTATTAAGAAACTTTTTGATTTTTGCTGAACTGAGAGATTAAATGGTAAACATCTGAGTATCTCTTTGTATGAATAAGCATATTTTAAATGTTTAAAAAATGTTTATACTTTCTTTCTGTGATCTGACTATTCATATTGTCTACTTTTTCTAATGGTTTTTTATTCTCATTCCTATTGATTTGCAGGAAATTTTAATATATTAAGAAAAGTAGCTCTTTGAGTGGATTATAAATTACTATTTTCCATTTGTGTCTTGACTTTATTATTTGTTTTATCATGTAGAAATGTTGATTTTTATTTAGTATAATATCTGTTTCTGCTGTTAAGAGTTTTATGTCATACTTAGAAATGCTTTCCTCACTTGGAGATTGTTGTTTTAATTTTTTATGTCTTTTTCTGGTATTGTTTTAAATTTATAGATTTTGCATTTTAATTTTTATAGATCTTGATAACTTGTCCAGCAAAGAGATTATACAAACCTATACTTCCAGGGACAGTGTATATTTACTCTTCGAGGTGTCTGTTGCTTATCTTTTATGAATTGCTCAGTCTTCCTGTATCTTGCCATCCTTGCTAGCAAAGGCAATGCCTTCTATTTAATGTATCTTAAGTCATGTTACCAAGCACAGGGAGCACAAGGCTGTGTGCACATGAAGGACAGTCAACAGAGGTGTGGTTTTTTTGTTTGGTTTTGTTGTTGTTGTTGTTGTTTTACTTAGAATAATTCCTGACTAAGGAGGAATGGCCATGTCACATCTCTACATACCACAGAAGGTGGGTCAATGAGCATCTGAGACCACACTCTATGAAGCACAAATTAGAAATTGTGGTGTAATTATTTTTTATTTGTTCAGTTATTTGTATATAAATATTTGCAAGTGTAATAGTAAAAATATTTTAATTGAATATCACAAATCTCCATTATTGAGGCAATATGAATGCATGAAATTGGGGCTATTCCAAAAAACCTAAAATGCTGTAAATTAAAAAGCCCAAGAAACTGAATTAATTCCTGAAGATTAAATTGCTGGGAAAAGTAGAGAAAGTAAAGAAAGAGACTACTACCTGATTGGAAGTATGTTTAACACATAAATAGAATGTCTACTTTTCCATAGCAGGAGACTTGGCATATAACATATGGAATATTACTAAGCATGGACCTGCTGGCCCAAAGAGGCTCCCAGAAAATAAATCTATCTCCTGTGGCCTGCTCTCCATGGGCTTATATGTAAGTTTAATTCACTCTGGCCTTTAAAAAAAGATAATTAAAGTATAATTAAATATAGCATTCAACATATTCAAAAGCCTTCTAATAAATTCAATCCTCTTTCCCATTACATTGGCAAACAAGTAGACAAAAATTATATAAATTGGTAAAAGAAAAGGTTAGGCAAAAATCATATTTAAACCTTTCTAAAACTACTAAGTTTTCTCCCAAAAATAGTTCCTACTTTAGTCTTCCCTTCCTAAGACTCAATGGTGAAATATTCATGATGGAAGGAAGTTTCATGGTTAAGGGACTAAGTGCCTTATGATATATTGTGGACATTTGTTGTCTTTTGTCACTCAGCATGTTTCCTCTTGTGATATCAGTGCCTCAATGTTCCTTAAAGGAATCACCAGTCTTGACAATTTCTTGTGTTTGTAGGATATGGTTGTCCCCATCCCTAGAGGGATTGGCATATTACTTAGGGCTTATAAATCACCATATTCCATTTCTTAACTGTGTTGGTAGGTTAGAAACAAGTATGTGATCCAAATTACATTAAATGAGAGCCACTTCTGGTTCTATTACTGGACTTATTGGAAAAAGAGGTGCTCCTTCTGCTGGGATAGCTAAGCTGAGATAAATGGAGTTAAGGACCTGCTTGAGAACGAAGCCAACTGAAAGAAAAGTAAGGTTGAGTGACATATAGAAGCTATTGAGTCCTAAAGACATGATGTGAACTCCTACATCTAGCTATGCCAGAAGACATGTGTTATGTAGCTTTGAAATGATTCCAAACACATAATTTGCTACTGAGTGACATATGTTTTGCTGTGATAAGAGTTTGGAATAGAATCCCTCCTCCCCACGAGAATGTTAAGCCCTGCTTATCAGACCACATAAGTGAGTTATTTGCCTCAACTACTAGACTCCAAAATACATATAAACCCATAATTTTGACAGACAGATTGAAAGCCAGGGCTGTGGCAGAGCTACTCTCTCAGCCTTTAAGATACTCTCCAAAGCCCACCAACACTAGCACTACACTAGCATCAAGGGACCCTGCTTGTCATCTCGGATCTCTGCTGTGTTGGTCAAACTGTCTCGTCCCTGAACTTCTCATGCAAAGCTATGCCTTAAACTTTGATTGACTTTACATCCACAGAGGATTGTCTCCTTCCTAGTTTGGCAGCTAGACTTTAATAACTGGATTCCAAATGAAATAGGAACCCACTCACTATGTGATTAATGCAACCTCGCTATTGAGCGTGTACCCAGTAAGATTTGTTTTTGTTATTCTCTCCCTCCATCAGCATTTTGAAAAAACAAAAGAATCTGTTTGTATGGAAATAAAACATGTGATTTGTGAAATTACACTTTGATCAGTTCCTTATTTTAACCATACAAAACAACAGAACAATGTATTAATCCCTAGATTGTTAAAAGAACCAAAAAAAAAAAAAATCACACATACACACTCACACACACACCCTTTTTCTGCTAGTTTGAATTGAGTTTCAGTCAGTTACAAATGACATAGTTCTTAATAACACAATGGATGTTTGGGTGAGGGAAATTTTGTTCATGAGTGAATATAGGAAAGGCTTTATAATGATGTTCCCACATCAATCAGTCAAGACAACACACTAAGCCTGAGACTATCTGTGATGTTTTTATGGAACCCAATTTAGCAATAATGAGTAAACTGCCATAAATTTTCACTTATAATTTCCCACTAAAAAGTTTTTCTGGCTTTACTTCTCTGGAAATTTCAATAAGGTGTTTGTCCATTCATTTTACTTTAATACAGATCAATATGCACACTAAGGCATTCTCTGGTTCTCTCATTGAAATTCACAGTTAAGGAAGAGGTACAAGAGCATACATAAATATCCACATATGACAGAATTCCACGTTAAGTGGCCTCATCTTCGCATAGGCTGCAATGAAGGATCTTATGCTCTCCTGTAGCTCGGATAATTTAAAATACAATTTAAAAAAATATTTTGTGACAATTGGAATAGATTCCTGGGAAAGTTCTCAGAGAAACTTCTCTGCGAAATGGTAAATAAAGGATGGGAATCCTTACTCGTTAAAACTGGCTCTATTTTAAGGGAAGAAAATGTTCTAAACTGATGGTCCTCAAACATAATTTATGTATCAGAATCACCTGGAGAGATGATATATACACATATAGTTTTCTAGGTTCTATCTTATACCTTCTGATTTAAAATCTGCCTTCTAGTCCCAGGATTTAAAACAATGCTAAAGGTCAAGTGTTTAATTTTTTTCAAAAACTATAACTGTGCTCTTTATTTGTGTCATTATCTCACTAAATCTGCACAGTAACCCTATGGATTAGGTACTACTGGGATATGGAGTAGTTCTAATTTTTATGTTTGTGTTTATAAATTAGGAATATATGGTTTAAAAATTTGAGCACCCTTCTCAAAGTAATATGACAAGGAAAATCTATGACTCTAAACTCAAGACCCTTAACCTTTAACCTGTTCCCAAATACAGATATGATCAGCCAGTGTCATGTTTAATGCACAAAGTCAATAATTGAACTTTGCTAATAAATCATTAGAGAATCAAATAGAATAACACTGCTCACAAGGGTAAAATATGCAACGGAAACAGTATTCCTAAAAATAAAAGCTTTGTTACAGAGAGCTGTAAGAAATATTTATTCAACCCTGAAAAGCAAATTCTAAGAACAGGAAGGAAGGAAGGAAGGAAGGAAGTTAGGGAAGGAGGGAGGAAGGGAGGGAAGTGAGGGTTGGTGCTCATTTATTTAAAAGGTTTACATACAAGAGAACCTATATTCTCAATTACGAGAGATCTGTATCTCACCTCTTTCTTTAATAGCTAATTTAAGTCCCAATAGATACATGGAAATCATCATTGACTTTCCTCATTAAAAACAGAAAATAGCTATTCCAAAGAGCCAACACAATATTTCTTTAGGGTAGTAATTAAGTGATCCTTAATGCTCTCTATTTTTCCCCAATGTTTTAATTCCTGCCATGTCCTAAATGTTGATGTTCGGGCTCAGAGAGGGGCATCCTACAGCTGTCTAATACCTCATCAGTAGCCACAGCAATGGAGAGAGGCAGTAGATTTTTCAGTTTGTGAATTACAGAAGACCTTTGTTTTTCCCTTCCCTCCCACCAACTCCAACTAATTACACTAAAAATATACCCTGATTAATTTAATACCCATTTACCCCTTCATCAGAGGATAGTCAGAACCAAGAAAAACAAATATCCTTTTTGGAAGTAGGTACGATACAAAGAGATTAACAAACCATCTAGAAATAGTAGGAATCAGTATAATATGAGGAAAAGATTATGTTGAGAAAACAAAATTTTGAGTCCTTGTAAATGGCAATTTTTTGTTGTTGTTGTTGTTGTCCCAGATTTATTGAAAATAATACAGCATTGCAGAAAAAATTCAAACAGGTCCCCGAGGCATTTTATAATTCATCCCAACTGTAGGCTGAGTGACCTGCGGGTTGGACAGACTGCCGAAGTCCAAAAGCTTCAGCATTTCCTTAGTGTCAGGATCTACTTCAATTATCTCCTGATCCAAGGCTGAGACCTCAGAAACATAACTGTCTCTCCTTTCTCTCTCCTCCTCCTGCAGATTGATGGAGATACCTCTTCCTGGGCCTCTCTGAATCCGCTTCATCAGATGTGTGACATAGCCTGCTATCTTGTTGCAGAGCTTCTTGCTGGGGATAATGGCGATCTCCTCACACACGCGCTTGTTCGTGTGGAAGTCGTTGCCCAGGCACATGTAGTACTTTTCTATGATGCCCCAGGCCGCCTTCTTCACGGTTTTGGTGCGAATGAGGCCCATGTTGGCAGGTCCTTGGTAAAAGGGGCGTAAATGGCAATTTTAAGAATTTCCCTCACAATGGGAACAAGAATGGCTATTCCATCCCAAGTTCCCTTCCAGTTCAGAGTCACTTTACCTTCCCTAGGACACGTTTATTGGGAAGTTATATTTTTATTTGTTAATAAAATCAGAAAAACCTCATGATAGGTTATTTGTGTCACAATTCTATGCCAGTGTCATGCGTTTTATGTAAGTGGCTCTTCAGTCTTTCATCTCTGGCCATCACAGCCTCTAATGGCATTGATAGACTGCCTCAGTGTTTTTAATGGCATGCATCTGATACATCACTGGTTGCCAACATCCATATGCTTTTGCAGAATGTCCTGCTGATGGGCACGGAAAAGCTAATGGAAAAATCACCTTTGAAAATAAAACATCAATCCTTGACTTTCTGACTTAGTAAAGTTTTTTTTTTTTTCACATTAGGAATGGTAATACAAACCTGTGGTGATGTCCCTCAAAGAGATATACATACTTACAATTCTCCTTCAACAATTCCTGATAATGACAACTTAAATTAGGATAACTTTACAGATACTTAGCATGTTGATGCTTTTGGCTGGTCTTTTGTGTTTTTTATATTTATATTCTTCCTAATTTATGGCAAAGGAAGCCTTTTGCTTCTCTGAATAGTGGGAGAGTATTGTGACTTCATTCACTCATTCCTTTTTTCAACTTATTCATTGATCCCCTGTTATGTGTTAGTCAGTGACCGTACATAGAAAGCATATGAATAAAACTCATCTCAGGCTTCAATCCTCACAGCCTAGTGAAAGGTAAGAAATTGCATGCAAACAGTTATAAAGCAATATCATACTAAATAACCAAATCCTGTGATAGAAGCTTGGAAAAAGTGCAATGTGACCAACTGCTTAGGAAACAAAGGAAAGTCTTCCTTACCAGGTAAAACTCAACTAGAAAGATGAGGAAAGAAGACATTCCAAGTGGAGGGAATAATATGTACAAAAAAACAAGACGTATTAAAGAACATAGTATTCTTAGAGTTCAGAAAGTACTTTAGCAGAGCTAAACTCCAAATCATGTAGGAGACGTAAGGAGTAAATACTATAAATATATCCAGTTGAAGATTCTAATGTGCCTTCCATAGTATGCCAAGGAGTTTGAATGTTACCTTTTAGGCAATGGAGAGCTTTTTATTAAAGGATTATAAACAAAACAAATACACGATGTGATATGTTGTCAATGTTACCTCATTTCACCAAGGTGGAAACGAAAAAAAACCATTAGTTACTCTGTGGCATGAGAAACTTTGAGGTACAAAGAAGCATTTTCTGACAATAAGATTTGCTAAGTATTGGAAAGTGTTCCTGAGAGAGGTTGAAAAATCACCTCAGGAGGTCTTTAAAAATAGAACAAATTAATTTGTCTTAGATGCTTTAGAAGTGATTACCCATTACAGCAAGGGGATTCACTCCAAGTCTTGTCCAGATTTACAGTTTCATTGTTCCTAGAACACTGTAGCGGATAGAGTTCTGCATTGGTTAGCAATTTGTACTTGATCCTGTGGTTGCAGATTGATTACAAAATTACAGAAGCAGAATATTTACTTTAGAAATATGCATGGAATGGACTCTATATGCATGGGAAGCTACCTGGTGAAGACAGAGCAACTTGGCTTATAAGACAGGTACATTTTCCCTTTATTTTGTTATAGGCTTGTGAATGACCTTGATGCAACTCCATTTTTTAAAGGCTATCTGAAGACTAGAGAAGGTGCTATCAAGGATGAGGAAACACAATAATGAGCTATAGTAGAAATAAAGGAACTCATCCTAGATTAACTCAGTATGCAGGGGCACCTTGCATCAATGCTCAGGAAATCAGTTAAAACTAGCTATTACTGAAGGTGCCCTCTGAGGCCATTAATAATCTCCAGAAATGTCATAGCTTTTGAGTTTAGAAAATACATCCATGTATATTACCTTAACTGCTCTTCCCCAAAACACTGAACAAAGCTTTTACAAATGAGGACACGGAGGCTGAGAGAACTGCAATAACCTGCCCCAGTCTCTATAGCTACTAAGGGGCATAACCTAGATTACGCCTCTCTCAGAAACACTTTATCTGAATCTTAGTCCATGCAATATTTACAAAGTAAGGAAACAATGGTTGGGAGGGGTAGGGAAAAGAGAGAAAAGAAAGCAACAATCAAATCAAAATGCTAAATAAAATGATACCCAGAAACCAGAACTTGGTACATTGTCAGGGTCAAGAATAACACCAAAGCATATTATCAGTTCGCAAATACCTATTTTTGGTAAATAACAGCCTGAAAACTAAAAAACATTTCCTAAAACATGGATGAGGTAACACATTAAGAAGAGGCAAAAACAAACAAATGTTTTAAAAAATGCATTAACCATAATGATCAGTGTGTTGATAGAGTTCCATGTGACATATCTCATTAGCAATATAAAATAGCATGTATTATAAAATAAAATTTGTATTAAACTAGGTATAACAACTGAACTTTATTGAAACTAAAATACCATTGATCATAAGATACATTATTGTCGTAAGTCCTACTAAGGAAGAATATTGCCACCTAAACTGCAATATGCCATTGACTTGAAAGACATGTCATGATTTCAGGGATGCTAGGAGGAGAGAAAATAGTTGCATTTTAGAATATATGAAATGTAGTGGTTACATATATTACAGTGGGGTTTAAATATTAACTGGAGGCGCTAAGGGTCATATCAACCTCGTCTCCCAGTGATCTCTTTGGAGCTGGATTTTATATGAATAGAAGATCTACCACATAGTAATGAAGATGCCACAGTCCAGGGGCTTGATTCCATGTTAGAAAAAGCATTTTTAGAGGTACAAGGCAGAGGGCTTTGTTCTGAGAAATCATATACAAGGAGGTAATAGTAGAGAAAAATAGTATAAAATATTATAGGAACCATGGAGTATGGGGCTGGGTTCATCTAAAAAGACATGGGCTAGTGACGGACCCATAGAAGCCAACTACTGGAAGGGGAGGGAGTTAGTAAGTTGATTCTGGGGTGTGTAGAATCTAAGGCCTAGAGGAAGCAGGTGACCAACACATCCACGGGCCTTTGTACTAATCTAGCTCATCAAACACATCTAGCTCATTTATTATATGCTTCAATATGATAAATCCTAGAGGTAAAATTTTTCTATCAAAAGGTAAAAACATTTTAAAATATGATGATTACTGTTAAATTTCTTTTCAAAATGTTGTAATAGTTTATAAGCATTAAAATGCATAAAAATCCTTATTTTCCCATAACCCCACCAACTCTGTGTATTATCGGTTATTAAATGGTTGCAAACATAACACATTAAATATGAACATCATATCTCAATTTAATTCAAATTTTAACATTATTAACAAGGTTTAGAATATTCTTATTTGTTCATTGATAATCAATTATCTGACTTTTTTCTCCCAAATCACCTGCTTATATGTTTTGTGCAGATTCCCATTGGGTTATTGTCTTTACTTCATTGATTTTTAAAAACTGTTTACATATCACTGAAATTGTAATAGATAGATAGATAGATAGATAGATAGATAGATAGATAGATAGACAGATGGATAATAGATAGATAGATAATCACAGGGTTCTTTCCTTGATTTGTTATTTATTCTTTAAGTTATTTACAGTGTTTTTCACCATACTGAAGTTTCGGAATTTTATATTATAAAATACGTTAATCGTTTTCTTTATGATTTCTGATCTCTATGTCATATCTAAAAGACCTTCGTTACCTAAGTATAATAAAGTATTGCTTTTAAGGCTGGGCACAGTGGCTCATGCCTGTAATCCCAGCACTTTGGGAGGCAGAGGCAGGTGGATCACATGAGGTCAGGAGTTCGAGACCAGCCTGGCCAATACAGTGAAACCCCATCTCGACTAAAAACACAAAAAATTAGCCGGGCATGGTGGTGCATGCCTGTAGTCCCAGCTACTTGGGAGGTTGAGGCAGGAGAATCGCTTGAACCCAGGAGACGAAGTTTGCAGTGAGACAAGATTGTTCCACAGCACTCCAGCCTGGGTGACAGAGCGAGACTCTAGTCACAAAAAAAAAAAAAAAAGAAAAGAAATGAAAAAGAAAGTATTGATTTTAGTATTTTAATTGTTCTTGTGTTTAAATCTTTAGTTCAATGGAATTTATTTTTGTATTTGATACAAAGAGATATTTAACTTTGTAGTTTCAAAGAGAAATTCAATTGTCCTAATGTCATTCATTATAAAATACATTCCTGCTCCACAGATGTCCAGTGCAGTCTTTCTTTTCATATCTTAATGGACCCTCTTTACTGTTTTTTTATTTATTTGTTCATTATGTACTAACGCCATAATGTTTTAATTATATTACAGAATTTCTTAATATTTAGTAAGTTAAGTCTGTACACAATAAAATCCCTTTCAAAACAACTTTGAATAATAATCTTATACATATGATCTTTCAGATAATTTTTAAAAATCCTGGCAAGTTTCCTTCTACTGACTTCTCACCGAAACAATGTCAGGGTTATGATGGGAGTTTCAGAAGACTAATACATGAATTTGAGAAAGATAATATCCTGACTACTACATTTATTCATGAAATATGAAATATACTACATTTATTCAGCCTTATATCTTTTCAGGCAACTGTGACTGCTGAACCTCATGAAAAATTATACATTTGTCATTAAATTTATTGTGAGACTTTTCACAGTTGTTGATATCATTGAGATTTTTTAAACTAATGTTAACTATCTACTGCTGACATAAATAAACTACTTCTATGTATTCATTTTGCTTCCAAATACTTTTGTGAGTTCTAGTATTACTTTGAATACTATTTTGTTTAGATCTATTTAATTTGTAGGCATGTGGTCATTTTTGCTGCTTATATAATAATAATTTTATATTTTCTAATGCAGATGCCATTTATATATTGTCTGATTGCATTAACTAGAAAGAATCTTCAGAACAGTGTGAAAAAGTTGACAAGAGCGGCCGGGTGCAGTGACTCATGCCTGTAATTCCAGCACTTTGGGAGGCTGAGAGGGATAGATCACTTGAGGTCTGGAGTTCGAAACCAGCCTAGCCGTAATAGCAAAACCCTATCTCTACTACAAATACAAAAATTAGCCAGGCATGGTGGTGGGTACCTGTAATCCCAGCTACTAGGGAGGCTGAGACACAAGAATCACTTGAACCTGGGGTATGGAGGTTGCAGTGAGCCAAGATTATCCCACTGCACTCTAGCCTGGGCAACGGAGTGAGACTCCACCTCAAAAAAAAAAAAAAAAAAAAGAACAAAAAAAAAAAAGAAAAAGAAAAAGATGAAGAGAGCATCCGATCCTTCTTCTCTGAATTTAATATGATAGTTGTTGTTTATGTCTAAAAGTACTATTTTTTATACTTAGGAATTTTTTATCTTTTCCTATTTGTTTTTGAGCTTCCATCAATATTGGCTAAATTGATAGATGTGCTAATGTAGTATGCTTTCATTCCTTGAATATATACCATTTGATCATGCTCTATTTGTCAAAATAATTTAAAGCATCCTTGCTTTCATAGAATAAATTCCACTTAAGGAGGAAGTATTTCTTTATACAATTTTAATGTACATGCCATTCAAGATGTCTGCACCTATAGTCATTCTACATGTACTGAGGGAATCGGTCAGCATACAACTTCTCAGTCTTCCTCCCTCCCGCACCCCTATTTTTTGGAGTTTCACTCTATGCATCCTCAGCAAGGCCTCTAGTAAACCCTATACAGGTTTTGCAGCTTTTGTTTCTATGCAGGTCTTTCATTTCTAGAACTATGCTTTGCAATTTCTGGCCATGTCTACATTCCCACCTCCAACCTACATCTTCACAACTCATCAAGTCTTTGAGTAAGTTTCCTCTACCTTTGCCTATGTCTGAAAATCACTTCAAGCATTCAGCCAAGAAGATCTTAGGGCTTACCTCATTCATTCCCTTCTCTCAGGGATCATGGTGTGCACTGCCTGTTGCCGAATATCTAAAAATAGTTGTTCCATATATTTTGTCCAGTTTCACTGCAGAAAGTTAAGTCTGGTTCTTGTTACTCTTCCAAAGATGAAAACAGAATTCCTAGTACTCTTTTTATAACAGATACTTAACATTCTTTTTTGTTTCTGCAGTACTAAATTCTTTGTTTAGCTTTTGTTTTTTGTCATCTCTTGATGCAACTCATGTAATTTTGACTTTCTTACAAAGTTCATCTAGATTCCATCGTCTCAAGTTTTAAACTTTTAAATAATACTCCCTTCCATTAACAGCATTGCCAGATTTAGCAAATAACAATATGGGAAATTTAGTTAAACTTGAATTTCAGATAAAAATGAATAATAATTTGTATAATAATTATACACAAGGTAACGATTTTATATACTTACACTAAAAAAGAATTTATTGTTTATCTGAAATTTTTTTTTTTTTTTTTTGAGACAGAAACTCTACTCTCGCCCAGGCTGGAGTGCAGCGGCATGATCTTGGCTCACTGCAACCCTCCATCTCCCAGTTTCAAGCGATTCTCCTGCTGTAGCAGGACAAGCCGCAGACAAAACTCCTCAGACACTGAGTTAAAGAAGGAAGAGGTTTATTCGGCCGGGAGCACCGGCAGGACTCCTGTCTCAAAAGCCGAGCTCCCCGAGTGAGCAATTCCTGTCCCTTTTAAGGGTTCACAACTCTAAGGGGGTCCGCTTGAGAGGTTCATGATCAATTGAGCAAGCAGGGGGTACGTGACAGGGGCTGCATGCACCAGTGGTCAGAGTGAAACAAAACAGACCGGGAAGTTTTACAATGTCTTTCTATAATCTATAGATAATATCAGTTGCTAGGTCAGAGGTCGAATTTTAACTACCAGGCTTAGGTCAGGCAGGCCCAGGCCTGGTTTCAGGTCTGGTTCCTTGGTTTCAGGTCTGGTTCCTGGGCGCTGGGCTACCTGCCTTTAGTTTTGCTTCTCTTTCCTTCTCTGAGTATAAAACAAAATGAGAGGGTCTGTCTCTCTTCTCTCATTTCCCCTTTGAGACTCTCACTTTTTATTAGCGGGAGTTCTCACTCTTATTTCTGCTACTTATGTCTTTCTGTGCAATAGATTGATAATGATTCATATAGTACACTTGTGCTGATATATAATACAAAGTGACACTGAGAGACTGGGCTATATGCTTGGCTAATTGCAAAAACAAATTTCTTGTTTTTCCTGGAATTTCTGGTACTGGCACATTCAGTTCATCATAGAAGGTTTGAAATACTGGCTCAGGAGAGCGTTTGTAAACTTTTCTTCAAACTATGATATTTATTTGAAGATCCAGTCCAGCTCCATCAATTTCTAGGGTTACACATTCCTCTTTTTTTAGCGAGGATTAAGGGGGTTGGTTATTACTAGTTCTAAGGGGTTACACTGGCTACTGGTACAGGAAGGGCCACTTTTCCTTTGCTGAAGGTGGACAGGAGTTTTTCATTTTTTTCATCTAAGTAGCCTAAATGACACAAGACCAGTATCTACATTTATTTTTACACAGTCTTAATTTATGATAAATGTACTTATTTTCTGTCATATAACCTCTTTCTTAATTAAGAGAACCTCATCCTATTTTTAACTTATTATTAATAATAAGAGAGCACAGGCATCGAATTTTAAGGTGACTCATTTGGGCACCTTTTTGTTTGTCTATTTTGGCTAACACTTTACTTGTATCCTTTATGAGCCTCCACCAGTCCTCAGTCCTTAATCTTATTTTAAAAACTGTGGTCATGGGAGGCTCAGATGGGTCATAACACACATCAGGTTGGTCATTTCCTGGGCTACATACCTTGTATAGAATAACATTATACAAACAAGTTTTTTTTTAGAGTTTCAGCACACTTATAATAACCATAAAATAATAGGACCATAGCAACCTTTCGTGCCACTTTAGTGACTTGATTTATATACTGGGAACAGCCTTCAGTCTGAGGAAGGTCAGTTGAAGTCCTTACTGTACAAGTCTAAAAGTTAAGGAAAATGAGTCCTGCGATGAGTTTTTTCATGCTTGGGCTGTGCGTGGACCAGTCAGCTTCCGGGTGTGACTGGAGCCGGGCTTGTCATCTTTAGAGTCACTTTGCAAGGGTTGGCGAAGCTGTTCCTGTCCATGTACAGCTCACAGTCTACTGATGTTCAAGGATGGTCTCAGAGGTTGGGCCTGCTAGAATAAACTGAGTCCAATATCTCTAAACAGTTATGTACAACTGGGCTGGGTGATACCGGGAGCAAGGTGGTGGGGTTTAGGGTGTTGCAAACTTCAATGGTTATGCAGGGATTTTTATAGAACAAGCTTTGGTATCTAGTAGCATTCGTTAGCTAATGATGTCCTTTGGTATTTATTAAAGTCACCACAGCATGGGGGGACTTTATGTTTCAGTTTTGCCTAAGAGTTAGCTTATCTGCTTCTTGTGCTAACAGGGCCATTGCTGCCAGGGCCTTTAGACATGGGGGCCAGCCTTTGGAAACCTTGTCTAGCTGTTTTGAGAGATAGGCCACTGGCCTTGGCCAGGGCCCTACAGTCTGGGTTAAAACTCCAACTGCCATTTTTTTTTTTTCCTTTTTTCAACACATACTGTGTAAAAAGTTTTGTCAGATCAGCTAGCCCTAGGGCTGGGGCCAACCTGAGTTTTTCTTTTAACTCATGAAAAGCTTGTTGCTGTTGGTTGTAATAGATGTAGTTTATTTAATCTACATTTTTATTAACTGTCACCTACTGAAATATTGACTTAAATCTTGTAGCTATTTGATTTCAAGCTTTAAATTGATCTGGTATTCCTTGCAGGCCTCCAATTGCATCTAAATAGATGTAAGAGTTGAAAGACCTATAAGGGGCTTCTCTCGCTTTACGATGTTTTATATTTTCTCCTTCTGGTTGATGAAATGCCAGGGTGAAAGGGATAGCCAAATGGACTAAAGCACAAGTCCCACTCTAGTTATTCAGCAGAGTGCGTAGTAAAGGTCCACCATAATACCACCACACATCCGCTCAGGGATGAACAGGGGCCTCATCGCATCCTTTCAGGTCTCCAAGGAATGCTGTTTCCTCCCTGTTGTGAGAGACACGAAGTGAACTTAGTGTTGGGAGATGGAAGCTGGATGGCCCTCGGGGGCTGACCTGCAGGGTGCCGGACTTCAGGATATAGCAGAGAGAGCTTGGCATGAATTATTACTCCAGGCTGTAAAATCCTGGAAAAGGGCTACCATGAAGCCTACGCCTGGTCGACTGGAGGACCACCTTAGTGGAAGAGGGACAATCTGGGCCTCTGGCCTGCCATGTGTACAAGCATAACAATTGCTTTTATTTAACGTGCAGATGGAATATTTGATCCATTTTAACCAGGCATTTGCATCTTGGTATCTTGTCTTAATTGCTAAAGTTTGTCTTAAGTCTTTAACTTCTATGATCTTTTAGAAAAATGAATGTATGATTTTAGGAAATTACAAAAACCAGTTGGGGCAGTCCATCCTTGTTCTTTAGTGGTCCACAGAATGTTGGACCAACTATGGCATGAAAGCTCTGCCTCAGGGGGCAAGACTCCTGGTTGGCACTGGGGCCTTTATTGAAATCTCCCTGGATTAAATGGCCTTAGTTTACTAATGCCCAGTCTGAGGAGAGTCAGGAGGGACAGAAGTACTTTTCTGAAGTAGACAGCTGTCTTTGACTTGGCAAGTCCTCACAGGCTATAACAAGGCAAGCATTAAATGCAACAGTTTGAGGCGAAATTGACTTGGTTATGTTAATAACTAGATGGTCAGCAATAGAGCGCGAAAAGAAGAACGAGTAATAGAATAGATGAAAATAGTTAGATTTTTCTTAGCTTTAGTTTGGTAGAGTTTTCCTCTGGGACTACGGCCTACGAGTCTGGAGGGGGTGGCACTTTCTTGACTCGGATGTGAAGAGTCCATCCTTTTTTGCTGTACGAACAGCAGTCTTGGTGGTTAGCAGCGCAAGGTAGGGTCCTTCCCAGGCTGACTGGAGTTTTTCTTCTTTCCACCTTTCGATGAGAACGTGATCTTCAGGCTGCTGCTGGTTTACCGGAAATTCTAAGGGTAGTACATGTGCTAAAAGACTTTTAGTTTTGAGGGAAAGGAAAGTGGAAGGTAAACCAAGTATATAATTTCTAAGAAATCGACCTTTTGTTTTGAATGTGGGGACCTTGGCAGTGGACTTTATAGTCCTTAGTGCCTTTTTACTGAGAAATTTCCTTTAGCACCTATTTTTATTAGCCTTTAGACCAAAGAGAGCTAAAAACCATTTTATATTTAATAATGCTTTTTGTATGATTTTTATACCAGATAAGCTAAATTTTATCTTTATATTAGTGTGTTATTAATGTTAAACTTAATTTTAATAAAATCTTGTAGACATATTTATCTAATTTTTAATGTTTGACTATAAGGTAAGATGTTTTAGACTCTTTTTAACCATTTATAATTTTTGTTAAAGAACAGGTTGGTGCTTTAAGAAAAACCTGTTATGCTTTTATTTAATGTCCGGTTTACAGAAAAACTGGATGATACTTCTTTAACTTTAGCTAATATGTTTACACACAGAATTTACACACAATTAATGTTTTAAAACTTCCTTAAACCTTTAAAACAAAATACACATATTTTTAACCTTTTAATGTAGGTAAAAATCCACATTCTTATGCCTCCTTATAATCCTTTTACCAAATATATACTTTACTTTCCTTATACACCTTGCACATAAACTGTCTCTTCAATAGTTTTACATTTAGGAGGCCTAATTACTTTTAAATTATACATTTCTTGCATAAATTCTTTCTTTTTAACACACTTTTTTTTATAACTTTTTCTTTTCACGACTTTTACAGGCAATTTTTCGACATGCCTTAACTTTCTGACTTATTACAAACATTTCTTTCTTTAAACAACCAGTTAATATATTTCAGGACAATAATTTACCATATAACATTCTTTTTATATAAATTCCACCCTCCCTTTTTTTTTTTTTTCCAAAGATGATAACTATTCTTTTCTCCTCAGACACCGAGTTAAAGAAGGAAGAGGTTTATCGGCCGGTAGCATCGGCAGGACTCCTGTCTCAAGAGCCGAGCTCCCCAGGTGAGCAATTCCTGTCCCTTTTAAGGGCTCACAACTCTAAGGGAGTCCGCATGAGGAGGTCATGATCAATTGAGCAAGCAGGGGGTATGTGACAGGGGCTGCATGCACCGGTGGTCAGAGTGAAACAGTTCTGTTTCAGAAACTGTTTCAGAAAAGTTCCCAGAACAGACTGGGAAGTTTTACAATGTCTTTCTATAATCTATAGATAACATCAGTTGCTAGGTCAGGGGTCGAATTTTAACTACTAGGCTTAGGTCAGGCAGGCCCAGGCCTGGTTTCAGGTCTGATTCCTTGGTTTCGGGTCTGAATCCTAGGCACCTTTAGTTTTGCTTCTCTTTCCTTTTCTGAGTATAAAACAATATAAAACAATATGAGAAGGTCTGTCTCTCTTCTCTCACTGCCTCATCCTCCTGAGTAGCTGGGATTACAGGCATGCACCACCACGCCCGGCTAATTTTTTGTATTTTTAGTAGAGACAGTTTCACCACTTTGGCCAGGCTGGTTTCAAATACCTGACCTCAGGTGATGTGCCTGCCTCGGCCTCCCAGAGTGCTGGGATTACAGGCGTGAGCCACTGCGCCCAGCCTAAAATTTAAATTTTACTAGGCGTATAGTATTTTATCTGGCAAGCCTATCCATTAAGTATTTTTGTTTAAAAAAAAAAAAACAGTTTTGGTTTTATTGATAAGTCCAGTGTTCTTTAAAGTCTCTTTGATAGGTTTTTAAATATATATATAGTAATTTCCATCTTTTATTTATTTCTCGCTTTCACCTGCAATTTATTTTGTTCTTTTTTCTAAGTTTCCTAGGTTGTTCCCTGAACTAAGTCTCTGATTCATTTTATTAAAATAGAAAGGTTAAAGTCATGAAGCTTACTCTGACTGGGGCTCTATTCGCATTATGGAGATTTCTCAATGAAGAGGGCTCATTTACATTAATTGCTAAAGCATTTGTAATCTCCGTTGTTTTTGTTCGTTTGTTTCCTCTCGATTCAAGAGTCATTTAGAAGAGGTTTTTTTATTTGAAGTAGATTTTTATTATTTTGTTTACTGTAGAAATTCAATATTTTGGTTTTTTGGTAGGAGAATATGTTGTACAAGTGTTCTACTTTGGGGAAATAATATTAAAGCTTTTTGTAGGCCAAGTATGTAATTAAATCTTGTATATGCTTTATAAACATGAGGGGAAAATATATATTTTGTGTTTATTGAGGTCAAATAGAGAAATACAACAAAGTCAGTTAATTCCATTATTTAAATCCTTCAAGCTCATACTTGTTACTGGCCCAGTTTACCTTGAACAAGATGCTGACAAATAGAAATCACGCTACACTTGTGTTCAAGAGCTGCAAATGCAATAAGTTTTGTGCTCCATGATTTATGAAGCATTTTTAAACATGACTGAATTTCTATGAAAAAGTGTCCTTTTACAGGGATTTATTACATAATATATCACCGTAGGCCAATTAGACCCTGTTCAAAGGATAGAAAAGGCCAAAAACATGAATGAGATTATGTAGGTAAAATGTCTCATACAATTCACCAAAGCCACACTTGCCCAGTGTTCCATATGAAAATCACAGTGCATGCCGGGTGCAGTGGCTCATGCCTGTCATCCCAGCACTTTGAGAGGCCGAAGCAGGCAGATCACCTGAGGTCAGGAGTTTGAGACCAGCCTGGCCAACATGGTGAAACCCATCTCTACTAAAAACATGAAAATTAGTCGGGCATGATGGTGCATGCCTGTAAATCCCAGCTTCTCGGGAGGCTGAGGCAGGAGAATTACTTGAACCCAGGAGGCAGTGGTTGCAGTGAGCTGAGATCTTGCCATTGCACTCCAGCCTGGGCAACAAGAGTGAAACTTCATCTCAAAAAAAAAAAAAACAAAAAAACAAAAAAACAAAACAAAAAGAAAAGCACAGTGCTCATTGTTTTCATTCATGGATTGCTTGAGGGATATAGAGAAAGCTAAGAGAGATTCTGTAAGATTTTAAGTTAGCTTCCAAACTCAAAGTCTGGGCAGGCAAAAATCAGAATTTTACCCTTCCCTAACAAATTGGGGGCTGGGTAGGGGAGCAGAAACTGGAGGTTAGATGTGACTAATACATATTAGTCAAACACAAAGCAAAAGGAAGAATTAGGTCACAGCCATGTATAATTATGAAAACTTGCAAATGAACTTGTTTTTGGTTTTCAGAGCTTTTCAATGGATAGTTCCTGAAATGCTGGGCCATGCAGAGACATCACAATTGTAAAAACACAAGGAGGCTAGGACTCTCGACCATACACTGATGTTGCTTATTCTCTCTTTTCCAAGTTTCTTGGAAAAACCAGAGCTACTGTGCATTTCTAACCTTCAACTAGTTGACAATAATGGGATTCAAGTATTTTTCAGGAGTAGGTATATTGCACAGTGATTAAAGCAAAGCTAAGGAACTAGACATCCTAGGTTTACATTATAGCTTTGATACTTCCTAGACAAATTACATAAAGCTTCTCTCTAAAGCTCCATTTCTCAATTTTAAAATGGGAATGATGATGATAATGCCTACCTCTAAGAATTATAGGAAATTATTCTTACAAAACATTCTCCACAAACCTGACACTCAATAAATATTACCCAGTGTTAAAGAACGTATTGTATCGGGGCTGGGTGCAGTGGCTCACGCCTGTAATCCCAGCACTTTGGGAGGCCAGGTTGGGCGGATCACGAGGTCAGGAAATTGAGATCATCCTGGCTAACACGGTGAAACCCCATCTCTACTAAAAATACAAAAAATTAGCCGAGCATGGTGGCGGGCGCCTTTTGTCCCAGCTACTCGGGAGGCTGAGGCAGGAGAATGGCATGAACCCGGGAGGCAGAGCTTGCAGTGAGCCGAGATCGCGCCACTGCACTCCAGCCTGGGCGACAGAGCGAGACTCCTTGGTTTTGTTTTGTTTTTGAGACTGAGACTCACTCTGTTTCCCAAGCTGAAGTGCAGTGGTACAATCTTGGTTCACTGCAACCTCCACCCACTGGGTTCAAGCGATTCTCCTTCCTCAGCCTCCCGAATAGCTGGGACTTCAGGCGTGTGCCACCATACCTGACTAATTTATGTATTCTTAATAGAGATAGGGTTTCACCATGTTGGCCAGGCTGGTCTCGAACTCCTGACCTCAGGTGATCCGCTGAACTCGGCCTCCCAAAGTGCTGGGATGACAGGCATGAGCCACCATGCCTGGCCTGTATCATATCTTGGTCTAGCAGAATCTGTGAGTAGAAATGCTTTTCACATGGTTTGTTTAAGACTCTTCAACATCCTGGTTCTTGAGCTGTTCAGGAATAATCCCATCCATGTCTTTCACTATTGGCAACCTAAAACTCATTTTCTAATTATTGCAATTGTATATCTTCTCAGAAAATTGAAAGGGCTTCATCTGAACCATTGATCAAGTCAACTCAATGATTTCAGGTATATAGCACAAATCCCCAAAAAGGCTGCTCTCCAGAAATCTCCCTCCAACTGACCCAAGAAGGAAGACATTTGGTAACCCACCCTAACATAATAAGCTCTGTAATTAGATTGCAGATTCTCTGAGAACCAAGGTCCTATATCTTTTTTTCCATGTTGTTTCCACAAGCTGGAACAATGCCTGGCCCATGTTACATGTACAATAAATTTTTTTTTTTTTTTTTTTTTTTTTTGAGACGGAGTCTCGCTCTGTCACCCAGGCTGGAGTGCAGTGGCACAGTCTCGGCTCACTGCAAGCTCCGCCTCCCGGGTTCACGCCATTCTCCTGCCTCAGCCTCTCCGAGTAGCTGGGACTACAGGCGCCCGCCACCACGCCCGGCTAATTTTTTTTTTTTTATTTTTAGTAGAGATGGGGTTTCACCGTGGTCTCGATCTCCTGACCTCGTGATCCACCCGCCTCGGCCTCCCAAAGTGCTGGGATTACAAGCGTGAGCCACCGCGCCCGGCCTACAATAAATATTTTTAAACACATTATGGAAAAGATATTGATAGCAAAATTAAAGGAAGTATTTTTTTAAAAATCTTCAAAGTTTCCAAAGGTATAAAATTGTAGTATACCAAAAGCCAGCCCAGCAAATGCAAAGGGGAACATTAGGTCTGATTTTCAGAAATTGTGATGGGTTTAAAATGGAAACAAACATGGCTGGAGAGGCAGTTTGGCAAATGAAAGGCTCATGAGGTTGGCAGTCAGAATGCTTAGGTTTCAGACTTAGCTGAGCTGCTAGGCAAGCCACTTACTCTTTATAAGCCTCAGCCTAGTTTTTAAAGTAGCAGTTGCCATGCTCATGCCACAAAAAAAGTTCAAATGAGACAAAGCATTAAAAAGGCTTTAAAACCTAGAAGGTTCTCCACAATACACACTACTGTTCAAAAATGTGAAGTACAAGAATTATGTTTGTTACACCAAGCACATAAGGAATAAGCTTAGTCATAAAGGGAAAATTGCAAGAAATATAAATATTTAGCAACACTATTTTCTAAAAAGAAGAAATCCAAAAACTATGTCTAGATAGTCGATGTTCACTGTGTAGTTTGGTTTTTTGTTTTTTTGTTTTTTGAGACGGAGTCTCACTCTGTCGCCCAGGCTGGAGTGCAGTGGTGCGATCTTGGCTCACTGCAAGCTCTGCCTCCCGGGTTCATGCCATTCTCCTGCCTCAGCTTCCCGAGTAGCTGGGACAAAAGGCACCCGCCACTGCGCCCAGCTAATTTTTTGTGTTTTTAGTAGAGATGGGGTTTCACCGCGTTAGCCAGGATGGTCTCGATCTCCTGACCTCCTGATCTGCCCGCCTCAGCCTCCCAAAGTCCTGGGATTACAGGCATGAGCCACTGCGCCTGGCCCATTGTGTAGTTTTTAAAAAGAACATCTAATCATATATGCTGTATTTACTGCTGAGAAAAGCCATTTTGCATTTTATATACTTTTTTCTTTTTCTTTTTTCTTTTTTTTTTTTTTTTTTGAGATGGAGTCTTGCTCTGTCACCCAGGCTGGAGTGCAGTGGCGCGATCTCGGCTCACTGCAACCTCTGCCTCCTGGGTTCAAGCGATTCTCCTGCCTCAGCCTCTGGAGTACCTGGAATTACAGGCACACGCCACCACGCCCAATTTTTGTATTTTTAGTAGACATGGGGTTTCACCATATTGGTCAGGCTGGTCTCAAACTCCTGACCTCGTGATCTGCCTGCCTCAGCCTCCCAAAGTGCTGAGATTGCAGGCATGAGCCACCGTGCCTGGCTTCTTTTCATTTTTATGCAAAATTAAACTTATTAATTGTCTTCATTTATGGAACAAAAACAGCATCTGCTGCTTACACTGTTCTTTTCCTATCTTATCAACAGAGCCAAGAAAATCTATGAAATATGCTGATGGAAGGATTTAAGAATCTCAGAAAACACATCTATTATTCTAAGCACAAACATAAAAGATTGCAGAAGTAAACAGAAAGAAAAAGGCTATACCAAAAAAAAAAAAAAAAAGAAAGAAAGAAAAAGAGGAACACACACTAGTGTGCACAAACATGCAAATTCCTTCTAGTATCTCTCTGAAAAAGCAACTAGGAAAGAATTTTCGTAAACTTTCACAGTTGTTCAAACTGATGAGATGGTTAGCCAATGACACAATTGCTTTGTAAAAGAGTTAGGATAATACTAAAATGCTAGCTGAAAGTGCTTTCTTTCCCTGGTTGTTTTGATGGAATATTTGTTATAGTGATCCTGCTACTTAGAAAATCTTTAGTTTTATTGGTTACTATTGTGAAAATAAACATGGACAAAGTGAGTAAATGTTTATACCAGGGTATAGAATCTCTTGGACATGAATTTCTAAATGTTTTGTACTTTTATACATGCACAAACATGGCCATTAAGAAAACACAAGATCCGTGGTTTATGCTTTAGAAAATAATGTTTCTGAGAGGGGTAAATTGTTATTTTCTTAATTTCATACAGTAAAGGCTTTATATATCATTTTCTTTTGGCTAGTGTCCATTGTAGTTCATCAAACTTTCCTAATTCTGTTTATCTTAAAAATCTGTATTTTGTTTCCTTTCATTATCTTTTCTGAAATTATCATCTTCTCCCTTTCTACTGTATCAGTTCTATCAGCATACAAACATTTTCTTATTTCTCCCATTAAAAAAAGTGCAGACTCCATGAACTCTTCCAGCTATTGCCTTATTTCTCTGCCTTCCTTTATATCAAAACTTCATTAAATAATTGTCTATGCTTAGAGTCTCCATTTCCTCAACTCACATTCTCTCCTCCACTCACTCTTATAACGATCTGGTCCTCACTGTTCCACAAAAAGCACTCATAGATATCACCAGTGATCTCCACCTTTTCAAAACCATGCTCAATTTTCAGGCTCATTTTACTCACCCTTTCCTCAACATTTGACACAGTTGCTTCCTCCCTTATACATCAAATATTTTCTTTTTTTTTGAAATGGAGTCTCGCTCTGTCGCCCAGGCTGGAGTGCAGTGGCGCAATCTCTGCTCACTGCAAGCTCCGCCTCCCGGGTTCATGCCATTCTCCTGCCTCAGCCTCCCAAGAAGATGGGACTACAGGCACCCGCCACCACGCCTGGCTAATTTTTTGTATTTTTAATAGAGATGGGGTTTCACCGTGTTAGCCAGGATGGTCTCGATCTCCTGACCTCGTGATCCACCCACCCCAGCCTCCCAAAGTGCTGGGATTACAGGCGTGAGCCACCGCGCCCGGCCCAAATATTTTCTTTACTTAACTACCGGGATAACACTCCTTGTTTTCTTCCAATTTGAAGGGCCGCTATATTTCAGTCCCCTTTGCTGGCATTTCCTCCACCTCCAAATATCTAAATGTTGAAGTGTCCCAAGTTTCAGTCTTTAGGCTCTTCTCCTCTTTTTTTTTTTTTTTTTTTTTGAGACGGAGTCTTGCTCTGTCGCCCAGGCTGGAGTGCAGTGGCGCAATCTTGGCTCAGTGCAAGCTCCGCCTCCCGGGTTCACGCCATTCTCCTGCCTCACCCTCCCAAGTAGCTGGGACTACAGGCGCCCGCCACCACGCCCGGCTAATTTTTTGTATTTTTTAGTAGAGGCGGGGTTTCACCGTGTTAGCCAGGATGGTCTCGATCTCCTGACCACGTGATCCGCCCGCCTCGGCCTCCCAAAGTGCTGGGATTACAGTTTTGAGCCACCGGGTCCGGCCTTCTCCTCTTTTCTATGTTTACTCACCCATAAGTCTTTTTATCCACTTCATGACTTGATGTAAATCCTAAATGACTCCCACATTTATATCTTAGCCCTCGCCTCTCCTACACTGCAGACACTGATGTGTAACTACCTACTCAAGATTTCCATTTTGACATCTAATAGGTATCCCAAACCTAACATTTTCAAAGGAAACCTCTTTAGTGTACCCTCCCGCACCAGAACTTCTCGTTCCCCTGCTTTCCCACATTAGTAAATGAGAGTCCCAGTTACTCACTTGCCCAGGTACTGCATTGTGTGCTGCAGTGAGTTAGGCTATTCTCCTCTATATCTTTTTTTCTACATTCAAGTTAAACATAAAAAGAACCACCCCCCACATTTTTTTTCCCCCGAGACGGAGTTTTGCTCCTGTTGCCCAGGCTGGAGTACAATGGCTCCATCTCTGCTCACTGCAACCTCCACCTCCTGGGTTCAAGCAATTCTCCTGCCTCAGCCTCCCGAGTAGCTGGGATTACAGGCGCACACCACCACACCCGGCTATTTTTTGCATTTTTAGTAGAGATGGGTCTCACCATTTTGGTCAGGCTGGTCTTGAACTCCTGACCTCAGGTGATCCACCCGCCCCAGCCTCCCAAAGTGCTGGCATTACAGTCAGGAGCCACCGCGCCTGGCGAAAAACCCGTTTTGATAGAATCCCCTGCCCAATCTGATTGTGAGGTACCCATATTTGTAGATATTCTGCAATATCAGAATATTCTGCCGTTTAAAAAACTGACCTAAGGTTGACCTTACCATTTTAATTGATATGAAAATTGTTTTATGTATTTCAGTTGTCATAATAGTTTACGTACACCCTTAGGTGAAAAAAGGGTGTGTGTGTGTGTGTGTGTGTGTGTAAAATAAATTGTGGTACATTTATACAATATAATACTACTAACAATGTAAATGCACAGATGTTACTATATCCAAAACTTGGATGAATCACAAACATAATTTTAAGCAAAGTTTTTAAAACAGGCAAAGTTAATAATTTATGGTTTTGGAAATCAGGAGAGGAAAAGGAAAAGGGCATATGTGTCCCTCATCAAAAAACTGAAATCAACAAAGCAATATTTATATTTCTGTATCAAAGCTGCTGATTCCACTGCGTTTTTTTTTTTCTTTTTCAGCACAATTTTCACTCCTCTTTTTAACTAAAAACTGTCTCCTGGCTTCAGTTGCAAGGGATCTTCATGAGTGCGACACAAAAGAGAGTGGGAGAAAAGCATGAACTACAGCCCAGAACAGAATGACTAATTCCTGGAGGACGAATTTGCATTCAGCTTGAAGGCCAAGAGGTTAGCATTTCCAACACAAAACAATTTCGAGTGGGCTCAATGCTCCCAGTCTTGTCTTATCCTGGAACCGTCTCTGAATTCCCCTCTTTCCTTGTTGCTGTGCCTATGTCCTACTCCAGAGAGAGCTGATGGTGAGATGGAACACAAGATTTCAGAATTACATTTAGTTTGTAAGGAGCTCTGCTGTATTTGTATTTGAGAATAAAAAGCACTTTGGAAATATATGTGATTATTATTGCATTAGAAGTAAACCTGGGATAAGAAAAAAATCCATTAACAAGTGTTTCTGCTAAATGCTTTCTCGGGTGGCCATTCAGAGATACATTTGAAGATGCAAAATCGTAGGAGATCCAATTATATCTTCCTGATAAGAAATGCTTTAAGTGTCCAACAAGTGCTAATCACAGAAAGCCATCAGAGAACTACAATTTCTAATACAAGCAAAAAGCAAATCTTTCTCTCAAGGGCAACATCCTAAAGACTTGCTTAAATAATAACATTTTAGAGACTTCCAAAATAACTTGGCTATATTTATACAAGCTACGGTCATAAAAACAACTTGATCTTACAGTTTATGGCCAGCCTAGGAAATTTAGAAAGACTGGAGTTTTCCATTATTCTCTGAAATCTGTAACATTAGGTCAAAGTCTATTATTTCAAATTAGGGTTAAAATAATAGCAGAAATGGATTGCATGTTTTAATGTTAACAAGATGTCTCCTTGTTTTGCTAAAAACCCTTATTTTATGTAAGTAATACACATAGGCTCAGCCCTTGCATATGGGTAAAACGCTCCTTTGCAGCTAAAAAACTGAGATGATATTCATAAAGCATATGAGCCACTGACCACGTAACAGGCACCAGGAAAATGTTAGGTACTTTCCCTTTTCCCCAAGGGGTTCCTTGTTTTCTCAATTTTTTTTTCTTTCTTTCTTTTTCTTTTCTTTCTTTCTTTTTTTTTTAGGTGGAGTTTCACTCTTCATTGGCCAGGCTGGAGTACAAATGGTGCAATCTCGGCTCACCGCAACCTCTGCCTCCCAAATTCAAGTGATTCTCCTGCCTCAGCCTCCTGAGTAGCTGGGATTACAGGCACGCACCATCATGCCTGGCTCATTTTTGTATTTTTAGGAAAGACAGGGTATCACCATGGTGGCCAGGCTGGTCTCGAATTCCTGACCTCAGGTGATCCACCCGCCTCAGCCTCCCAAAGTGCTAGGATTAAAGGCATGAGCCACTGCACCCAGCCTGTTTTCTCAAATTTAATTAATGATCTTAAAAACAGAAATAATAACAACAACTGTAAGTATTTTTCAGTTGGTGTCTACTGTATGTAGTCATTGTGGAAATCTCTATACATTAAATATTCTCTAATTTGTGCAACAACTCTATGGAATAGATGGTATTATTATCCTCATTTTATATACAAGGTTAAGAAAATTGTCCACAATTTAGATAGCAAGCTTAAAAAGGCAGACCACTTCCTCTCCCTAGGTGGTCAAAAGGGACTATCTAGAAATTTCTTTTGATATATTGCAATGAGTCTGTGAGACAGAAGATTGCTGGCTCTGAACTGTAGACTCTTACATGTTTTTACACAAGTCTTTAAAAAATCAACTTGTTAAAGGAGATTGGTTAGCTCTTTTTCTGTTTACAGAATTCATCTTTCATAATTCTGTGTTTGTGGCAGATAATTAGACGCACAGAGTTTGGGTTTAGAAGACTTTCAGGTTTCAGAGCAAATTGCTTATTTAAGGTCAAATTTGCAGGCTTAATTTATGTATGCTTTCATATGGAACCCTATAAATATGCACCATATGCTTTGGGGTAGCAGAACACTCAGTATGTTGTTGAGGCCAAGTGGAATCATATCAAGCAGTCCTTCAGAGTTCATTCTTCTCATCCTTGAAAATGAGTTTAAATTACCTTATTAGTGAATACTGCTATACGATTTCTGATTGCTCTACCACATAGCGATTACATGCTGTTTCATTAATTACTTCCAGCTATCTATTAAATTTTCTGATAGAGCAAGGTGATTTTATTTGTGGGATCATTTTTCATAATGAAAGAAAATGTCAGTCTCTGAAATAGGTTACATTTATTCCTAACCTTATACATTCACTCATCTTGTGGACCTCTTAGGAAAGAACCACACCTTCGTCTATTTAAATTCCACTCATTCTTCACGATATCATCAGATTTTGCCTCTGCAGCCATCACTGACCTCTATCTGCCTATAGCTTTCTTGATTACATACATCTTACCTCTCATCTCTTGGTTCCCTCCAAGGCTTACTTTAGTATCCTGCATATAATGGCACTCAAAACATCTTGCAGATGATATGTTACTTGTGGTCTCTACTACACAGCTAAGTATTTAATCATTCGTTGTTCTACGCTATTTGCCTCTAAGTCCTAAGTGTTCGGCTAGCATATATAATTGAAATACATGTTTCTTAAGGGTAGAAACCAAGTATTATACTTCTTTATTATCAAACATTGCACCTAACACAAAACTAAGAATACAGTAAGTACTTGGCGAATCAAACTCTAAAATTGCTCAATGTGCACTACATGCTGTACACAGATAGAAAGGACTAGAGAGTTAGAGACCTCTGTGTAACTCTGGGAAAGCCACTCAAGTCCCTATCCTCTGACTCCTTATCTTTAAAATATAATGCCAATAACTACCCTCCTCCCCCCATGCACAATGTTGTGGAGCCTCCATAAGATGATTTATGCAAAAGTTGTTCGACAGGAAGCTCTTAGCAGGAAGGCACTCACCAAGTGCTTTGATACCAAGCATTTACCAAGTGCTCAATACTTATTTAACCAAAGACTGCCATCTTCCTTTGAAACATTCATCAAAATGACAAAAATGAAAAAGACAAATCATATTCAGTGTTTGGGAGAGTGTGGGGAAAGGGCACTTTCATGAACCATGGAGAATAGAAAATCAATACAGTCTTTCTGGATGGAAATCTGGCAGTCCAAAGTGATACCACAATCATTTTTTTCTCAGATCTTTTAATTTTTTTTTAAACTCAATCTTTTTTTATAATAAATAGACCCATAGTATTTCTTAATATCTTCGCTGTTTTTCATTTATTGAACATGGTAAAGTTAACGATTAGCGATAAAACATCTCAAAAATAAACTTAGAACAAATACATCTTAGACTCATAAATAACACTTTGAACAAAATAACAATTGTGGGCAGTTGGTGCGCTTTTGTTCTGGGGTATTCTTTTTTTTTTTTTTTCCTTGAGACGGAGTCTCGCTTTGTCGCCCAGGCTGGAGTGCAGTGGCACGATCTCGGCTCACTGCAACCTCCACCTCCCAGGTTCAAGCGATTCTTTTGCCTCAGCCTCCTGAGTAGCTGGGATTACAGGCATGCACTACCACGCCCAACTAATTTTTGTATTTTTAATAGAAACAGGGTTTCACCATGTTGGCCAGGCTGGTCTCAAACTCCTGACATCAAGTGATCCACCTGTGTCAGCCTCCTAAAGTGCTGGGATTACGGGCATGAGCCTTGGCACCGGGCTTCTGGGGTATTCTCTACTGGTGTGTATTAGAGTTCTCATATTAAAAATATTGAGACCTTGCTGCAGTGGTTAAGAGCAGAGATGCTGGAGCCAGACTCACTACTTATATTCAAATCCCAGTGCTGCCACTTACTACCCACATGACCTTGGCCAAATGACTTTACCATCTCCATGTTTCCATTGCCTTCTCTGCAAAATGGGGATAATAGTAATGCCAACTTATAGTTTTGGCAATGAGGATTAAATATGTTCACAAATGTAGCACTGAGAGGAGTTTTATGAAGTGCTTTGAAAGGGTGTGTGTGCTTCATTATCACTATTTACCGAGTACCTATGATGTGCTAGGGGCTGAGGAGATGGTGGTGAACACTTTAGGGTGCTTACAGTCTCATGGAAGAGATTATATAGGTTGTTGAATAAATCAACATATATACATTTTCTTAAATTATGGTAAGTATTCTAATAAAAAACAGTGCCTGAAATGAGAATTAATAAAAGAGGTACCAAATGTGTATTATGAGTTTGGGAGTCATGAAGGATTACCCAAGAATCTGTGGAAAAAGGAATCTTCCAGGCAAAGAGAAGAGCATATGCAAGGGCACATTCAATACATTGAAGACTAGGGTGGCCCAAGACCACTGAGAAATGGGGAGGGTATTTCAAGATGAAGCTCAAGAGATAGGCAATGGCGATTGGGCAGAGGCATGTGGACCTTTTTAGGGATCTGAGGTATTATCTGAGTTCTGCTGAAAGCCAATTAATAGTTTTACTCAGGGAAGTGACATGATCAAATGTGCATATTAATAAAAATAATCCTGGCTGAAAAATCATGTAGAAAATCTTGAGTTCTCGCACAAGTGTACAAAGACCTATGTACAATAAAATCTTCACCTTAGCCAGGCGCAGTGGCTCATGCCTGTAATCCCAGCACTTTGGGAGGCAGAGGCGAATGGATCACAAGGTCAGGAGTGTGAGACCAGCCTGACCAACATGGTGAAACCCTGTCTCTACTAAAAATACAAAAGCTAGCCAGGCGTGGTGACACATGTCTGTAATCCCAGCTATTCAGGAGGCTGAGGCAGGAGAATCGTTTGAACCTGGGAGGTGGAGGTTGCAGTGAGCCGAGATTGCGCCACCGCACTCCAGCCTGGGTGACAGAGCGAGACTCCATCTCAAACAAACAAACAAGCAAAAATATCCACCTGAAAGAACTTGATTGCACATTTTCTCTTTTATATAATGAAAACACTTTAAATTATGTATTTATATGAATTTATTATGTAATATACATTCCTCTATATATTATACATGTTTACATACATATGACTGTGCCGGTTTGTACTATACATGTTAAACTAAATACTGTTTTTAATTAATTCATGACTTAATTTCACTTCTAGGGATTGTTGCCTTGTATGTTGATTTTAGAATTGACTAAGATTCAATTGCATTGTTAAATGATGTATACTGTGCATTGTTCCTTAAGAAAAGAAAAAGGAAAAGAACATATATAATTATCCATATATTAAAGACCGGTAAAACAAATGTTAATATATACATACATTGAATTATTAAGCAGCCATAAAATGAACAATGGAGATGTATATATACTAAAATAGAATGGTGTTTAAAATATTGTTAATGAGGGAAAAAGCAAGTTCTAGGAACATAATTGGTAGTTTAAGATTTTTGTAAAAATAAAAAATATATAATCATTAATGTATAAAACATATAAATATTTGTTTGTACACATCTAGAAGTATTCATATCAAGCTACTAACATAGATTACGCCTTGGATAGCAGGGTTAGGGGAGGGATGAGAATTTACTTTTTAATTTAGATGTTTCTGATTGTTTGAATTCTTTATAAGCAGTATACATCAATTTGCAATCAAAAGCAAAAATAATAATACGAAATTAATAAAACAAAATATAAGCTTCACTTTTAGTCTTTTTAACAGAAATAATTTATACCACAATAAAGAACTTGAAGTAAGACACAAGTAGTAGGTGAAGTAAAAAGAAGATTGATCTATGCTATTTATAATTTTTAAAAGAATGATGTATAATTAAGGTAGTTCCTATTAATTACTGGTGGGCAGAATTAAGGGATCTGTCAGCCATTATTCATCAGGTAATACAACCTGATGTCGCACTAATAGATGATCTCTAGGAGGTGGGGCAGCAAATTGTGTTTTGCTTTATTCGACAGTGGCTTCATCTTCCTTCTCTTAGCAATCTTCCTACCTGCTTCAACTTGTTTTTTTGAGAATAAATGGATATTGACAGACTTTGATCAGAGTGCATGTGGAAATGGGAAATCTACACAACAGTGTTGCTAAGTCATGTATTCTTTATCTGTCTACAGATGTCTGAAGAAAATTATAGAACTTCTTTAACATCTCTTGTAATTAGAGGGACTAGCTGATCGTAATAAAGTATTAAGATGTTGTCAGCATAGACCTGAGAAGTTGACGGCATCTAATTCAGCATGATTCATTTCCATGACTTAGCTAAATGACAGGTCCCAAAATAGCAGTCTTGATATTCAATAATTTTGATATAACTAGTAGGAAATTGTACCAACAAATTATTTTGGTATTATCTTGATGAATCCACCATATTGTGGGCCAGCATTATTAAAAATATATTCTCCAGAAAACCAATTCTGAGGGTATCTAATAGGTGTCACATGGTTTTTGTTTTTGTTTTTGTTTTGTTTTTTTTGAGACAGAGTCTCGCTCTGTTGCCCAGGCTGGAGTGCAGTGGCACGATCTTGGCTCACTGCTACCTCTGCCTCCCAGGCTGAAGCAATTCTCTGCCTCAGCCTCCCGAGTAGCTGGGATTATAGGCACCTGCCACCACACCCAGCTAATTTTTTTTGTATTTTTAGTAGAGACGGGGTTTCACCATCTTGGCCTGGCTGGTCGTGAACCCCTGACCTCATGATCCACACGCCTCGGCCTCCCAAAGTGCTGGGATTACAGGCGTGAGCCAACATGCCTGGCCAGGTGTCACATGTTTTTAAAAGGGGAATTGGTTATTGGTTAAATAGATTTCAAAAATGCTGAGTAAAATGAATTTAAGGAAGTGTTTTATTGGATTTCTCAGAGCCATTAATATGTTAACTATTAATTTTCAAGATGCTGATATAATAAGTAGTGCTTCCAAATTCTAAATTCATTTTTATATGAAGCCCTTTCATTGTCAATATGTTAAGGTACTCTTTTTTGGTTTTTTTTTTTTTTGGAACAATTAACATAGTCCCATGGTCAATCCTAAATTTGGTGTTTTATGTTATGAAACAGGTTGTGGTTGCCTTCTTACTTTATACAATTTTAAAAGTTGTATACCTTCCCAAAACAAAATTTCGTCATATTGTCATTCCCTCTCAGGAACATTTCTATTCATCCTATTAGGAAGTACAGAATATATTTAAAGCTGAACTTCCAAAGAAGCCAAGAAATACTGAATTCTTTGTTGATCTCCCATCACCTTCCACCCTCAAGTTTAGCCATCTTCTGACAAGAAGCATACATGAATAAAGCTTTGTCTTGGCTATAGCAACTTTGGGCTGATAGATTTGAATACACAGAAAAAAAAAGGCCTGGCTCTTCAACTTGAAACTGGTTTAGTATTCCTCAACAATCAGATCATCACTATCAAATTTCTTAGCTAAGACTTTACTCACTTATTAAATATAGACTTGGACTAGTGTCTGAGTACTCTATGTTAAATTCACAATGAAAATTTAAGAAACACATTCCAGAAAACAACTTGGTGACATCTATTCAAAAGTCTTACAAATGTTCCTTTATGTTGATCCACATTTGATTCTACTTTTACAAATTGATCACCAAAGTATGTGTAAGAATTGTCATAGACACATTACTCATAAGTACCTATAAAAATGATACATTCTTGGCAGGGTGTGGTGGCTCACGCCTGTAATCCCAGCACTTTGAGAGGCCAAGGCGGGCAGACCACCTGAGGTCAGGAGTTCAAGACCAGCCTTACCAACATAGTGAAACCCTGTCTCTACCAAAACTACAAAAATCAGCCAGCCGTGGTGGCGGGTGCCTGTAACCCCAGCTACTCGGGAAGCTGAGGTGGGAGAATCGCTTGAACCCGGGAGGCAGAGGTTGCAGTAAGCCGAGATCATGCCACTACACTCCAGCCTGGACAACAGAATGAGACTCCATCTCAAAAAAAAAAAACAAAAAAAGATTCATTCTTACAATAGAACCCTGCTTAAAACTTTAAAATAATGCTGTGCAAAAATATTTATTCGCATAGGAAAACACATATGTTCAAGTACAAATATTTTAAAAAGCAAATATCTATTCCTAGATAGACACACATACAAACATACATACATACATACACACATACTGGTACAAACTTATGTTGGCACACATTACTTGGAATGATATGAAAACTGAAAATGGTGGCTGCATTTGGAGTGGAGAACTGGGGAACTGAGGGAGACGGAAGAAATGAGGCTTTTTCTTCACTCTCCTTTGTACTGTTTGAATCATTTACCATAAATAAAATAGGGATTGATAGAAGATAGATAGATAGATAGATAGATAGATAGATAGATAGATAGGTAGATAGATACATGGATGACTGATAAGGAAGGAAGGAAGGAAGGAAGGAAGGAAGGAAGGAAGGAAGGAAGGAAGGAAGGAAAGAGGGAGGGAGGAATGGGAGGGAGGGAGGAAGGAAGGGAAGGAAGGGAAGGAAAGAAGGAAGTAAGGAAAGGAGGGAGGGAGGGGAAAGGAAATGAAGGAAGGACAGAAGGAAGTGATGATATACGAAAGGTTATTAAACAAAATGTTGTTTTCATCCCGTAAATAGCCCCATATAACCAACTTCTGATCATAATAGCTCTCAAGCAAATCAGGTTTGATAATTTTTATTCAAATTTTCTATAGTTTTATTTTAAATTTTGCTTACTTAATGCATCAGTTTTTAAAACAAGCACGTAAATTCGCAGATTACAATGTTAATGTACATTTTCTCACATTTTTAGTGATTTCTGCCTTAGGAAATTTGAAACTATGGTGTACATAACATCTTGTAACGAATACATTTCTTGTTGAATTGAACCTTTTATCAACATGAAATATATTGTTTTTTCCCTTTAAATAATCTTAATATTGAGTTCTATTTTCTCTAATATTAATATGTTATAATAGCCTTTGTTATCATTATTGTTATTAGTATTTGCTTAGAATGTCTCTACCCATCCATATATTTTCACCTTTCTTGAGTCATTCCATTTTATGTGTCACTCATAAAAAACATATATCTGGTATTCATTTTTCAAAGCTGTGTTTCTTTGTTTCATGTGGAGTCATTTAAACCATTTACATTTATTTCTCATACTTTGTACTTGTCCCAGTCATCATTTTTGTGTGTATTATATTTACCATGCTTTGTTATTGACTCTTATTTTACCGTTTGACAAATTTTTTGGATTGATTATATTTCTTTTACATATTATATTTATTCCACATTTTTCCTTAATTGGTTGGTGGTTATTCCTCTTATTTCTGCTTTTCTAGTAGTTATACTAAAAATTTTAAGACATATTTCAATGTATGTCAAATTTATGAAAAACTTATGTTTAAATTATTGAAGCCTAGCTTTAATGAGTACTTGTAACTTCCTGTCTCCTCCTCTGACCTCTGAGCTCCCACAATGTTGAAATTATATGAGATTTTAGTTCGAAATTTTATTGTGTTTTAAATAATTCTCAGTTATAAATTATGCTTTCTTTGCTCAGTACTGCTGTTTGTTTTCCATATCTTTGAAGCTCATTTTTAATATTGCTGAAGTGTGTTCTGTATTAATTATTGCGTGGTTCACAAATGGTATGTTTTTAAGTGTTTTTGTTGTTATAAAATGTCTTAATTTACCTTTCTATTTGAATAACGGGTGGATGGATGTGGTATGGAACACAATTCTCTCAGTGCTCTGCAAATGCTAGGTATACATATTTTAAAGTTTCCTCTTGGTTGCTATATTAATCATGTCTCTTCAGATACTCTTTTTTTTGGATGTTATCTATCTTCCATGATGGGTGTTATCCTCTAAGGTATGGTGATTTTGGGTTGTGAGGTTATCATTTTATTGGCCATTTCCTTTTAGCCTGTCTCTGATCACAGCCCACCTCCAGTTACCACCCTGGAGTCCTGGGCACAGGGCTCATGCTTCCACACGGGCCTCCCCAACCACCCCGGGCACTGCCCAGGCTCCCAGATTTGCAGCAACTACCTAGAAGAGGGAAGAGGCTCACCTCCAGGAGATCTTAACAGCAAGCAACTCCCAACCAGGCCCCTGCTGTTCCCCTTCTCCTCCGCCTTCAGTTCAGCACTCTTCCTGGGCTGTCATCCCCTCCTCCATCCCCTCCTCCTAAATCTGTTTCAGGCTGTAGATTCTTCCTTCAATGTGATCTCATCTACCTCCAGCTTTCAGAGGTTCCTCATAATTTCTGCTCCACTACGGCTATACTTTCTCTTGACATATATTAACAAGTAAATGGAGGCACAATAAAATTTTAAAGAGTTTATTTGAGCAAACAATGATTCGCGAATTGGGCAGCTCCAACCAAAAAATGATTGAGGGGCTCCACAGAGAGAGCATAAGGGGAAGACTTTTATAGGACAACTGTAGAAGTAAAGCAAAGCAGACGTTTGATTGGTTACAGTTACACAGTTGTCTTATTTGGTCTATCTTATTGGAAAGTCTGTAGTTATGTAATTGTAAGTTTGTTGGCTGTGTCTGATTGGTTGAGCTTAAGATTTATTTTTCTTTAATAGGCATTTACAAGAAAAAGCTCATTAAGTTTTGCTTACGTTTGCAAATCAAGCAAAGTTGAGGTCACTTTTGAGGCCTCACTGGTTTTGTCTGCTCAGGAATTCTTCAGGCCTAGTCTCCATTTTAATTTAACGGCCGGGCACAGTGGCTCACGCCTGTAATCCCAGCACCTTGGGAGGTGGGCGGATCACCTGAGGTCAGGAGTTCGAGATCAGCCTGGGCAACACGGCAAAACCCCGTCTCTACTAAAAATACAAAATTAGCCAGGCGTGGTGGCACATGCCTGTAATCCCAGCTACTCAGGAGGCTCAGGCAGGAGAATCGCTTGAACCTGGGAGGTGGAGGATGCGGTGAGCCAAGATCATGCCATTGCACTCCAGCCTGGGCAACAAGAGTACATCTCTGTCTCACCAAAAAAAAAAAAAAAAAAAAAAAAAATTTACTTTAACATGTATATTTTTATATTTTTTTTCTCTTATTTCTAAGACTTAAGGGGAGAGAGGAGTTGAGGAGAGAGATAGAGAGATTCTGTTCAGTTTATTCCTTTGGCATAATCCCCCAGCCTTACGAACATTTTTTTTTTTTTACACACAGACACAGACACACACAGTACATCTAAACCTTAATGCTAACTCTAAATAAAGTAATTAGATCTATGTTGTTCACTATCACAAACAGTAAACCACAACCATTTCCATGACTTCCTTGGATTTGACAGGCTTTCTGAATGATCTTCCTACCCAAGAAATAGTTGCCCGAATTCATTTTTCTCTCTCTATGAGAAACTCTAGACTGCTTGATAACAAATTGCTGCCTGTTTCTTGGTGGCCCCTGTTTCCTGTGTGTCCCTCATTGCCTCCTTCCTTCTCTAACCCTCTCCCTCCCTCAGCCTGCCTTGTGGAGCCCTCCACAGTCTGCATAGGACTATTATGGCATTTGAGTCCAGTATGTTTTAAGGTTCCTTTCTTTTCTCAAAATCGAAACTTCAGAATTCGCATTTAGATCACGTAAAATAAAACTTGTGTCAGAGGCCACAACAACACATTCAGAGCCAAATAGACCACACGATAAAAATGTGGTCCACTCAATTTACTACCACACGAGTGCCACCAACATCACATGTGTACCTGCTGCACATCAGTCAGCCTTCCAGGGAAAATGTCTACAAAGCATTACTAGGTGGCCGAGTGCTTTGCAGAGATGTGAAAGCCTATGCCTAGGGCTCAATTTTTTTGGTGTCTAAGATGAATTTGGCCAGTAAATTCTACCTGATATACTCCCCGCACTGTGATATGAGCAAACAAACATATGTAACAGTGAATGAATACACACTGAAAGGCAATCTAGTGTAAAATTAAGAATCCAAACTCTGATTAAATCTGAATGTATCAAATGTGTGATCTTAGACAAATTATTTAACCTCTCTGTGCCTCTGTTTTCACATCTATAAGGTGGGGACAATAATGGCACCTACTTCTGAGAATTGTTGTGAGGATTAAATACTTAGTGTGTGCAATGTGCCTAGAATAGTACCTAGCACACAGCAAGCTTCAATTAAGTGTTTGCTAATATGACTATTACATATTACTAGCAATTGCTGCTACTATCCTCAGGAGAATAGAATTAGTCAATGACAATTTTTGGAAGAAATGCATCTTTCTTGACTTTTTCCTGACTTCCCACATACAGAACATGGGAATGGGCATCTCCAGAGAACAAACCACCCAAAGTGTGTGGAAGAGGTCACTGTAAGACTATTGGGCTGGTGCCCAGGTACCCCGAGGAGAAATGTGACTCTATGTCTTTTAGCTCCCTTAGAAAAGTTCAAAACAACTTCTCACAGCTCAGCAAACTCATCAATCCCCAATTTCCTTGGGTACCAAGCAGCCCAGAAGTTTGGAGCTGCCATGTCTCACGCAATCTCCAGCCACAACTGAAAGAGCCAGATCCCACTGTTTGGGCAATCTATCTCTGCCTGGACCATGTGCAGAATCAGGTGCTGCAGTTTTAGGCTCAGAAAAATGGCAAATGCCCACAGGCTTGCTCAAGTCATGCTCAGTTTCTGGACAGAGAGCCTCTCTTACTCAATCATGGGAGTCCAGACGATGAGGACTGGTCATGAAGGCACTTTATGGCCAGGCCCTGCTAAGAAGTCTCCTGTCAGTAACTTATATTTATTTAACCTGTATCCACTGGATACAGAATACTGTCTAAAGTGTTAGGGGAGGGTAAGGAGGGATTATCAGAAAAGAATTAAAGATGGTGCTGCTTTTGGGTTATGAAAAGGAATATAACCTATTTATGGTTCTTGGGATTGAGTGGAAGAGAGAGATAAGATTGAGGAAGGGTTTTGTTGTTGTTGTTTTTGTTTTTTTTTCACATTGACTGGATGATTGTAGTTTAAGCAAATATCTCCTTGGCCTTCCCCCATCTCTTCCGTTTTTGTGGTAGCCTCACATCTTCATTTCAAGATGTATTTGTTGGCATTCCTCATGAGTACAATAGGTCTATTTATTACATCTTAGAAATCAATACTCTGGTTTAAAAAAGTGCCCCCTGCCTTGCTTTCCCAGAGAGGATGTGTTAAAGCGTGCATCATGCACATGTGCAGCCCTGCCATCGCTTTGAACATCACTGGACACAGACACAATCTTCACTAAACCAGGTAAGACTGTAAAAGCAGCTATAGGGAAAATGCTTTTCATCAGAGCATGCCAGCGCCAGGCTAAGATATGTGAGTGTCCCAGAGTCTAATTATTTGCTTTCTTGTCCAATCAATATTCATTAAAATATTGACAAAAGAACACATGCTTAGTAAATTAAGAGGAGAATAGAATCCCTGTGGCAGTTTTCTACCTCTCTGTTTGCCCCAAGCAGTTCATCTCTTGCTTCAAACTTGCACACTCAACTCAGCAGAAGGAAAGCCCTACAATGAACCAAATCGCCACTTTTAGAAAGCAATTTAGTAACCACTAGGACCTAGGGGTCTTTACACCCCACCACACAAAGCACAGTATCAAATTATTCCTACATTTCAAACAAAACGATTCTCACCCTAAAAGGAATTCTGGTCAATATAAATGTCCCCTTCTCACTATATTTCCAGGGATGCTTTTGTGCCTTTTGTGTATCAGCCTCCCACACAGCTCTCAGCCCTGGGCAGTGCAGAATGGGGAAAAACATGTTAACAAAGAGCAGGGGAGAGGAGGGTGGCTGTGCTCTCAGCCTCACAGAAGGCTTTCTGGTGCAGGCCAGAGGCCGGGGGACCTGCCTGTGAGCATGTGGTCGTTTTCTCAAAAATAAACAAACAAGCAAGAAAGCAACAACCATCAAAAACCTCAGAGTCTAGGGAGGAAAGGAACGAAGAACGAGGTGTCATGGTAAAGTGCCAGCTTTAGTCTTGTGAGATCTCGTCTCATTTAGGGACTCTGCAGGATTTAGTTTCCAGCTTTTTCTCTGGCATCCTCCCTTTGCCAGCTCCTTAACAGAACGCTTCAGCTGGTCTCAGAGAAAAGGCATGGCCTCCATCTTCTAAAGCAGTGCTGTCCAGCAGAAGCCAATGAGGACCACATATGTAATTGCCAGACTTCCAATAGCCACATATTTAAAAGTAAGAAGAACTGGGTAAAATCAAATCTAATACCTTTCAATCCAACATATCTAAAATATTATCATTTCAACATACAAACATTATTAAAATTATTCATTTGTTTCATTCTATGTATTGGACAATGCAATTATTAGGGCTCTTAGCCTCATGGTGAGACTTGTCCCTGTGCCCAGGGAGTTTGCAGTCTGAAGAGAGGGTGGAAGTTTGAGGACCACCTGTCTGTGAGTTACTCTTGTCTGAAGGCCTATTCCAGACAAAGAGGTAGCATCGATTACTGATTGAAGGTCCAGGCTCTGAAGTCAGACCACAGATCCTCAACTCTGTCTCTTACAGCTAGGAGATTTTGAGAAACTGGCTGAATCTCTCTAAGCTTCAGATTCTTCACCTCATAGGTTGTTTTGAGGCCTGGCCATAAAAATCAATAGAAAAATATGTTCTCTAATTACATAAATTATGAAATATTGATCATTGATATAGTTATTAAGAACTTGGCATAGTCCCTGGTCTCTAAATCCCTGAAAAGGAATATTTCTAGTTTATCACTGACTGACAAAGCCCTATGATCAAAGAGAAAGAGAAAGTTAGCTGATTAGTTAGTTGAGTAGAGAAAGAGAAAGTGGAGATGAGAAACAGCATAGCAAGGGAAACAGAATTCTTATAGGCAGAGGCCCAGACACTGAATTTGCCTTGCCCCATGTCTGAAAACACCGAAGAAACGAGGAAGTCAGTGTTTAATAAGTGGGGACTTCCCAACTGTCATGTGGCTGGGACCAGAACAGCCAGCCCCTTTGGGTCATATTAACCCAGAGGAAAATCCCATTGTTTCCGTAGAAGAGGTGGGAGGTGAACAGGAGAGCAGAGGTCAGCAAGTGTCCCAGAGGGCACTGAATAAACTTTTTCTCCCCTGGCAGCAGAACTGTCCTCGCGATACAATTCCTCTTCCCTGTCAAGATTTCCTGGTCACAGTATTTCTTCTTAATACTATGTTTGTGATTAAAAACATGGAGTGAATTAGGATAGCAATGGAAGGAAACTAAAGTCTCCAGGGTTACAGGACCTCAGTCTCACGTCCCATCTTACCCCAGAAACCCCTTTCTATGTGTCCCAACAGGGTCCCTTGCCCTCTGTGTGGCCATTAGTGCAGGTGAGCTGTTTAGTTGACAAAGTAGCCTACAGCTCTACACGTTAGAAAGATCTCCCTTGTATGGAGCCAAAATATGTTTTTCTTTCCATTCCAGCTCACTCTTGGCCTGAGTTTTGCCCTCTGGACATGCCTAATATCTCTTTTATGGGACAGTTTCAAATATATGAAGGCCGCTATGACATCTCCCCTCACTTCTGCATGTATTTGCCAAACTAAACAACATCGCATTCTTCAATCCATGTCTCACTGACCGAGGTATCCAGGCTGCTTTCTTGCCCTTCATGGAATGGGCTACATTTTTGGAATGTCCTTTTAAATGGCAATGCAGTGTGGAACACTCTCCTCCCAATGCACGCTGAGCAGTACCCAAGAGATTGGACTATTGTTTGGGACACACAGCTTGTCAGTCCCATTGCACGTCTGCCTCACCATCCTTCTAGCTGATCATGGTAAATGCTGCCTGTTCTCATTCCACAATGTCTTCCCCCACCTACCCAAGCCCCACCCCACCTCTGCCTCAGCCCAGAGCCTCCTCATCGCTCACCTGGATTGTTGGCATGGTCTCCAACTGGCTTCACTACCTCCAGTCTCTCACTTCTGCAATGCCTCTTTCGCCTTGTTGCTAGATTGTTCTTTCTAGTCCATAAGTTGGTTCTTGTCACACCCTTACACAGAAACAATCCCAACTCCCTGTGGCCTGCAGAATAAGTCTCGACTCCATAGTACAGGATCAGAAGCCCTCAATGATTGAGCTTTCCCCTATTTTCTTGGTCTTATTGTCCTTGACAGGTTTCCAGCCATGCCTAACCTCTTGCCATTCTCCTCAGCCTCAAATACTTCACACTTACTCCCTGGTTGTGAAAGCCTTTTGTCATACTTCAAAGCTCAGATAAAACATCATTTTTCCAGGATGCCTTAAATGATCTCCTCCTTGGAAAACCAACAGTGTATTAGTTGTATTTCCTTATTGGGTCATTCATTTATAATTTTTTTTGCTCTTTTTTTCTTCTCTTTTCAACTAGATGCTGTCCCTATAATCAAGGAAGTTTTGGTGTAATGAGAGAAAACACACACACAAAGAGCAATCAGAGTCGTGAATGCTCTAAAAGTGGATGGCTGTGGGAGCCTGGGGTGTGGGAATGGGAGCATGACCCAGAGAACAAGACATGAAAGCTAAGTCCTGACATGAGTGAGAGCTCCAGGCCGAGGGACTTACCTGTCGAACAGCCATATGGCCAGTGAGATCATGGGCCACTTAGAGAAAGGAATATTTAACTTTGTGGCTGCTTCGTAGCATGAAAGGTGGGGCATGGTAGGGATCAACCTGGACAGGCTGGCCAAGGCCAGGTCAGGCAAGACCTTGCAGGCTATGTTTCAGAACGTGGCCCTTATCTTGAGGTCAGTGGGGAATCTATGAAAGGTTTAAGCAGGGGAATGACATGCTGAAAATTTGAGCTTAGAAGTTCCATTACAGTTGGGAAAACTGGCTAGGACCTGAAACTGGACCCCTTCCTTACACCTTACACAAAAATTAACTCAAGATGGATTAAAGATTTAAATTAAGACCTAAAACCATAAAAACCGTAGAAGAAAATCTAGGCAATGCAGGACATAGGCATGGGCAAATACTTCATGACTAAAACACCAAAAGCAATGGCAACAAAAGCCAAAATTGACAAATGGGATCTAACTAAACTAAAGACCTCTGCACAGCAAAAGCAACTATCATCAGAGTGAACAGGCAACCTGCAGAATGGGAGAAAATTTTTACAATCTATCCATCTGACAAAGGGCTAATATCCAGAATCTACAAGGAACTTAAACAAATTTACAAGAGGAAAACAAACAACCCCATCAAAAAGTGGACGAAGGGTATGAACAGACACTCTTAAAAGAAGACATTGAAGCAGCCAACAAACATGAAGAAAAGCTCATCATCACTGGTCATTAGAGAAATGCAAATCAAAACCACAATGAGATACCATCTCACACCTGTTAGCATGGCGATCATTAAAAAGTCAGGAAACAACAGATGCTGGAAAGGATGTAGAGAAATAAGAACACTTTTACACAGATGGTGGGAGTGTAAATTAGTTCAACTATTGTGGAAGACAGTGTGGCGATTCCTCAAGGATCTAGAACCAGAAATACCATTTGACCCAGCAATCCCATTACTGGGTATATACCCAAAGGATTATAAATCATTCCACTATGAAGACACATGCACACGTATGTTTATTGCAGTACTATTCACAATAGCAAAGACTTGGAACCAACCCAAATGCCCTTCAATCATAGACTGGATAAAGAAAATGTGTTACATATACACCATGGAATACTATGCAGCCATAAAAAAGAATAAATTCAGCTGGGCATGGTGGCTCATGCCTGTAATCCCAGCACTTTGGGAGGCCGAGGTGGGCAGATCATGAGGTCAGGAGTTTGAGACCAGCCTGGCCAACATGGTGAAACCCCATCTCTACTAAAAATACAAAAATTAGCTGGGCATTGTGGTGCACGCCTGTAATCCTAGCTACTCTGGAGGCTGAGGCAGGAGAATTGCTTGAGCCCGGGAGGTGGAGGTTGCAGTGAGCTGAGATCGCACCACTGCACTCCAGCCTGGGCAACAGAGAGAGACTCTGTCTGGGAAAGAAAGAAAAAAATGAATGAATTCATGTCCTTTGCAAGGGACAGGGATGAAGCTGGAAACCATCATTCTCAGCAAACTAACACAGGAACAGAAATCCAAACATCGTATGTTCTCACTCATAGTGGGAGTTGAACAATGAGAACATATGGACACAGGGAGGGAAACATCACACACCAGGGCCTGTTGTGGGGTGAAGGGCAAGGGGAAGGATAGCATTAGGAGAAATACCTAATGTAGATGACAGGCTGATGGGTGCAGCAAACCACCATGGCACACGTATACCTATGTAACAAACCTGCATATTCTGCGCATGTATCCCAGAACTTACAGTATAATAATAATAATTTAAAAATGGGGTATCCATCCCCTCAAGTATTTAAAAAAAAAAAAAAGAAAAAGAAATTCCATTACAGTAACAGTGTGGAGAAAAGATGAGAGCCAGTTTAGGGTGGAGGCAGGGGAACTTATTATGAGGCTAAAACAAAACCACAGATACAGCAGTGGGTGCAAAGATTGGTGAAGAGACTCAAAAAATACTAAGGAAGTAGAAACCTCAAATTTGGTGAACCTGAGTATGAACAGAAGGGAAAAAGGATAAATGCTGGATTTCTGGGTCTCTGTTTAGCTTTCACTTCATTTTGTCTTGTTTTGTCAAACTCCCCCCACAAAGAGGTAGCACTACTCTCAGCAAAGTCTCAGGTCCCTGATAATAGGCATAATTTCTCGATTAGCTATAGATCCTCCATGTTGCCTTCAGTTATAGTTTGTCCAAGTCGGGTCTTAGTAAGCATTTGCTAAATTTCATACAACTCCATGGTACTGCATCAGAAGCTGAATTTATGATCAGATAGGGCACTTATTTTTTTCAAAGAAATACTTCTGGGCTGGGCACGGTGGCTCATGCCTGTAATCCAAGCATTTTGGGAGGCCAAGGCAGGTGGGGGGGATGACCTGAGGTCATGAGTTCAAGACCAGCCTGGCCAACGTGAAATGAAAAAATTAGCATCACGGTGGGTGCCTGTAATCCCAGCTACTCAGGAGAATGAGACAGGAGAATTGTTTGAACCCAGGAGGCAGAGGTTGCAGTGAGCCGAGATAGCGCCATTGCACTGCAGCCTGGGTGACAGAGCAAGATTCTGTTTCAAAGAAAAAAATACTTCTGTAGGAAGACCACCTTGAGAAAGGTCTACAGTTGTGTCATTCCATGAGCACCTATGCATTTTTCATCCCACAACTATTTACTGAGTGTCTCCCACACACCAGGCATTGTTTTAGATGTTGAGGATACAGTTGTAAATAAGCTTCCTGCCTCACCAGAGCTTATTCTACTGGGAAGACAAACATAAATAAATGACTAAAATAACACATGAATTCACATAGGTGTAATTGCTAAGGAGCAAAAATGGAGTAAGAAGTGAAACAACCAAGGAGGTAATAATTAATCTAAAAACTGGGTGATAAGAAGAAGATGAAATACATGGGAAGAGTGTTCTAGGCAGAGGGAACAGTAAAGTGTGGATATTTGTATGTCTAGAACTTAAAGAGAAGGTAAAGAAAGTACCTGCAGATGAGCTCAGAAAGCTGGGCAGCTCATTCAGGGTCATGAAAACGAGTTTGGATGTTTAACAGGAGATTGACCTGATGTGACTGTGGAGATATTTTTTCCCCCTTAAAGGTTGTCACAAGCCTGTACCACATATTCTTGGAAAAACAAGAGTAGTTTTCCATAACTTTGCCTCTCCCAAGAATGTTTCCCAGGGAACCAGCTAAACCATGTTTGTGAGCTTCATTCAGTACAGTTTCGCCTGGGCTTTGCTCCAGCATCTTTAGCAATATTATTTATTATTGATCCAGGTACAGGATTGTTCAGTGCACTGAATCAACAGGAGAAGCTGAGCTGAACAATGAACAATGTTCCTATTGTGTGCCTGATATGTACGGATCCCTTACCCCTGTTACCTGCTCTCCTTGGAGCATGAGGACCAGAGACGTGGGCCAGGGCAGGACAGAAGCAACTAAGCCTTCTGTGACTGGAGTACTTTACGGAGAAAAAGAGAAGGAGGCTGGCACACTGGCAGTGCCAGATGGTGGCAAAAGTGCACAAGCAGGTGATGAGTCTGAGGTTGAAAGAATGGGGACATGAAGGCCAAGGAGAAAATTTGGCCTTGAGCCTGTTACAATGAGATAGGAGCTTACCATCAAAATCGCAGCTGTGGGACATTTATCTCTTCTGATTTACCAACAAGAAATCGAGGTAGGCCAGGCACAGTGGCTCACGCCTGTAATCCCAGCACTTTGGGAGGCCGAGGTGGGTGGATCACCTGAGGCTGGTAGTTCAAGACCAGCCTGACCAACATGGAGAAACCCCATCTCTACTAAAAATACAAAATTAGCCAGGCGAGGTGGTGCATGTCTGTAATCCCAGCTACTCAGGAGGCTGAGGCAGGAGAATTGCTTGAACCTAGGAGGTGGAAGTTGTAGTGAGCTGGGATTGCTCCATTTCACTCCAGCCTGGGCAACAAGAGCAAAACTCCATCTCAAAAAGAAAAAAAAAAAAAAAAAAAAAGAAATCAAGGTAATCACTTCCAAAGTGAAGAAAAAAATAAAATAAACAATGATTGAAGTTAGGCTATAAAATGAAAGTACAGTGAACCCCACTTTCCACCAGGTCTTCTCTACACATTGAGGAGCCAAGAGAACTTCTTAGGATAAGAAAAAGGGACTTAAAACTGGAACTTATATAAAGAAGAAAACTATCAGTGGCAAATGGGCCTCTGATTAGCAAGTTCTTTTTTATTTTCCCTTGTGAAAATGAACAAACGTGAGGGCCCATTATAGTGTTTCAGTCACTGCCATTCTCCCTCTGTCCTGATTCTCCACAAACACAAAAAAACACTCCTTATCCTTAGAAGAAGCATGTTTTCAATTATCTCTAGATTCAGAGATGATTGTTTTGTTTGTTTTTATAAATGTGGTTGAGGCCATACCATAAACTCGGGTCTTGGGCTCTTTTGCCCAGTCACTAGAATTTCATCAATGCCCTCATAGTCAAATGGCGCCCATGTGTTAGTGATCTCACAGATACACCATTGTAATGCTTCATTATCGTTTTCCTTGGAGCGGGGAGGCAGGAGGGGGATCTTTCATAGGTTCCAACATGTACAAAACACTGCTGTCAGAATTTTACCCACAGTAGTAGCCTGAGCATGTCATTCTAATCACAAGGGAACCATATTGGCTCCTTGTCAAACGCTGAATTGATTTTAAAATTGCTTTGATGACTTATATATTCAGCCCACAGTTTGGGGCCTCTGTTTATCTCTCCACATGAGCCTAGTCGCAGCTTGAAAGCATTTGAAACTTGTTCTATCGGCCATTTGAAAATATAGGTTTAAGTCACATGGAGCATGTGCTTTTGGTTGCTGTTGCAGAGTCTCACATTTGGAGTTCATTCCTGGCTGGCCTCCAAAGCACTGAATGAATAGATCTATTTAAGATGAAATTTCAGTTTTATCTTTACACAGAATGCTTTTGAATTAAACATATACATAAGTTGTGCATGATTTTATTTGGGGTTATATAGCACATAAGGGCTTGAAAGAAGAGAAGAGGAAAGGAAAACAAAAACATCATCCTGCCTACTGATTAAATTGGTCACATGTTACCTATTTTACCTTCCAAGTTCAGTCAGGTGTTTCAGGCAGCAGGCGGTCTGACTTTTGCCGAAATCTCTCACCAGGATAGATAAGAAAATCTTGCCAACATAGAGTGAAAATTCAAATTTGGACTAGAAAGACTAGATTTTTGTTCACCAAGGAATTGATTAATAAAAGGAAGGAGGAGGAGGAGACTGAAAAAAAAACCAGGCGGGAATCTGAACTGCAGATCTAAACGAATGGCTAAGCTTTCATGCTATGTGTTAGAGGATGAAATTAGTTAAAATTAGAAAAATGGAAAGTAAGACAGGAATGTGATAGCCTGAAAAACTAGATTTCTCACAGTTCTACTTGTCCTGTTGGGACTGGCTGATTCTTGCACAGTTTTTCCTAGGGTGAGTGCAACACAGAATTCCTTATGCTTATGGACGTGTTTGATGGATTAAACTAAAATCTAACCTTGGATACCCATTACATTGCAAGAAGCATGTTTAACACACGTGGACTTAGTAGAAAATGTTTATCATGGGAGGCAGAGATGAGTCAAGCCTGCTTTTTAAAATTCATAAGCTTAAAGCTTATATTACCCAAGATCTATAGAAAGCTAATGATTTCACTTTCTGCCCATGCGTAGTTCTTGTCTACATTGAGAAGAAGTCAGTTGTTTCAATTCTGCCTCCAGAGGAAAAACAAAAGTACTCTTAAGCATAACGACTTTTGTATTGCACCCACCCTGGGTAGAACTGTGCAAGAATTGGCCAGTAACAACAGGACAAGTAGAACTCTGAGGACTCTGATTTTCCAGGGTATCACTTTCCTGTCTTAGGTTCTATTTTCCTAATTTCAACTAATTATCATCCTCACTAATCTAACACATAGCATAGAAGATTAGCCATACATTTAGATCTGCAATTTAGCACTCCATGGGTGTACAATGACAATAAACAAGGCCTGAATTAGCATTCCTCACTGCCTTTCAAGGTTCACTGCCCATTGGGGAAGAGGCAGAAAGAAAGTGATATCATAGCCAACCCTGGCCATATTCTATCAATACCAAAATTTCATTTTCCAAAACACAGAACCTAAATGATGAATTTAACAAAGAAAAGTATACTGAATCCAGGTCAGCTGAGCAGGGATACAAAGACAGCTGAACTTTTCACAGCTCTAGGGTCACCGATTCTGGTCATAAGGGTTAACACTTAAGTTAAAGGCAAAATGTGATCAGCTTGTCTGGGCCAGTCAGCATGTCTCAGAATAGCGATTTTGAGTCCAAGGATCAGAAATGGATTTCCAGTAAAGCTAATGGCATTTAAATTTCATGGCTCTTCACTTTACACAGACCCTGAAAAGGGCCCTACCTATGTGTTCTTGTTGTCACGTTATTGTAAAACTTCTAAAAGCAAGATCTTTCTATTAGCATGGACAGAGACTATTGTCCCCTTTCACTCTGACTTGGCCTCCAACACACTTCCCCTCATGTTGGAAGGAGCCAGAGTGGCCATGTGCATTTTCAGTATCTGATAGGGGATGTTGAGTTGGGGATCCCCTGGCTGGGTTTGAGTGTGATATGTTTATGGGGTTTGCAGTGACTTCTGTGTGCAGTTATCACTAGTCATCCCCAATTAATAACTTCAGGAATAGTCCTAGCACCCACAGTGCCAATTCACCCAGTGTTGAGATGTGAAGATACAAGGCCTGAAGTCATGTTGTGATAGAAAGTTGTCCCACAGTGCCCAGTACCAAAAGTTTGTGGGTGGTAAAAGAGAAAAGCTTTCTTAAATGTGTGGAGGTAAAAGCTATCGTGACTTTTTTTCTGGATTCATGATGTGTGTGGTAATTAATAGATTTTAAATAAATTATTTGTTGCTTCTTTTCTCATTCGAAATAAATATTTATTTTCATACCTTATTTATATATGTAATTGTGTATTATTTTTCCTAAAGAGTTCCAAAAACCTGGAGTCATCCTTGCCAATGACTCCAAGGGCTGGACAGAGTACCTCCTTAAAGAAACTGTGATAATCTATCATACACACTTGGTTAAATTCATATTATCAGGCCACGCACAGTGGCTCATACCTGTAGTTCCAGCACTTTGGGAGGCCAAGCCTGGCAGACTGCTTGAGCTCAGGAGTTCAAGACCAGCTTGGGCAACATGGTGAAACCCTATGTCTACTAAAAAGTACAGAAAAAATTAGCTGGGCATAGTGGCATGTGCCTGTGGTCCCAGCTACTCAGGATGTTGAGGTGGGAGAATTGCCTGAGCCCAGAAGTCGAGGCTGCAGTGAGCTGAGATCACGCCACTACACTCCATTATATCACTGGGTGATATAGTGAGACCTTGTCTCAAAAAACAAACAAACAAACAAAAAAAAACCACTCATATTATCACTTCACCTTATATATGAGGTATCAAATCCAGAAGCCCCTCCCTGTCACCTGAAATCTCTATTTGTGTTCCTCCAAGATGCCAATCTCCTAGTACCTTGAAGGATAAAACAAGGAAACAAAAATCAAGCTCAACATGATTTATTTAATCACTGGAACACATTCCATCTTCTTCCCTTAAGGCATGGAGCATTCTTTTGCACAAAAACAAGGTTTTGCTTAGTGTCCAAGTTAGTTAAATATTATTTCTCAACCTCTCTGCTTCTTTCACAGCCCATCAATATACCATATGCCAAAGGATGTTAATTAATAAAAGAATAAGTAGCTAATGGAATGTGGTATGATGTCAGGACCTATTACCACACATACTTCCTTCTGCTGTACAAAGCACTATTGAACACTGGAGTCCCAAACAGTTAAAGTCCATCAAATGAGTTAAACTAAGGTACTTTCAGTATAGGTAGGCTGTTTGCATATTTATACTTGCATAAAATTACAGCCAACTGAAGACAATTCAAGAGAAAAAAAAATCTAACAACTTTGAAAGAGTAAAGACTAGGTAAGTCTAAATCTCATATACTAAAACTTACAGAAAGTATCTGGGTATACAAAGCATTTTTTTTGTTTGTTTGTTTGTTTGTTTGTTTTTTGAGACAGAGTCTCGCTGTTGTCCAGGCTGGAGGGCAGTGGCACGATCTTGGCTCACTATACAAAGTTATTTTTAAGTGTACATGCATTATATCCATACTTCACACCATTGATGTTATGTATGTGTCAGCAACCAGTTATAAACTCACATTCTCTGAGATGCTTTGTCAACTATTAGTTTCGTCAAATTTAATCCTGTATTCAAAACCATCAGACTGAAAGCTTAACAAGACTTTACCAACACAACGTAAACAGGAAAGCTTTCCCAGAAAGTTTCCCAAACCAACAAAAGCATTTTATGGTAGCCAGTCTTGATGGTTACCACTGATCCTTCCTGGCATCCACACCTCTGGATAGTATCCTCCCACATCACAGTAGGTTTGGTCTATGTGACAAAAGAATGTGGCAGAAGTGATATGTCACTTTTGAGATTAGGTTACAAAAGACTGCCACTGGCCTTTGCTCTCTCTTGCTTGCTTGCACAAACTATCTCTCTCTCTCTTTCCCCATCCCTCATTGCTCTCCCTGGGGGGAAGCCAGCCGCCATGTTGTGAGCTACCCTATGGAGAGGTCTATGTGGTAGGGAAACTGAAGCCTCCAGCCAACAGCCAGCAAGGAACTGAAACCAACATAGCAGACAAAGGAGGTTTGACTGGTACACCCCCACAGCACCAAGCCCCAACCTCAGTAACCTATCATGTAAAAGGCATATCTCTGTGACCTCACAGAGATGAGAAAAGCCTGTGTGTATGCTTGAAACTGAAAGAGTCACATGCTGAAGAAATAATCACCTCCCTTGTTCAACCAAAACACAAACAAGTGCACTTAGAGGCCATGAGAATGGGGTAGAGTGCAAACAGAACTATCAATGGTTTTTTTCTTTTTCAGTTTCAAGCTCATCATGTCTTCCTAATCCCAGAGAAAAGTCCAAGCTCAAGCCTCACATTTTAGGGGCATGTTTAAATCACATCGCACTAAATTTCTTGCAGTAGAATTCTTTGAATATGACTTTGCATTTGCTGTGCATTTAGAGTATTTCTGATAAGCTGATTCATGCGTTTTTCAGAAACTGTTAACTTATGCAATATATCAAGTAAGAAAAGCATTTTTTAACCTGCCAAGGGAATAGAATATGAAACATTCAATTCTGAAAGTTCCCAAGATGGAGGTCAATAGCTGCTAATTCACTGATATTTTGGGGTGCTGATTCTACAGACAAGAAGTCAATCTTTCAAACCCACAACTTTGGAGACAAGCAGAGTAGATTTCCAAGTGACTATGCATATTTTAGGGTGTTCTTTTTTCCCCCTTTATTTTTCCATGCAGGACACTCATTTGTAACTTTTCTACTACCATTTTTTGGAAGAGAAGGGACTATGTCTATTTCATTTCTGGATCCCCCTCACAGTGCTTATTAGAATGTAAGTGTATACCAGGCACACAAGATGGTTGAATTTTAAGCAATCCCTTTTTCCCAGACAAAAAAATCTAATGCAATTTTATAAAAGAGACCAATAGACAGTGAAATAAAATGTGCCTAATGTTTAAGAATGCAAGATAAGTAATACATACATAGGCACATTGTAATATGCTCCTGATGAAATATTGCTTGATTTAAAGATGAAGTATACTCAGTATGCTAAAGTAGAACAAGTGCTATCGTGTAGCCCAGCAACATTTAGATCCAAACAACATATAGATTCTTTCACTCTACGCACCTGTAGGAACAACATAGGGGTTTTTCTGATTCCATATAAATTACCAATCTTTGCACATTTTAAACAATTAAAACGAGAAAAGAACTGTACTTTTATATGTAATGATGGGCAATAGTGAGTATGAGTAATTCTTCCCATATTATGTTCCCACTGAAAACGTTCTTCCATGAAGAATTAATTCCTACCCAAGAATCCTGGAATTTGTCTCACAAAAATATACAGAATGTCACTCAGTCTTCCAGGAGCTAGTATTTGTCATAAATCTCTCATTCCAGGCAACCAGGAAATAGAATTTTATTTACAAAGTTAAAAAAGGAACTGCAAAAAATAGTTACTGCCAGAAATCTAAAAATAATTTTTACTCCTAATTACTATAAAAATAATACAGGGAAATGTTGGAGCTCTATTTTCTAGTACTTCCTGGCTATGCAAATGTCAAAGTATCACTTGGCAACAGTTGGACAAACAACAGAGTTTTGTGTCAAGCAAGACAAAGCAACTGGCAATCCCTGGGATGCCCTCAGCAGAGGGTGGGGGATTGGCAGCTCCTTTATGAACAAGATTATTATCTGTATCCTATCCCAGCCCTTTCATTTTTTTGCTTTCCCCAAAAGCCATTGGTTAATTTCCCATTAGACTGAATTGAGAGAAAACATTCTCAAGTATTGAATAAGCATCTGGCCATAATACAAAACTACTGTGTTGGTGAATCGGCACCTTTCTAAAATTGAGTTTGACCAATGAAGCAAGCGATCTGGAAGAACTTTTGTGATCAACAACATCTGTCACTAACTGAGATATTTCCAATTGCTCTGAAGTTCCTATCTGTTAAATAGTTCCCACATCACTAATAAGTTCAATCTGACTTTGTTAAAATAATACTCTTCTATGGGATCGGACACAAAGTACATATTGCCCAGCAGAACAAATGGCTTCTGTTTGAATCTCACTGCACTGTGTATATCCCTGGGCGAGTAACTTAATCTAATTTCAGCAATGGTATAAAGGAAATAACAATAGAACTTATAAGGTGGCTCCAAGAATTAAAAGAGGTAATGAGTATTTAACACACTTGGCACAGTACCCAGCATAAAGTGAGCGCTTAGTAAGTTTTAGTTCTCCTTAGTCTAGTCATTGTTTTTCAGTCTTATTTCTGTTGATAATATTATTTCTTTTGTAAAACGATGAGGTCTGATTTCCTAAAATGAACACCTAGTGGCACTGTCACATGAAAAAATCTATTGTCAGTGAATTAAAAGGCAACATTATTAAAAAGCACATTTATCAAACCAATACACATGTACAGTATGTACATTTGGGTATGATGTATACAGAAGAGAGAGGGTTATGAGCTTTAGACTTGAAGAATCAGTCATGTGGACTCCCTTGTCCCATTGAGTCACCAAGTTTCTCCCTGTATATTCTACATACTGATTATTTTGCATCAGCTCTTAAAACATATTCCAATCTCTTCTTAAATTCATACTCTTACACTCTGCATAGTAATTCTCAACTTCTTCAGTGATATAATTCACAGCATAAGTGATGAGAAGAACTTTGAGAAATTCATCTCCACTCCAAAGAACAAAACATAGTCAACTGGGATTCTATAATTTACTCATGTCCTTATTAAAATTAAAATATGAAGACACCAATAAGTGTGACCCAGGAAAGCTGTAGGCTATGTAACTCTTTCAAAAAAAAAAGAAAAAAAAGTGGGCTCTGAAATGAAGTCTTGCTCATAAAAGCAAAATTCCTGCAGGGAGAGTCAGCTGATTTGTTTACAATGGAGTTCAAAGTTTAATCCACTGACAAACTAAATCACACCTAAATCGCATCAGGATCCCTCTAGCTGACTATAAAGAGAATCTAAGAGGATGCCATCACTGCTGCTTTCCTGAAGATCTTAGTTCTACATGCTAGAGTTATCATTCAATAAAATAAATAAATTATACTGGTAACTCTTTGAATTCGGATTTGCATTTAGTCAATAGCCTTAAACAAAACAAAACAAAACAAAAAAAACCCTCTCTTCTTTTCCCAAGATCAGGAAATAATCCAGGGGTTTGGTGAAATAATAGGAGACAACATAGTTTGAAAGAGGCTTGTCAGTAATGCAAAAGTCAACTTTCATCTGCTTCCAGCTTAGCAAAAATAAACCAAATAATTAGTGTGTTTGAGGGACTATATCAGTGGATAGGACTCATCTGACCATGGTGAAAAAAAAAAAAGAAGACAAAAAAGAAAAAGGAAAGAATTACCATCTATGGAAGGCCTGCTATGTGTCAAACACCAGCAATTAATGGGAACTAAGTCAATTAATCATCAAAACAATCCAAAGGTGAGAGTATTATGGCCCCCAACCCATTTTAGGAATAATGAAACAAACTGATGTTCAAAAAATTGAATTGACTTGTCCAGAGTCCTACAGTCACTAGTGATTCAGCCAACAGAGTCCAAAATCCATTTTGTTTTTTGCACTGTAACATTAATCTATAAATGGACAAAGTTACTTCAAACACACACACACACACATGCATGCATGCGTGCGCAGAAATTAACCTTTAAGCTAGTTTTTAAAATTACTAACTTGGATGTTGGGAGCTCAAAATGCATTTTGATGTAGAAATAATATTGCAAATGGTGATTAGACTCACAGACTAGTTTACAAATGAGTAACAAAACTAGGATTGCATGAAAGTGTTTAATTACTATTGCATAATTGTTGGCTATTCTGTTTGTCTTTATTTTCTTGGATTAGGTGTTCAAGTTGGTAGGAGACAGAAGGTGAAGAATTGCAATTTATGACTCCAGATATTAGTCAGGAACTATTTGATTGCAAGGAACAAAAACTCATTTAAATTTGTTTAAATAAAAAAAGGAGGAACACGGGGACTGAGGCCTGGGACAGAAAAGCTGTCAGGAGCTAATATTTTATGCCCCGGCTCAGATGATTCATTTCTCACCTTTACTCTGCTCTGTGAGGTTGCTTCTTTCTTCTTTCTCTGAGGATAATTTTCTCTGACTCTCCACACTCAGGGCACAAAATGCCCTGTTTATATCATGTCTCAGTTCAAATGTATTTTAAACGAAAATCTCAGAGTAGGTTTGCAGATATTCTTTGGAAATATCTGGTTCACTGGAAACTTGCATCTCTTTTCTGCTCCTGCAGCAGAAAGGAGCTCTCCAAACTCTGAGAGCAGATGCCTGAGTCTCCACTGCCCTGAGTCTCAGACCCATCTCACCACTGTCACCAGTGTCTCCCCACAGCCCTTGTCCCACATTTGCTGGCCAGCTCCTTCCTCCGTTCTTAGTTCTTCTTCTGTTGCTGCCACTTCTTTTTCTCTGACTCATCAACTGGCAAGACTTTGGAAGAGTTGTTGGCCAAAAGAGTTTGGAGCAAGAGGTTTTGGCATGGAGAGCTCTGGCAGCACCCACGGATCTCCTGGAGGGGTCCCTGAAGGATAAGTCTCCAGAGGCAGTAGTCTGAGGGCAGACTTAGAAATAGCCTTTTCTCAGTTTTATTTCAGGCTCTTCCACCAGAAATGGGATCTTGGACAAGTCACCTCTTTCCTTTAGACCTCATTTTAAAAGTGAGAAGTTCTCAGTAGATGATCCTTAAAGCATACGGTTCTTGACTGAGACTTGGCTATTCCTCCATTTATTGTAACTTGAGGTCCATATAACTATATTTGATGCTTATGCTACACTTAACCTCATACAGGTTGAGCATCCAAAACTTTTTGAGGGATGACATGACACCACAATTGGAAAATTCCACACACAAGTGCTTAACACAAATTTTGTCTCATGCACAAAATTATTTTAAATATTTTATAAAATTACCCTCAGGTTGTGTGTATAGGGTGTATATGAAACATAAATATCATCTTTAGACTTGGTTCCCCTCCACAAGATATCTCATTATGTATATGCAAATATTCCAACATCTAAAAAAATCAGAAATCTGAAATACTTCTGGTCCCAAACATTTCAGATAAGGGATATTCATCCTGTGTTACAAGTAACCTTATCTGCATACTTGTGAATATGCTTACTTTTAGTTCTTCAAAAATTGCAATCAATCAAAAAGACTGTTGTTATGAGCTCTTCACTGCTACTAGTGATCGTTTATTCATTCGTTCTTCCAACCACTGCTTAGTGAGCACTTCTGCCAGGCAGGAAGAAAAGTATAAGACATGGAAGGCCCTCAAAGGAAGCTGAACTGAGTTCGGGAGAGAAAATTGATTACCATGAAACAACCACATGGAATACTATGAGTTTCTATGAGGGCTAACCGTTATGGCAGGAGAACAGGGAAGAAACATCAGTGATGATGTTTTTCAAGTTCCTAAGTGTGGCTGAGAAGGCTGAGGGTCCTTACCACAGCAGCTTCACTCATCTTCTGGAGAATTCATGTCACAAAGATAGATAGTAAAGATGTGCATTTGGGAATTTGGGGGTGGGAGGATTGATGGTTGGTTGGCTCCCATCCTCCAGTTCTGATTTTCTTGCTCAAAATGGGGAGGGATTTGGCTAAGAGAATAAGGGTGTCAGACAGCTGCCATTCATTATGCCAAAGCATAGCTATAATAAGGACAAATTCACCTAAGTCCTAGGCTACTGGCCAGCTTTGCAGAGTCTTTCCTGTCATTTTATTAACACCTAGCACCAGCATCACCACTCAACCTAATGACAGTAATGTGTGTTTTACATGACTGAATGTTTGGTCCCCACCTGTCATGCTGTGGTGTGGCTGTACTCTATATGAATAGTTCAAAAGGATGGATGGGGTAAGATGGGGGCCGGGGTAAATAGGGAAACGTGAAGTAAAACCACCACAGGAGTCCCACAGGCAAGAACATATGCTGAACTCCAAGCAAATCACAAGAAGGATGATCTGTTAGGCTCTGCATGTCTTTCCAAACATCTTCATGTCCTTGTCTTCTCTCCATTCCCATCCTGCCATCTCGACTCATTCACAATGTGATTCCCAGCTGGCCTCCCCAAGGCAATGCCCTCTATTCTTCAATCCTATTTGCAAAATTTCGTTAGATTATCTTCTCTTAACTGATTCCACTACATCATTCTCCTCTGAGAAACCTGTTTTAGTCTACATCAAATGCCTGGGCCTAGCATTTGAAGATTCCTGGTCTCCATTCCAGTCAAACTGGTCTCACTTCCTCATACGGCATGCTCATTCCTGCCTCTCTGCCATACTCCTCTGCTTGAATACTTGACTTCCTCCCCATCGCTAGCTTCAATCTTTTAGTCCTTCAAGGTCACTCAAGTTCCATTCTCTTCACAAAAATTGACTGTGAACACTCTGGCCTTTCTCAACGGATGGACCCTTTGCTGAAGGCCTACAATGCTGGGTTCAACAATACTGCAAGTAATGATATATTTTAATACCTTTCCATCTTATCTCCCTAGTTAGACTGTCAGCACCTGGCATCATACCTGTCACACAGGCTTTATAGGTTTTTAATAAATAGAAGGCTGAATAATTGTACTGGCTACCTTTTCCATATTCTTTATCTCTCAAATAACAAGTCACGCAAGCCAATGTCAATATTTTATCCAAAAGCATTTATTAAATAGTTTCCAGTTGTAGCACATGAAGGACTCCTGCCACGATAATAATGCCACCATAATAATAATAATAATGTAGGAAACTTCATACCTTAACAGAGCAGGACACATGAGTAAGAATATAGTATCAAAATATAAACAGTCAATTGAAAATTCTGAATAAGTAAAAGGTTGTCATGTGCAGGGCAAAGGCTCATGTAAGGAAATGCAATTTAGGATGGGAAACAGAGAAAAAAAGTGTGATTGGATCAATAATGAAGATGAGCATGGAGAAAATTGTCCACATTCCAGCTCAGATAAGAGATAAGGCCAGCAATAGGGAAAATGGGCACAAAATGCATGTATAATCTGGTACCTGTTTAAGTCTGTCCCCAAAATATGAGTATGTGCCTGTCAGAGGTGGAACAAGAAGGTGAGGGTTTGTTAATTTGTTGACTGTAACTCCAGTTATCCGAATATGTACTATCTATTCATTGATTCCAGGTGTTATGTGTGGGTTCCACTGGTGATTCATTTGTTCATTTACTGTTTTATTATGTACTTACTGTTTGTTAGACTCCCTGCCAGCTGATTTTAAAGTATATAAGATACTGGGCCAGCCCTTCAGGTGAAAACAAGACTGATGAAAAGAAAAAAGGATGATAATACAAGAAAAGTATGCAAGGTCCCAGTGGATGGAACAAAGAGTAACCCTTCAAGTGCCCAGATAAAGAACAGCCAATAACGAAGGCACCTACTGCTATGGAAACTGTCCTGAACTAAGACTTGTGAAAGTCTGCTTTTAGAATATTAAATTTTATATGAATTTAAGGTATATATATTTACATTTTACTGTTTCTGATTATATCAGTACAAACAGTTAAAAAGTATTTACTGTGTGCTAGGATACACTCAAAATACTCAACATATGTTAACTCATTTAATCCTCACAACCAGCCGTATGAGGTAGATCCATCTGCTTCATTTTACAATTGAGGAAACTGAGGCACAGAGAAATTAAGGCACTTGCCCAGGGCCTCAGAGCTTGTCAGTGGTAGAGCCAGTGTTCAAACCAGAGTTCAATTCTCAGCCGGAATTCTTGTGCATCATTAGTACACATGTGCACAAGTACACTGAATAACATATCGACCCCCCAAACAGTAAATCTAAGGTACATTTTACAATCAAGGTTTCCTTAAAATCAAAGAACTCTATGGCGTCCCTCTACCTGATATATTGCAATGAATTGGGGGTGGGAATTCAATTTGACTTAGCAAATATTTATTTAGCTGTGGAAACTTAGAGATAAATAAGATCAAGTCAAGCTCCTTAAGGAGGTCAATATGTAGTGAAAAACACAAATAAGTAAACAGCTCATTACAGTACACTGTGGTGAGTGCTATAGCACTGTTTCTATTGTGTCAACAGACCTCGTGGGCTTCCAAAGACAAAGGGATTATTTCTGCCTGGCAGGTTGAAAGATGCTTACAGAGGTGGGAACAACTGGGCTGAGCCTCCACATTGGACAGGCTTCACTCAGGCCAGGGGAGGGTCATAGATGAGAGGGAGGGCTTTGCAGGGAATGGCTATACAGGGAGTTAATAAGGGGTGATAATGAAATGACTCTACAGTGGTACCTAAATTCTGCCTTGGCCTCTCCAGTCCTTTCCCTCAAAGGTCCCTAAAGGGTATATACACACACAAACACACAGAAAAAAAAAAAAAAAAACACAAAGTCAACAATATTTTCTTTTTAACTTTCTGCCCCTCCACCCCAAACCCTATGTAAACTCTGAGAAGCTAGGCTGGGCCCAAGGAGAAGGCCTTTACCTAAGCTAGATGGTTGAAGTGCCCTAGAATCCTAACAGCATAGAAGGCTTCCTCTATTTCACCTAAAGCCAAATTGTATGTCTCACCACTCTGATTTGAGGGAAAGCAAATCCAGAATATAGTGCAGGAGAAAAAGGAACCAATTAGAAAGAGACAGGCTGCAATGCCTTAGGCAGCATGGGGCTGGCAGGTGAGAGGGATGGGAGAGCCTGCAAGAAGGGGCCTGGGCTTCTCCTGAGGGTGCAAGCCTGGCACTTTTAGCCCTAGGAGTGGAAGAGAAGGATGCAGGAAAGAGCCAGAGAGGCAATCAGGCTACCCTCATCTCCCCTCCTGCCTGTGGGATCCTTTGAAATTTTCACAATACATGCACAGGTGCTTTTATTCACTTATTTTTAAAAGAGTATAGTGTAATCTTCAGCCACTGTTAGTCCTTAGAAGGGACTGATTCATAGCATCTACTCCTCCTTAGAGTAGAATGAGGGTGGTGGGGCGAGAGGCATAAAATTCCACAGTGAATTCAGGGGTCGTAGTCTAATTCAGCATTGAAGAACAGAGAGTTTACAATGAAGAGTCAAAGAAATAAGATTTTCCTCTTTCAGCCTCACTTTCCCCATTTGAAAATGAAATAAATTATGTTAAAATCTAGTCAGCAACATTTAGTTTTGACTTTTAATCATTTTCTGCTCATAGCTGGAATGATAGAGAAGGTTTACAGGAAGAATGGGACTTCGCTTCTTAGCTCTGTGGCCTTAGGCAAGTTATTGAACACCCTGACCCTCACTGCAGAGATTGGACCTCAGTAAAATAGTGGTGATGTCACAGGATCCTTCGGGTGTTGCTTTCCTGGCCAAAACTCTCTGTGGCAGGTGGCACCTTTGCCTGAGTTTTGCTTGGGCCCATGGGGCTTGTTCTGCCCACTTGGCCTGGCAGGCTGCACTCAGCTCATGCTACCAACTTGGTTCCCACACTTGCCAAAGGCAAGCCAGGCATAGAGCAGCGGTGGGTGTGTGAGCAAGCAAGTGTGGGGTCCAGAGTGGGCGCCAGCTCCCTGTGAGGGTGTGGCTGGAACAGGCATATCACAAACAACTTCCATGGCTGGCACCAGGAAGCACAGTGGTGCCTAGAAGCTTGGAGACACCACGAACCGCAGGTCCCCTAAGAGGGTGCCACAGCCATGGCTCAGGGAGCTCCTGGGTCTGGACTCCCTGAAGGGCTGCAGCTCTTCTCTTCTTCTCTCCTTCTTGTTGCCTGCAACATGGCAAGCAAGGGGCATGTTTTATCCCTGTTCGTGTTACAGCTCTTTCAGCCCTGCCATTCAGCAGGTTCCAAGTTCTTGTCCCATGTCCAGGAAGAATGAGGTATGCGGACAAGTGGAGGGTGAGCAAGGTGAAGAGGTGCTTTATTGAGTGACAGAACAGCTCAGAGGACACCACAGTGGGTAGCTCCTCTCTTCAGGCAGGCTGTCCCATTGTTTGCCTGAGTCTGGCTGAGTCTGGGGTTTTTATGGTCTTCAGAGGAGAGAAAGTGAATATTGATTGGTTTGTGGGTGGCCATAGGCAGGTCTGGAAAAAGCACTGTAAGTTCTCACTCTAGTCTGTGGAACTGGCAGCCCAGCCCCCAGGCCTCAGGCCATGCCTGGCCTGAAGCAGGGGTTTCACTTGGAACCCACTGCTTTCTGCCCAGAAGCCTGTCTGCCTTCTGCTGCCATTAACCTGCTGTCTACAGTGCCCACAATGCCCAGGCTATTTGCACCAAGAGGTGCCTACGGACCCATGCCAAGCTGCCCTTAGTCCCTCTCCCAAGCCTCCCTCCAGTGTTTGTTGGTGTCCAAAGTCTGGAGGGTGCTGAGGCAACAGGGGCTTGGTATGTCAGGGCTGTCCCAAGTGTGTACATACCTGGCCGGATAGTGACAGCACCCGAGCTCAATCACAACTTTGCTCTGAAATTGGAACAGGCACCCAGACCAGGGACAGGACAGGCAGCGGGACAGGCCAGTCAGCAAGAGAAGGCATTTCCGAGCCTATGAGGACAGGGAGACTTCTCAGGCCCCCAAGAGTGCAGAAATGCCCAGGTCTGCAGCCAGGGCTGAGTGGCTCCAGCTGCACCTAGAAGGGCGGGGCTCCCACCCCTCCAACTTGGAAGAAAGAGGGGCTTTTGCCTGTCTCAGGCTCCTGCTTGCTCCATGGAGCACACTGCCCCAGGCACACCTCCCCACTGCAGCCAGTGTCATGCCAGCGGCCTCTCCAGACCAGCTACCACTGCCATCAGTGATGCCTACCTCCTAGGGTTGTTGGCGTGATTCAAGGAAAGGATGTAGGTGAAGTGCCCTGCACAATGCCTGCCATATGGAATCTGTTCATTCCCTGTGAGAGGGCCTATTATATGCCAGCTTTATTCAGAACAGTGAATATGTTCCTGCCCTCAAATTCTATGAAGGTGCATATAACTAATGTTATTTGCTATAGGGCCATTTCAGGAAACAAAACAAAGCCACTGAAATGGTGAGAGTCATGGAATGACTCTCAGAACAACCCAGAACCAGCCTAGTAGAGGAGCTGCCAACTCAGAGCCACAACTAGAACCACAGCAGTCTAGTCTGAGGTCCCTGCTGCAGCTGGAGGTCAGAGAATGGACATGAGGTGCTTTTTTCAGGAATTAGAGACCAGATCAACATGTGACTACCACCACCACTGCTTCTGGACTGCCCCTTGACAATCAGGAAGACTGGCAGCTGACACATGAAACCCACAATCTTGTTGGCCAGTGAAGATAGCCAGAATACAAAAGAAGCCCCTGTCTTTCTTCTTCTAAATCTCTTCAGAGAACTTCTATTGGTGGAATCTAATTTATATCCAAAATCTTAGCTTCAAAGGAGCTTGGGAAATGTAGTTTCTTGGTCAGCAACCATGTGCCAACCCCAAAGTCTATTATTATGAAAGAAGAGAATAGAATTTTGGAAATAACTAAATGTCTATCCTTGTCAATACAGGATGGGAGGAGAAGGCATCTGAGGGCAGGGAACTATATTAGCAAAGACCCAGGGTAAAGAAAGGGGTGTCAGCAAGAGCAACTGGCTAACTGCAGTGGAGAAACATAAGAGAGACTCAGCAAAGAAAGCTAGAAACCAGATACCTGACATTATCTCACTGGTAAAGTAGAAATCATATCTGGCTTTCTGTACTTTCTTTCTTTAGAGTAGTGAAAATTTATGGTTCTCACTTAAATGTTCTTCTTCCCTAGGAGCCCCCAAATCCTGTTTATAGTCCCATTAATTTGTCACTATTAACTGGAGCATCATTAACCAGGTCTGGAAAGAACCAGAAGTCCCTTCCCCAAAGACCAGCTCTACTTGGACCTGGTTCCCACAAAGCTTTACTGGTTATCCACTTAAGTTCAATTAATGCATGAAGGAGTTGTTAATATTTATCTGCCACTAGGTTTCCTGAGTTTTTCTTTTAAAATGTCATTTGTTAATAATAATAATAATAATAGGTTTATTTATTCTTGGCTCAAGGTTTGCTCTTTGAACCAAGAATTTGCTTAGAGTTGAGTATTGAGTGGAAGGAAAGAAAGCAGCCAGCAGGTGACAATTATATGTTTACAAGGAAAGTGATATTTCACATCTCAAAGTGCAGCCCCCGATAGCTGAAGCCATTTTTCTTTGTTCATGCCAATAGTGCAGGGAAGGGCTCTAGTTATGTACTGGTGAAAATGGGGTGGCAGAAGCAAGCAATAGAAGATAGTGTTGTTTTCATTTTGCACTAATGTCCCTAGACAGAAGCATACATTTCTCATATTCACTTTCTCAAGGCTCTTGTTGTCCTAGTTTCCTGTTAAAAATCAAGCTAGTGATGGCAGACTTGTGCGATCCCATGAGAATACTGAAAGCAGTGTATTACAGTACCAGGCAGGAGAGTGGGGCTGAACAATAAGTATAACAGGAAAGTATTAACCCCAAATGAAATAGATAGTAAACTGCAAGCCATCACCATTGCAGAGCCCAGGCTACAGCTATGAAATGAAGACATGAGCATCATTGATGGAGCTTCACATGCAAGCAAAATTGTAGAGTCTGAGGACAAATAGGGAGGAAATGAAAAGGTTGAGAAAACTCAGTTTTGTCCCTGCCAGCTCTCTCAGGGAATTCACCGTGCCTCTAACTTAAATCAAGTTGTGGCTACCAGACACAAGCTTAACTTGGAGGCTGAATGAACAATTTTAAGCAAAGCTGTTTGAACAAGGAATGCTGAATCCGTTAAACAGATAAATATGTTTGAAGTCTTTGATTTTTTTTTGCATACTTCTATGTGCATTATCAACTATAACATCTAATAATAACTTCCTTCTTTATCTCGGCAGGAGGCGGCAAAGAAGAGAATGTCTTTCAAAAACATACAAGATAAACTTTAGGGTCACTGCTTAAGGGCTTATGGCTGGACTGTCTTAACCCTTCAATGAATCCAAGAGGTAGCAGGCAAGAGAAAGACCAGCAAGCAGATAAACATACAAGGGTGAAAATGAGTAATTTTTCAGTGGGAACTTGAACATGTATCAGCAGAGGAAGTATACTGGAATATTTCCAAATCATCATAGAGTGTGTCTCTAAAGATGTAGATATACAGCCATAGATACATATTTCCTGCCCACATTAAACTTTGTACTAGAGAAGGCAAGCCTTTACTTGCAAAGAGAGGTTGGTTTGAAATTCTCCATAAAGGCATTAATTCCAAGAGAAAAAAAAATTACCTTCCTCACATGCTCCTGCCTGGAACAAATGGCAAACCTTTTGGAGAGGGGAGATATCTTAATTATCTGCTGTATACAAACCTCAAAATTATCAGCCTAAATATTTTCAACAGAAAAGATGGGTTTATTTATGCACACTTGACTGAAGTCAAGAAGTAGGAAACTGCAAGATAATTTAAAGCAAACAAAATACTTTTGCCTTCAGACCTATATGGATAAAATCGTAAAACTCTACTGAAGGACGTAAAAGAAGACTTTGATGAAGAGACATATCACCTTGCTATCTAGGAAGACCCAGTTTTGTAAAAACTGTCGATTCTTTCCAAATTAATCTATAAATCTAGTGCAATATCAGGTAAAATCTCAACAGTTCCTTTTACGGAGCTGACAAGCTGGGTCTCCAGATTTCTGTAGAAAACACACAAGAAGAGTAAAGAATATATACTATAAAGCTATCCTGATTAAAACAGTGCATAATTAAGACAGGAAAAGTCAGCCAGAACGATGGACTAGAATAACTTACCAAATACCTGCTATATGTATGCATGTGTGCGAGTGTGTCTGCATGTGTGTAAGTTTATTTCAAATTAGTGAGTAATGAATGATAAATGTATAAATACAATTGTTTACCCATTTAGAAAATATGAGTTTAAACCCCAAAATAGATTTCAAATAGATTTTTAAAACCCAAATAAATATTATCATAAAAGCATTATTAGGAGACACAAAAATCTCAAAGAGGAATAAATTGACAAAACTGTGCAAAACAAACTCTCGATGGAAAAAAAAACATAAACAGAATTCAAAGACAAAAAATAAACCAAAAAAAAATATGTGGCACATATAACAAAAAAAAGGAATAATAGCCAGCCACAATATATAAATAGACAAATAGATCCTGTGAATCAATAAGAAAAAAAAAATAGCATTATAGTCAAAAAAGCAAAAGGTTTTAAAGACACCTCTCTTATTCCTCACATAAAATTCATTGCCATGTTCTTGAATCTCCAACTCCACCACCCCGACGCTAGTTCATGCTGCCATCATCTCTCTTCCCCTTCACCCATTATAGCCTTCAACTGGATTCCCTTGCGTGCATTTTGCCCCTCTCCATCAGTCCTCCACACTGAAACTTAATGAAACACATATTACTTCCATCCTTCAGTCACTGCTTTCCCTTACTCTTAAGGTTGAGAACCATGTTCCCAGCAGAATCACAAGGCTCTTTGAGGTGTTGCTTTCTATCCACCACTCTGGGCTTGTCTTCTAATGTGACAAACGTATTCTCTGGATGTTAGCCTTTCTTTCTCAAATGCACAGGCTCTCTCCTCTCAGAAAACCTTTAATCAAGCAGCTTCGTCTGCCTGGAAAGCTCAGCTGCTCTAGATCCCTTCTTTCCCCTCATCCTCATCTTTTTCTAGGTACTATCTGTCCTCTGACTCTTCCTTGAAATCCACACCCAGTATAATAACTTTCTCAGAAAAATCTCCCTTGACATCCCCGATGAAGTCTCTTTCCCCTAATATAAGGTCTTATACTGTGTGCCCCTCCTTCGTAGCAGTTGCCACATTTGTGATACTATATTCAGTTTTAAGATTCTTTAATTCATATCTCTATCCTGTGGTAGGCTGGTAGGCACCACGGGTAAAAGGACCATGTCTGTTTTGCTCACTATGGTTTTCTATTGCATGTTCATAGTAGGTGTTCCATAAATATTGTTGAATAAATGAATTTTTACTAAAATATATTTGCATTTATTTGTACCTGTTTTCTACACTCATATGTCAAATAAAAAGTACTGTAAATATAGACACTAAATTTTAGCAGTTTTTCACTGGGGATTTGGGGTAATTTTTACTTTATTTGAATTATTAATAGTGAGTACCCATTACATTGATAGGCTAAAAAAAATAAAGCTATTTCCATTTGGAAAAAAAAATACTCAAAAATGAAAATTAAAACCCTATAGCTATCTAGTAGCTGTAAAAAATTTAAAAATATAATAGACTTGGGAGAATTATGATTTTATTTTCTTTCATTTTTTACTTTATGTCAGATGGCCAAACAACCACTGCTTAGAAAACTGTGTTATCTGTAACGCATTATTTTCTGGTCACATAACAGCTGACTAACATAGCTTAATTTCGAGATCACTTAAGTTTTTCACCGTCATTTTGTGATGTTGTTTTTTAACTATTGTTATCATTAGTCTTTTTTTTTTAATTGGGTAAAGTGCATTTTAATTGCTTGCTGCAAATACCACCCACTTACCTGGAAAAGAAACGGTCGTCATTTCTGTTTTGAAAAGGCGGCCTACTTTAGATTCCTAATTAGCAATAATGTTAATAAGAAAACTGGAATAAAGAGAGTGAAAGAGGCAATTAAAAGTGTAACAGAGAGAAACTATACTAAACAGATTAGGGAAGGTACTTCGGAAAAGCAGAGGTAGCCCTGATTTTGGGGTGATTGCTGGGCTTCCCACAAGTGATGTTTCTTAATAATTACCATAGTGGAGCCAGAAAAGAAGTTAATTGCTGTGATTATGTCATCTTTTCACCTTTGCACAATTACTCATAGGAAATACAAGATAGTTGTGAGCTATCCTTTATGAATCCATCTCTACACTAACCCAGGAAGGAAATGGAGTTGCGATGAATAAAAGTTGTTAAAACAAGAACTTTAAGCTTTAGATTTTGCCTTCATCGCTTGCAGGATTTCATTCTCCTTGAAACAAAAACTTTCTAGCAACTGGAACCACATTTTAACAAAATTAAATTTATGAACCAATTTTAAACCTTGGAGACCCTTACAAATCCAGACATTTGCTCCGACTGTTATAGCTATTATGAAATTATTACAAATCTCACCTTAAAATTAATAAGTGACACTCCATGAGCATAATTACATTGTTCATCTTTCCATAATCCTTAATTCCTCTGTGTGTTATAACATGTGATCAGTCCTTCACATAACCCAGCTGCTTCAGATAATTGCTTGCTGTCCTACTGAGAAAAACTTCTAATAAATGATGCAAGAACCAAAAATAGTGCAACCCTTTCTCATTGCTACAAAATCAGAAATGGTTTTACCTAGAATTTAATTCTATGATTCTTTCCCCCTACTGACAATGGTATTCGGTGGGTTGGGAAGAGGAAGGATTAGAATATTTCAATTAGAACCCCTGCAGCTCTTTAGGAATACTACCAGAATTTTGCCACTAATTGACGAAATAGATAACACGTGTCTTTGCTTCAGCAGCTCTTATTTCCTTAATAAACATTTTTTTCAGCAACTTTAAGAAATGTTTCCCTTTGAAATACAACATCACATAATGGGCCCCATCTGGAATGGCAACTTTGCACACAAGCTAAGAAATTAGAAAAACAAAAACTCATTTTTTTGTCTTTGTCTAGGGTGAATAATTGCAATTAGCTACTGCAATATCTATATATGTTACTATGTTTAAAAAAAAAAAATGAACAAAGCTTTTCAGTGACTAGGCGCCCAAAATCATAAAAAGGCTGATATCCAAGAAAAAAATCTGGTGAATTTTATTTATTCAAACTGTGTTTTGGTTTTTATTCAGTTCTATATTACCTTCATTTCTGAGAGCTGGGCTTTTTTTTTTTTTTTTAACATTCATTTAGAATAACATCAGAATCTTCTAATCTCCTTCTTCAAATTTGAAAAAATACCAAAAAATAAGAGTTTTTCTTTAAGTCAAAAAACATGAAGAAGTTCATGGGGAAAAAGTGGCCACTGTATCCTAGTGTAGGGGTAAATGAAGACTGAAGGAAGTAGAATTCAAGAGCTCGGGACAGGACAATGTTAAACTGCAATTGCTGAATCTTTTTATTCACTAACACTTTCTGAGGTCTGTACTCAAAGAAACATTGAGAATTACATGCATAAATTAAACAAGATTCTGTAATTGGAGAAAACCAAAGCCTTGTAAAGAAAAGTTAGGGACCAAAGATTTGGAAATCAATATATGATGAGGTGAACATTATATTGAAAACCACACTGAGGTGGGGTTTCTAGTCATGTGTGGAAACCAGCCCCATGATTTAAATTATGTCAGTGGGATAAAAGACTAGGTGGGTTCATTGAAATTCTGCATTCCGGCTTTGGCAAGTATTTATGGTTAGGATTGTGTTAGTTGCCACATTAACAATTTTGTGTTTGCCTTGCTCTCTCTCTGCCATCAACAGTACAATCAGTGGGATCAACCCTGAAGAGCTCTGTTTCAGTCTGAGGCAGTCAGTTCACCCCTTTCCTTTAGTTCTATTTTATGACATGATTCTAAATCAACAGTTTTCACCCCTGTTTCGAGAGGGTTTTCCCCCCAGAAATTAAGGAAAGGTATGTTACATAGCAAATGAAAAAGAGAGAAGGCTGATTCTAATTAAAAGCGGAACATGAAATTGACTTGAAAGCATTAGGTTATGAATTTTCCCTATCATTATATCTTAAGTCCTTTATGAACCCAATCATCATCTATGATAGCTAAAATAAGAAGTCTTCTTATTCCTTCCAGCTTTTCTATAGTCTTAGGGATTGCTGCCGGCTGAAATGTAAATCCTACTATGATGGCTGTACATAGAAATAGAAAGTGTCTTCCAAGATAAAACAATGAGTGCTAAACACAACGAGCATAAAAAGAAAACTATTGGTATTTTCAGAACTCAAAGGACTATATGCCTTTTGAAGATACACTTTGGACACAAAAAAATCACTACAACAGAAATATCTGCTATTCCATCTACCTCTGTAAACATATGTTTTGAGCCTATGGATGCTGCTTATTTCATTAAATCACTATGAATCTGGGATTAAAATCATCATGCTATTACATTGCAATGCCTTTTTCTAAAGCACAATATTCCCCATAAGTGTTTACTTTCATTCTTTTTTCTAGTCCTCTATCCTATTCCCCTTTCTATGGCAATTATCCACGACAATAAGAATTGCCTAATGGTGTCATTTTGTAATCCAGGAACACAGGTGCTCATATGAAAGTTTCACAATAAACTTTGGGAGATGAGATCAGAGACTCAAACGTACTACTCTCTCACTGAACAACAGCTGTAAGAAATAATGCAACAACTCCCCTGCAGACGGAAAGGCTTAACAAGTAGAAATTCCTACATTTGTGTGTGGTTGGTATCCTCCCAGCACTTTTTTTAGCAAACAGACTTCACAGCCCAAAATAATATCCCTGTCTCCCAGACAAATGGTAGATCCCAAGAGATTCCTTTGGAGCACAAACCCTGCTCAGAGTGACAGGCAAAGTCATTGAAACTAAAGTCCCCCAATTAAGAGAGGTGATCCCAAGTAAAAGTAATGTTTCAGAATTCATCTTTCAGGAAAGGTAAAGCTAGAATCTCTGTAATTAACATTTTGCAAATGTTTCCTTGGAAAAGGGAAAGAAAATAGATAAACAGTCTACAAATTTTCATAACAATAAAAGGGTAAAGTTCTGATGTTGACCCACCCACCACATAAACAACTGACAAAAAGGCACTATTAGCAAGCTCCTCTCAGAGCTGATTAAAGGGACTCCACACTTTTCCTAAAATCTCCATGTTATGACACACTCTCTGGCAAACCCTGGACCCTGTTATTACTCTCCTCAGTTCAGCAACACTCAGAAGCCTCGGTCCCCAGGGATGTTGTCATGTTTCACAAAGGCCGCATTGTGTCTCTAATGCCGACTCTCTCCGCGGTTCATTTTGCATGCTCTGCATGCGCATGTTTGATTTTCAGAACATGACTCATGCCTTTTAAGTTACTCCACAGACTTACAAATGGAGGAAAGGAGTGATGGGTTGGCTGATTGGAAGTGAAAGAAGGTGTCCTTTCCCTGGACAGTCTGACTTTTTAAAGAATGCATTAAGTGACTTCCTGGCTCACCAGGATCAATGTGACGTGACATTTGAGAAGGGACAGGAATAGTGGGTGTTCCCCTTACATTATTTTTACACAGTTCATCTTTTTTTTTTTTTTTTTTTTTTTTTTACTGACAGGAATAAACCCGTCTCCCCTCCTTCTCTCAGCAGAATAACAGAGCAACATAGAGCTCAGCTAGATTTTCAAAACGATTGTGTTTAAACCTCAAGATTTCAGTGAGTGATCCATTTAAAGTTACTGTTAAACAGTATTGAATATGATTTTGTAATCTGTGTTCAGCCCTGATGGGCTGCAGGATTTGGGTAATATGTAATTATTTCACACTTGTGGAAGGAGGCAAAGACAATTTATTGTCTAGATTCACTTGGGAAGCCTCCTTCAGTTTTTGAAAGAGCATCCGTGGAACAGAAGTAGCCCCACCCACCACTCAGGGATTGGGAGGGTTGTTCTGCTTGAGACAGGGAAAGAAAACCAGTTATTGGCTTCTAAAATGGGGATATGGGATGTGGGATTAGGAATGTGGGGCGTGGGGAGAAGTGAGGAGGAACAGGGAGAAGAGCAGGCGCTTGGAGAAAGGCTCTCAATACCCCCTGGAAAGGGGTGATCAACAGACATTTCAGCATGGATTGTACCTCCTGAACTGATCAGTGTTGCCACATAAACCTCACTGTTGCTGTGTAAATTCAATCCCACCTGCACATCCACTTAACTCCTATTCATTCCAGCAAAATCTACTAGTATATTTGGGACGGATTATGTTGATTGTTGAAATCAAAGCCTGAGCTTCTCTGTGTTGTCCATGTTAGGCAGCAGAGTCTGCTGCCTGTAAGAAATGGAAACCCAAGGACAGAAACCATAAAAGCTGGCATAACCACTAGACACCTGGGGAAACTGCAGAAATTTTGGAAAGACTTAGGGGTGCTATGCCTGCTGCAGAGTTGGGGCTTAAGATAATCTGACCCAGATCTATAGGCGCAGAGAAGTTGCCACTACATCTGGATTATATTTTTCCCCTCTGTCAACATTTACATGTTTCCTATGTGTATGTCTTACGTACCTGTGGATATGCAAATGTGTGTGTATATGTGTGAGAGAAACTTTGGGGTAGTATCTGGCCCCAAATAGCAGCTCACTGAACTTTTTCCATTCTTCTGTTTCTCTGACTAAGAGAGTGGCTAGTTTTAGACAAATCTGCTAAAACCTTGAGTGAAAACCCTGGGGCCTGCAGAGAGAATTTGTTCTGTCATTGACAGCTCAAACGATCCTGGGATGGAGCACTCTGACATCATTGTAATCATAATGCTCTTCGTTCTTTTATTATTTTGACTTATATTTTTATACTGTTCAAAAAAACTTTTACATCTATTATGTCATCTCATGCTAACGACACCCCCGTGAGGTGGAAGGAAAGGTTATTATTATAATTCAGCTACTCTCCTGTCAACAGAGCCATGACTGAAGCCCCAAGGCCCACAGCAGGGAAGGCAGCCTAGTGGCTTCATGGCTCTCCGGGAAAGGTCCTCCAAGGCTGACGCCATGACCAGGTTTCGCGGGTAGCCAAAGGAAAGAGTCACAAAAAGGGCCGCCTGCCCAGTTGGGCATATGCCAACAGTTCTGTCTGGCAGGAGTGGCATGGGACAGGGATGAGAACTGTTCTCCTTTCTTTCCTGTTTTGAGTCTATTACAGCACACAGGGTTTGAGGCATTAGAGGGGCTGGCATGAGTCTTTACCCTCTTCATCCAATCTGGGAGATGATAACGCAACAGGATAGGATGGGAAAGAACTATCCTCGTTTTTTGTTTAGAGCTCTTTCTTTGGCAAAGCAGCAAGAAAACAAAAATTTCTATGTTTGAAGAAAAAATGTTTTTTTTTAAATATTTTTTTCCTCCTCTAAGCCAGCGATGGCCAAGTTTATAGGTGCTAAATGGCCATAAAATGGCCAGGTAAGTCACTTTATCTTCTTCAATGATTTCTATGTTCATGGCACGAGGTAAAAATAAATATGTATAGTGATCAGCCAGGTATCTGGTACATAGAATAAGTTCATTAAATCTAATCTATTATTATAATTATATGCATAAGATATGCAACAGAGACATCAGTTGGCATGTCTCTTGAAAAGGCTACATGTGCCATATGGTACTTCAGATTCATAGGGATAGGTAGATAAGTTTTAAATAAGCAAGACAAGTGTCTGTTCCAGGCGCTGGAGTGAGCCAAGCTTGAATGGGGAGGCCAACACCTACAATAATACTATCAGCCTTTTGTGACCAATCACTGCAAACATACCTGCAATCAGAAGACCCCCTTTTCCAAAGCAGAAACTACCTTAACCTATTCTCATAAAATAGCTCATTAGAATGAGGGAAGCAGTGTTACTGAGTCTACCATGCCTATTGACATTTGTTTGATGATCTCCCTGATCACACACAATTCCAAAAGCAAGAGCTTAAAATGATTTTCAAATGTATCCAATTCACAGCCAAGCGAAAATGTTTCTGTACCAAGAATAATCTTACATTAAACTTTTTTTTTTCAGAAGCCTAAATTTAACCAGTTGGAATTCTTTTTTTAGGTGTTATTCTATTCAACCTTTAAAAATGAAGGATCTGATTTTAATGTGAAATCTGCATTTCATCAAAGATGGGACACAGTGTCCTTGCTTAATTATTCTTTGGAAATTGAACACCTTTACTACTGCATTCTTAGCAGGTAGCAACAACACAAATTGAAGAAAATGTGATTCAGGTTTGAAGCACTGAGTTCATTGATTTCAACCATATTGATAAGCATAGAGAATACACCTTGCATTGATACTGCTCACATGCTCAACTAGCAGATGGTGTAGTAGTCAATGATAATGTCACTAAATGCCTACACATATAAGGAGAATTTAGAGTGTGAATGAGGAAAATCATAACATTTCACAATTGTGTGACACTTTCTAAAGTCTTATCTATTATGCCATCTTATTCTTTTGTCATCCATGGGAGAGAGACAGCCAGGAGGCCTCAGGTAAGCAGACCATCCAGCTCACAGATGTTGAAGCCAAACTTGAATCTCACCTTTCCAAAGCACTGTTCTTTCTGTCATGCAGCTTCCTAATATATGCTGAGACTTTTTTAGATGGGGCAGGAGGTGCAGAAACTATACATAAGGAAACTCAGCTGGAGCCCTGATTATAATTTTAAGGCATCAGTGTGACCTGGGACAAGTGCCTTGAATATCCAGCACCTCCAGTTTTCAACTCAGAAGAGGGCATGTTAATTCTGTTTCTATCTACCTCAACAAGTTTTTAAGTATAGTAGCAGCTAATGAATATGAAGCTGTTTTTAAAAATAATAATTCTTTTCCAAATGTAGGTATGAAGATGATTTTTTTAAATAAGATATATCGCTAGTTAAAAGATGCACTTGTATTGAATGAATGTCCTAAATGCCTTTAAGATCCAATCTGCTACCGGCCATTTAGATGACTGCAGGAACTAATGGTAGACTATACATCTGTTGTTTGGGCTGCCTAACTTCCATTTCCCTTCTGATGTTAAAAGGTACCGTTTTGGCCAGGCACAGTGGCTCAAGCCTGTAATCCCAGCAATTTGGGAGGCCAAGGTGGGTGGATCACCTGAGGTCGGGAGTTCAAAACTAGCCTGAACAACATGGAGGAACCCCGTCTCTACTAAAAATACAAAATTAGCCAGGCATGGTGGTACATGCCTGTAATCCCAGCTACTTTCAGGAGGCTGAGGCAGGAGAATCACTTGAACCTAGAAGGCGGAGGTTGCAGTGAGCCAAGATTGCACCATTGCACTCCAGCCTGGGCAACAAGAGCAAAACTCCATCTCAAAAAAAAAAAAAAAAAAAAAAAAAGGTACAGTTTTTATTTTGGGAAATTTCTTCCACTGGATGCAGACCTGCAGGGAGCTTCATCAAGGGACCCACACTCCCTAGTCACACTTCATTGGAATGTGAGCTGTGAGCAGAATACGTGCAGCCCTAGAACAGCTGGAGATCATTTGCCTCCAGGATAGGACTTGGAAGAGACTTTTTCTGTCTCCTATATTCCTGGAGCTGCTCTGGTTCTCTTCTTGCCCAGGTCTAGTCCTTCATCCTTTTCTTTGATTCCATAAACTCTCCTACTACTTTGCAGTAAATCCCAAAAAAGCAGCCTCTTTTTGTTCCTGGTTTTTCCTTGAGTTGGCTACTGTTGGTCCCAGAGACATGCAAACAGAGCACCCTGACTATAAAATCAGCCTGGCAACACGAACAGATCTGTGCAGTCACAGGGAGGTAGACAGAGGAAATCACGGAAATCAAACCGTTTGATTACCTGTTAATCAACTGCACAAGAAAAGCCAGAATAGCCCAGGATAAATGAGCCAATAATAAGTATACAGCCACCATACTTAAAATTTCTCCCCTTTGCGGCCAGGCGCGGTGGCTCATGCCTGTAATCCCAGCACTTTGGGAGGCCGAGGCGGGTGGATCACAAGGTCAGGAAATCGAGACCATCCTGGCTAACACGGTGAAACCCCGTCTCTACTAAAAATACAAAAAATTAGCCGGGCATGGTGGCGGGCGCCTGTAGTCCCAGGTACTCGGGTGGCTGAGGCAGAAGAATGGCGTGAACCCGGGTGGCGGAGCTTGCAGTGAGCCGAGATTGTGCCAGTGCACTCCAGCCTGGGCAACAGAGCAAGACTCCTTCTCAAAAAAAAAAAAAAAAAAAAAAAAAAATTTCTCCCCTTTGGTTTGGTAAGTCAACAAAAGTTTAAACAATTAAAGGAAAAAATAAAAGCATGAGTGTTGTGACAACAAAAATTAGTTTTAAAAGTAAATTATAAAAATCATATATAGTCATGTGCCCATAACAATGTTTCAGTCAACAACAGACTCCATATATGATGCTGGTCCCATGAGATTATAACACCATATTTTTACTGTACCTCTTCTATGCCTCGATATGTTTAGATACACAAATACTTACCATTGTATTACAATTCTCTGAAGTATTCAGTACAGTAATAGTTTATATCCTAGGAGCAATAGGCATATACCATATAGCCTGGGTGTGTAATAGGCTATACCATCTACGTATGTAAGTACACTCTATGACAGGGTCCTCAGCTTCTGAGCTACAGACTGGCACTGGTCAATGGCCTGTTAGGAACAGGGTTGCACAACAGGAGGTGAGCAGCGGGTGAGTAAATAAAGCTTCATCTGTATTTACAGCCACTCCCTATCACTCGCATTACTGCGTGAGCTTCACCTCCTGTCAGATCAGTTGCAGCAATAGATTCTCGTAGGAACGCAAACCCTGTTGTGAACTGTGCATGTGAGGGGTCTAGGTTGCATGCTCCTTATGAGAATCTAACGCCTGATGATCTGAGATGGAGCTGAGGTGGTGATGCTAGTGCTGGGGAGTGGCTGCAAACACCAACTAACATTAGTAGAGAGGTTTGACTGTGCAGACACCATAATACGTCAATTGTTTGCAGACTCATATCAAAACCCTATCAGTGAGTGACAAGTGACAATTAAACTGCATCTGGTGCCAAGCTTTATAGTTGCAAGTGAGTTGATGTACTTCAATTGTACAGCTGCATCTAGTGGCAGGGTTTAAGTCAGAATCTGACACTTATTTTAGTCCACGCGTGGCCCACCCATTATTTTATTTGCCATTTCTGTTCATGCCTCTTTCTGCACTGTGCACTTGTCTCAGTCACAGTTTTGCTAAGTCCACAAGATAACCCTAGCCAAAATGAGTAAAAAGCAAATATCACTGGAGAGCTTCTTCCAAAAGGGGGAAACACCCAATGATGAGACAGCAGAAGACTCTAAGACTGCCAACAAAAAGAAAGCTGCACTTGACAATACCAAGAGTCCTCCTTAAAGTATGGGTTCATTGCAACAGGTGATTCACATTCTCCAAACCTGCTTTGTATAGCGTGTGGCAACCAGCTATTCAATGAAGCCATGAAACCTTCAAAACTGCTTCGCCACATAGAGACCAAGCACCCTGCATTAAAAGACAAGCCTGTGGAATTTTTCAAAAGAAAAAAAACTGTGAACACAAAGAACAGAAGCAATTATTGAAGGCCACCATTTCATCAAATGTGTCTCCACTGAAAGCATCATTCTTAGTGGCTAACCACATTGCTAAAGCTAAGAAGCCCTTTACTATTGGTGAAGAGTTGATCCTGCCCACTGCTAAGGACATTTGTTGTGAACTTTTAGGAGAGGCTGCGGTTCAAAATATGCCTTGTGTTCCTCATTCAGCTAGCACCATAACTGGATGAATTGATGAAAAAGCAGAGGATGTTGAAGCACAATTGTTAGAGAGGATTAATGAGTCACTGTGGTACACATTCCAGGTTGACAAGTCTAGCAATGTTGACAACAAGGCAACAATGCTTGTTTTCGTGCAATATATTTTTCAGGAGGATGTGCATGGGGGTATATTATGTGTGCTTTTGTTGCCAACTAACACCACAGCTGCAGAACTATTCAAGTCTTTGAATGATTACACATTAGGAAAATGGAATTGGTCATTCTGTGTCATTGTATGCATGGATGGAGCAGCTGCCATGACCAAACAGCTTTCAGGTTTCACTGCTTGGTTCAAAGAGGTTGCCTCTGAATATTAGTCTATGCACTGTGTCATCCATAGAAAAATGCTGGCTAGCCAAAAAATGTCACCTGAACTTAACAACATTTTGTAGGATATGATTAAAATTATCAACCACAATAAAGTGCATACGCATAACTCACATCTGTTTGCACAGCTCTGAGAGGAGATGGATACAGAGCACACATGTCTTCTCTTATACACAGAAGTGAGATGGCTTTCTCAAGGCAGATCACTGGCCAGAGTTTTTTAGTTATGAGAGCCACTCCAGAGATTTCTTTTAGAAAAACAGGCAACACTGGCAGCACATTTCAGTGACACAGAATGGGTTGCAAAACTTGCTTACTTGTGTGACACATTCAACCTGCTCAACGAACTCAATCTGTCACTTCAGGGGATAACAACAACAACTGTGTTCAAGTCAGCAGATAAAGTGGCTGCTTTCAAAACCAAACTGGAACAATGGGTTGATGAGTGAACTTTGGGATTTCTAACATGTTTCAAACATTAGCAGAAATTTTGAAAGAAAGAGTCTGAGCCAAGGCCTTCTTTCTCCCAGCTGGTGCGTGATCACCTATCTCAGCTTTCAAGAGTTTGAACGTTACTTTCTGTGGTGATTAATATTAGGTGTCAACTTGATTGGATTGAAGGATGCCTGGATGATGGGTATTGTTTCTGGATGTGTCTGTGAGGGTATTGCCAGAGGAGATAGGCATTTGAGTCAGTGTATGGGGAGAGGAAGACTCACCCTCAATGTGGGTGGGCACCATCCAATTGTCTGCCAGCGTGACTAGAACAAAGCAGGGGAAGAAGGTGGAAACACCTTGCTTGCTGAGTCTCCTGGTTGCCTTCTTTTTCCTGTGCTGGATGCTTCCTCCTGCTCCTCCTGCGGTTGGACATCAGACTCCAGATTCTTCAGCCTTTAGACTTTGGGACTCACACCAGTGAGTGCTGGAGGCTCTCGGGCCTTCAGCCACAGACTGAAGGCTACACTGTCAGATTCCCTGGCTTGGAGGCTTTTAGACTTGAACTGAGCCACTACTCACTTCTTTCTTCCCCAGCTTGCAGATGGCCTATCATGGGACTTCACCTTGTAATTATGTGAGCCAATTCTCCCTAATAAACTCTCTTTCATATATAGATATATCCTATTAATTCTGTCCCCTGGAGAACCCTGATTATACGCTTCCCAACCATAAAAGACCCTGAACTGGGAAGGAATGGATCCATCACCCATTTGTGAATAAGCCAGGGGAATTGACTTTGTCCGTTGTAGAAGAGGACAACTGCTTGAGATTGCAAATGGCGGTGCCCTTAAAAGTATGTTTGACGCAACTTCAAATCTTCATACGTTCTGAATTAAAGTCGAGATGGAATATCCTGAGATTACCACAGAAGCACTGAAAAGTCTGCTTCCATTTCCAACATCCTATCTTTGTGAAGCAGGGTTTTCTGCAGTGACAGCAACCAAAACGAGATTATGGAGTAGACTGGACATAAGCAACACACTTCAGGTATCACTGTCTCCCATCACCCCCAGATGGGAACTGTCTAGTTGCAAGGAAAGAAGCTTAGGGCTTCCACTGATTCTACATTGTGGTGAGTTGTATAATTATTTCATTATATTACAATACAATAATAATATAAATAAAGTGCACAATAAATGTAATGTGCTTGAATCATCCCAAAACCATCCCCCTCCCCTGCCCCAGTCCATGGAAAAATTGCCTTCCACAAAACCAATGCCTGGTGCCAAAAATGTGGGGGACCACTGCTCAAAATGATGAAATTGCCTAACAATGCATTAATATGTTCCTGTTGTTTAGATAGATGGATAGATAATAGGCAGATGATAGATAGATAGATAGATAGATAGATAGATAGATGATAGATATAGATAGATATCCTACAAAGCTTTTTATGTGACCATGTAAATAGTATTGTTAGTTTTATATAAAATGTGTACTGGTAACTCTGCTAATGAAGTTGTCAACTTTTTGTATGAAAGTTAGTTACTCTCTTCAAAAGCTAGGTTCTGCTAAGTTGTATTTGATGGTGCTGTGTCATCTCAGAATCAAATCACAAGAAAGAGCTGCATTCCAAAATCTTTGTAAATGCTCTGGAATCAGATAGACATCTAGAGATATTTCTACAAAAGAATGTTCAATAGCCAGAACATCAAATGCAAAAGGGAAATTCAAAAAGTTTCCTACGCAATTGAGAATACAATTACCCAGGCTCATTTAATATTACACTTTTTTTACATCTGAAGTTAACTTGGCTTGAATGTTCTCTCTTTCAAGAAATCTTCTGTTCTGGTTACTATTGTTACACGGCAAATCACTTCACAACTCAATGGTGTAAAACGACCATTGTATTATGCTCATGGATTCAGAGGGTAAGGAATTCAGAGTGTGTAGCAGAGATGGCTTGCGTCTTTTCCATGATGTCTGGGGACTGAGCTGGGAATACCTAATGGCTGGGGTGACTCAAGAGCTGGGGGCTAGAATCATGTGCAGGTGCCTTCTTCACATGTCTGCTGTCAATGCTGGCCATCAGCTAGGACCTCAGCTGGGAATGTCAACCAAAGCACCCACAGATCACCTCCCTATGTGGCCTGAGCTTCCTCAAAGCATGGTGGCCCCAGAGGAATTGAATTTCTCACTTGATGGACTTTTTACCTGATGTCCCAGTAAACAGGGGGAGACTTGAACCTCTTTTTCTGACTTAGCCCCAGAAGTTAAAAGCGTTATTTCTACTGTGTACTGTATTGGTTACATATGAGTCACAAGCCCATCCAGGTTCAAGGGAAGATATCAATTCCAACTCTCAATGGTAGGACTACCAATGTCTCATCATAGAAAAGTATGTGGGATAGGAGATATTCCATCTTTGAAAACTACAATCTCAAATCTTCCCAGATTCCCCATCTCCAACTAGAAATCTTTCTCTTCTCTAAAGTCTCACACTTTTCAAATTGGTGCTCACCAATTTCTATCTTATATGCAGTTATTATGGACATATTTCACCTTTGCCACTCTGCTGTGAACTTCTTGAGTTTTTGTTTTTTGTTTTTTGTGTCTTCCACAGTACCTAACAGAGCTCTTGGCACTTAATAAACACACAATAAAGTTTATTGAAGAAATGTGGACTGTTTTAGACCAGTTTCAGGTGCAATTATTATACAACTAGGAGACATTCACAAGTTCTTTTGGAGGAAAAGAAAGAAGAGAGAAAGAAAAAAGGGAAAAAGCAAGCAAGAAAGGAAAAAATGGAAGGAAGAAAGAAAGGAAGGAAAGATGGAAGCTCAACAGGTAGGCATAATTGTTTGAAGTGACTCTTTGATTCTCAAAACATTTAAATTGCTGCATTAAAAAATTTCCAGTGGAGAAGAGATCCAATTTTCCACCTTTTATGTACATCAGCTGTGCAGCTGGAAATCCCTGGAACACATAATCATGCTGACAGGTTTCATTTTAACAGAGTTCCATGACCAAGAAGCTCAAATAGGCCTTAAATGCTGCCGGACAATTGTGCTATACTTCCCTAGTCCATTCACGATGCTCCCTTTCAAGATGTCTATTTCAGCCTCCAACATCTTCTCCTATACCCTAATTTTCAGTTGATGACTTTCTTAATTCTCTGACAGAACAAAGCAGTTGAAAGAGAGTCCCCAAACACCCTCTGCCTTCTCATCTACCACCCTCTCTGCACGTAGGCTTTCTGCCTCCCACCTGGGGCAGAACTGGGCCAGCCTGTCCATTCTAACACCAGTCCCAATGCTCTGATACCAAGTCTCATCTCCTTTCCCCACAGTGCCCCAGCAGTCCACCCCTGTGTCCTCTACACCAACAAGTCCATCAGCATAGTAATATGCTGTTATTTCTCCCATCTTAAAAACTGCTTCTCTTGACATCTCCCATTAGTCCATTTTTCTTTTCTTCATTAAAGACATCACTTGAAAGAGTTGTTTACATGTACTGTCTCCTCTATGTCTCTTCATATTCTCTCTTAAATTCATCCCAACAAGGTTTTCGCCCTTACCACTCCACCAAAACTGTTCTTCTCAAGGTCACCTTGGGACATCTCAGTATTAAATCCAGTTTCTAATTTTCGTCCTCATGTTGCTCGACCCATCAGCAGAATTTGAGGCAGTTGGTATTCTCTTCTTCATACACTTTCTTCATTTCATTCCCAAAACACCATGCATTTCCACACCCCTCCCACTATCTCCCTGACACTCCTTCTCTCTCCTTTCCTGGTTCCTCCTACTCTTCTCTTTTGTGTCTTTATGTTGGGGTACTCCATGCATGCACAGTTCTTGAACCTATTCTCTATCTACACCTGCTATTTTTGTCAAGTTTCCATTCTTTTAGTTTTAAATGTGATCTATATGCAGACAACTCCATGCACACATCTTGAACCTCTTCTCTCTCTACCTCCACTATTTTTGTAGTTTTCCATTCTCCTAGTTTTAAATGCCATCTATGTACAGACAACTCCTACACTATATCTCCAACTAGAATAGTCTTCCAAACTCCAGACTCCATATATCCACTTTACAAGTCTAGTAGAGACTTCATTCTTAACATATCCAACACTGAACTCTCAGTCCACCTCCCATTCTATTGCTCCTGCAGTTTTTTCCACCTCAGTGGATGGTAACTCCATTCTTCAAGTTGCTTAGACCAACAGCCTGAAAGTCATGCTTGACTTCTCTTTTGCCTAAACATCAAGAAGTCCTGTATCCAGAAGTCCTGTATCCAGACTATGACCATTTCTCTTCACTGTTTCAAGTCACCACCATCTTCTGTCTTGGTTATTGAAATTGCCTTCTAATTGACCTGACCTCTCTTTCTCTCTCCCTACTCCCGTACTGCTTGTTCTCAACAATGCAACCAAAATGATTAGTTAGAATGTCTGTTATTTCATGTCTTCTGTCACTTAAAGCTCTGTGATACCCTTCCCCTGCCCCACCTCAATCAGAGGCAAGGCCAGAGTCCTAACAATGAGCCACATGTCACTTCGTGATTTGACTCCTGGTTACTTCTCTGACTTCACCTTTGATTGAAGGCTACCACCTTCACTGGCCTTATGCTTTACTTTGAATATTCTAAGCATGCTTCTACATTAAGGCCTTTGCCTTGAATCATCCCTTTTGTGGACAGCTCTTCCTTTAAATATCTGAATGGCTTGTCATCTGCAAGTCTTTATTCAGATGCTACCCTCCTGAGCACTCTGTTAAACCTGCAGTGACCTCTGACCCCCAGCATTACTAATCCCTCTTACCTTGCTCTGTCTCTGTATCATATATCCTGTTGGTTCTGTTTCCCTGAGTAACCCTAGTATACTCATTTATTATTTATAATATCTACATTTTTAGTCCTCTATCACTCCTGCTAGAATGTAAGCCTCACAAGGTCAAGACTTTTTGTCTATTTTATTCATGGATGTGTCCTAAGCCTCTAGAATACTGCCTGATGCATAATAGGTACTGTCTTGTCTGAAGCTTATCTTCAGAAAAAGAAAAAACAATAGGCATTGAATGAATAATTTTGAATTAATAAATATTATGAAGACAAGAGCTATACAGAAATGGAATAGAGGTGAACTTACATCATATGATTTGAGGGACATCACTGGGCTTCTTTTGTCCCACTGCAATGCCATGCCACCATTGTCTCCTCTTCTCTGGCCTAAAAGTCCCACCTTTGGAATCAGTAATGATTAGTCCAGAAAGTGGAGTCAAATAGTTAAAACATATGCTTGCTCTGAGATGTTGGTAGGAGCTCAGAGAAGAGTTGGTTTGGGGTTGGCAAAGAGGTAAGGGAGGGAAGAGACAGAGTGATGAGGCAAACAGGACACTGGGCCTTGGAAGAGTTTCACGATCTTCCCATTCTCATCCGAAAAGTAAAGGGGTGTATGATGAGCACTACACTTCATCCATGTAGTGAATTCCAGTGTCCAGTCATCAGACTGGAAATGAGACAGCTAGATTCAAATTCTTTCTCATTTAGTAGCTTGAGACAATTGCCTGACTTCTCCTTCCACTGTGAATGGAGGGCATGATAAAAGCCCGCAGGCCCCAAAAGAGAATGCTAAGGATGTGTCCTTGGAAACAGAAGTTGAAGAATTGGGGGAGGCACTAAAAGACAAACATGCCACCTCCATCATTAACCCCGTCTCTGTGATGTGAATATGGCTATGACAAACATAGACTCTCTCATTTTGAAAAAGCCCTACTGTTCCAAAGAGGATGCGTAATGAAGGAGTGAAGATGCTGTTATCTTCTCATTCGTTTGCCCTGAGACCATGATGAAAACTCAGTAGGAAAGTCTATGTCCCAAAAGAAATTGATTTTAGACTCTGGGCAGATGACTACAGTCCAAGACCATAGCTTCGAGGCAAAGGAGACCCGGGGGCAGGGCTGTAAAATCTGTACAAGCTAATCCCCCTGGGGCCTTCTTAAGGTTCACAGGCAATGAAACCATGTGTCCACACCCCCACTGCATAGCCAAAGGAAGTCAGTTCAACAAGATATTCCTTCAAATCTAATTTACTTTCTTTGTAAATAAGAACTAAGGTAGTCACTGACTGGCTAATACAACTAACTGATATTCTCCCAAAATTGTTCAGGAGCTGCATCACTTTCAGAGTAGCTACAGATAACCAGTACCCACAAACACAGTCTCCCTCCCATTCTCTTACTCACCCTCCTTCTTCCTTTCCTGCTTCCCTCCTTTCCTTTTCACGAATTGGTTCAGAAACCATCACATTATTTGCAGAGTCAAGAAACAATATTTGTGCTCACTAAAGGAAGACAGACACCAAAAAGTGCAAATGGTACGACTGCATTTTTATGAAGTTCAAAAGCTGGCAAAAACTAATGTATGATGTGAGAGGTCAAGGTAGTAGTTTACTTGGTGGGGGGCAGTGATTGGGAGCAAGCAGGGTGCTGGTGATGTTATACCTCTTTATCTGGGTGCTGGTTACACTTATAATGCCTTTCCTGTATGTTTGTCTTACTTCATTTAAAAACAAACTGTGAGATGCTTTTGCAGGAATGGACTGTTTCATTTCATCAGTAAGCCAGAAGTTTAATCACACTAAAATGAGTATTGTCCTAGTTCCATTACAAAATTGAGTATGTAGCCTAAAGAAAAAAATAGTCACAACAATAAATGAAAAATCTATTACACCATCACATTTTTTAAAATCAGCATAAATGCCTATAATATTCTAGTGTCAAATTATTCAAACATCTTAAATATCAAATCTCTAATGTTCACACTAATTTGGTAGCTATTACCTACTACAATACTAAATATACGCAACTCATGTCTTTAATTAGCATTTGAAATTTTGGCCATGCCAAAGCATGGTCTGGGAGCAAAGGGAAAATTGAATTCTGATAGATCTTGCTCAGAAAAAGCCGATACTATAACACTTCAACATAACTTGTAATATAGAATCTGTCTTCCCTGCCCAAATTCTGAACCAGTGAGTTATGGAATACTACCTCTGGTGGAGCAGAAGAGACCAGCATAGGTGACAAACCCCAAGAGGAAGGAGAAATTCACCAAATAGCTAATTTCATACCCTCCCGTGAGCGGCAAGATGTCAAACCTAGTGGAATTCAATCGTCATTGCAGAAAATATTAAAGAGTGGCATCTAAGCTTCTTTATCCCCACTTACAGATACCAAGATTTAATCAATAAATTCACAGGTGCCTTTAAGGAGATGGTTTTGCTAAATAAAAGGACATTTTGTAAGCCAGGGAAATCTGTTTGTTAGTCCACATGGCAGGCCCAGCCTCACACAAAGACACCAGACTCATGGGGCTTTCTCATGTCTTTGACCACATGTCCCAAGTTAATGCTGGGCTCTGAACACAAGAGCTAGTGGAATCACACCACCATTTCATAATATTAGTATTATTATTTTCATTCTACAAGTGAAAAACTGAATTGCAGAAAAATGAATTAACATTCAGTTTCTGAGTGGTGGATCCTCTCCTATCTATGTAGCAGCTGCCAGCCACTTTGCCTTGCTGCTGCCTCAGCACTACCTACTGTTTTAGGAAAGAGGAAATAAACAGAGGCACAAAGGGAGTTCATTGTTGGGCAGGGGTAGAGAACATGTTCTTGGAGATGTAAAATCAGGATGTCTCCGGAGAGACTGGGGAAAGTTGAAGTCCATGGCAATGAGCCCTGAAGAACACCAGCAACCAAGAAAACAGATGATTCTTATCAGGCACGGTTTCCTTGTCATGAGATTGGCAAGGAAGCCAATGAAAATCATGCTGTCTGCCTGAGGGCCTACATTTCGAAAAGTTGGATATGGGGCCACACTGGCCTGACTGCAGTTGGAGAAACTTCTATACTGCCTCAGGAGACCATTCTTGAGTACACTAGATATGCCTCTTGGAGTCAGAAAGACCAACTTGTCTTGTGGGCAGAGTTGGCTTGTCAGGTGATAAAAGGGGAGTGAGTGGCAGTGTAACGTAGTGGTTACCAGCAGAAGGTTACCTGAGCTCAAATCCCAGCTCCAAAATCTACTGCTGCACCAAACCAGGCAAAGTGCTTAAACTCTGCATGTCTTAGCCTCCTTAATTTGCAAAATGGGATAAAAATAACCATCGTATAAGGTTACCGTAAAATTTAAATGAGTACATTGATTTAAAGAATTTAAAACACCTGGCATATACAAGTGTTATGTAAGTTTTAGCTGTTAACATAAATATTGTAAATAATAGATGTTATGAAATCAATGGGCATGGAGCTGCCCAAGACCATGAGAACCCACCTCTTGCATCAGCATGATCTGGATGCGAGACATGGAGTCAAAGGAGATCATTTTGGAGCTTTACGCTTTGACTGCCTTGTTGGATTTTGGACTTGAGTGGGGCCTGTAGCCTCTTTGTTTTGGCCAATTTCTCCCATTTGGAATGGCTGTATTTACCCAATGCCTGTACCCCTGTTGTATCTAGGAAGTCACTAACTTGCTTTTGATTTTACAGGCTCATAGGCACAGGGGACTTGCCTTGTCTCAGATGAGACATTGAACTATGGACATTTGAGTTAATGCTGAAACGAGTTAAGACTTTGGGGGACTGTTGAGAAGGCATGATTGGTTTTGAAATGTGAGGACATGAGATTTGGGAGGGGCCAGAGGTGAAATGATATGGTTTGGCTGTGTCCCCACCCAAATCTCATCTTGAATTGTAACTCCCACAATTCCCACGTCATGGGAGGAACCCTGTGAGAGGTGATTGAATTATGGGGCGGGTCTTTCCCATGCTGTTCTTGTGATAGTGAATAAGTCTCATGAGATCTGATGGCTTAAAAAAAATAGGAGTTTGCCTGCACAAGTTCTCTCTTTGCCAGCTGCCATCCACAGAAGATGTGACTTGCTCCTCTTTGCCTTCTGCCATGATTGTGAGCCCTCCCCAGTCACGTGGAACTGTGAGTCCAATTAAACTTCTTCCTTTTGTAAATTGCTCAGTCTTGCGTATGTCTTTATCAGCAGCATGAAAATGAACTAATACAATTACGTTGTTCTATATAATGAAATAATTACACAACTCACCATAATGTAGAATCAGTAGGAGCCCTGAGCTTATTTTCCTGCAACTAGTCCCATCTGGGGCTGATGGGAGACAGTGACAGATCATCAGGCATTAGATTCTCATAAGGATTGCACAACCTAGATCCCTCACATGCACAGTTCACAATAGGGTTCACACTCCTACGAGAATCTAATGCCCCTGCTGATCTGACAGAAGGTGGAGCTCAGGTAGTAATTCGAGCAATAGAGAGTGGCTGTAAATACAGATGAAGCTTTTCTCTCTCACCTGCCACTCACCTCCTATTGTGCAGCCCAATTCCTAACAGGCTACAGACTGGGGACCCCTACCCTAGGTGACAGTATAGGGAGTGGGGACTTTGGGAAGTAATTAGGTCCTCATGTTAGAGCCCTCATGAACAGAATTAGTGTCCTTATAAGAAAATGACCAGCTGGGTGTGGTGGTTCACACCTGTAATCCTAGCACTTTGGGAGGCCAAGGCAGGTGGATCACCTGAGGTCAGGAGTTCAAGACCAGCCTGACCAACATGGAGAAACCCCATCTCTACTAAAAATACAAAATTAGCTGGGCGTGGTGACGCATACCTGTAATCCTAGCTACTCGGGAGGCTGAGGCAAGAGAATCGCTTGAACCCGGGAGGTGGAGGTTGCGGTGAGCCGAGATCATGCCATTGCACTCCAGCCTGGGCAACAACAGCAAAAACTCTGTCTCGAAAAAAAAAAAAAAGAAAAGAAAAGAAAAAGAAAATGACCAGAGAGCTACTAGTTCACTCTCCCTCTGCTGTTCACCATGTGAGGATACAACCAGAAATCAGCTGTTCACAACCCAGAAGAGGTCCTCACCAAAACCCGGACCTGCTGGCACCCTGATACCAGACTTCCAGCCTCCAAAACTGTGAGGAATACATTTCTGTTGTTTGTAATCCACCCAGTCTATGGTATTTGTTATAGCTGCCCTATCTAAGATAATAGATCATGTAATATCAAAGGAAAGGTAGTTTTGGAAGCCTGGACAAATACATACTTTAGTTACTTTGATTTGTTTCTCTAATTGATCAAGGGAGAAAGTAGAAAAGGATGCTCAGAAATAGTATTGTTGAACCATATCAAATTATTGCTATTCAACCTTTCTTTATAGCAATTTCACGTGTTTCAAGCTGTTATTAAGCGGGGCATCAAAAAGTTTGCTTTTCCTGGTTGTGAACTACCAGGGCTTGCCTTGAACCTAAGGCCAATAATTGCATGTGGATTTGTGGACACTGGGCTCATCTGTCGAGTAATTTTTAACCCTCATATGGTCCACAGACACTCATTGGTGAACATATGTATGATTAGCCATGAGTGTATTAGGAGACATTTCCCTCTAGCCTGAACGTATAAGTGGGCAAGGGTGACTGAGGACGGCCTGAAGCATCAATGATGTTATCCGAACTAACTAATGGGGCCTTCTCTTCAAGTCTTAAAGTTTAAATTTATATAATCTTTAAACTGAAAGAAATATGAGGTGACCTTCCTCTAGCACACATTCTCTCCCTCCTGCCCCCTATCCCAGGGAGTGCCTCTGCAGTGTTCCCAAAGGAAATATCCAGCCCTTTTCCTTTTCTTTTTTCTTTTTTTTTTTTTTTTTTTGAGACTGAGTCTCGCTCTCTCTCCCAGTCTGGAGTGTAGTGGTGCGATCTCGGTTCACCGCAAGCTGCACCTCCCGGGTTCAAGCCATTCTCCTGCCTCAGCCTCTCGAATAGCTGGGACTACAGGCGCCCGCCACCACGCCTGGCTAATTTTTTGTATTTTTAGTAGAGACGGGGTTTCACCGTGTTAGCCAGGATGGTCTCGATCTCCTGACCTCGTGATCCACCTGCCTCGGCCTCCCAAAGTGCTGGGATTACAGGCGTGAGCCACCGCACCCAGCCTAGCCCTTTTTCAATGTGCAAAATAAGTTTTTTTAAATCCATCCATAAAGGTATGAAATAAATAGTAAGTCTTCCTCACCTATCCTCAATAACTGATCTCCTTCCCTAAAATAAACATGCTTAAGGGTTTCCCAGGTAGTTAACCAGAAAAATTATTATGTTTTCACTTGTATTTATGTTTATGCTTTTTAGAATTTACACAAATGGGAATTTAACATATATGTTCGTCCATTTTGGGTTGCTATAAATATCTGAGACTAAGAAAGAGGAAAATAAATTTCAAAAGAACAAGGGATAGATAAGAAGCCTGGGAATGAAACTATAGAAGAGAGATCATGAATTAGGAGATAAATATATTAAAGAGGTTCATACAGTTAGTTTATTTATAAAGAAAAAAAGGGGTCAGGTGTGGTGGCTCACACCCATAATCCCAGCACTTTGCAAGGTCAAGACGGGTGGATCATTTGAGGTCAGGAATTTGAGACCAGCATGACCAACATGGTGAAACCCCATCACTATTACAAATACAAAAAAATTAGCCAGGTGTGGTGGCACATGCCTGTAGTCTCAGTTACTCGGGAGGCTGAGGCAGGACAATTACTTGAACCCGGGAGGCAGAGGTTGCAGTGAGCCGAGATTGCATCACTGCACTCCAGCCTGGGTGGCAAAGTGAGACTGTCTCAAAAAAAGAAAAAAAAAGGAAAAAAGAAAAAGAAAAAGAGAAAAGATTTCTTTGGCTGATGGTTCTGCAGGCTGTATAAGAAGCATGGCATCAGCGTCTGCTTCTGGTGAGAGCCTCAAGAAGCTTTTAGTCACAGCGGAAGAGAAGGGGGAACAGATGCGTCACATGGCCAGAGCAGGAGCAAGAGAGAGGGGAACAAGGATGGCACCAAGCCATTCATGAAGGATTCACCCGCATGTCCCTATCACCTTCCACCAGGCCCCACCTGCAATGTTAAGGATCACATTTCAACAAACACCCAAACTATGTCAACATGCATACTGCTTGTTATGCTTTTTTTACTTAAAGATCTGCTTGGAAATCCCCATTATGTACAGACAGAAAACCATTCTGAAGTGCATGATGAATGCTTCTAAGGTTTCAGAAAGACCAGCTTGTCTGTTGGGAAACTAGTTGATTGGTCAGGTTATGACAGTGGTGACAGTCCTATTATAACAGCAGCTGAGGCTAGAAAAAAAATCTGTAGAGAATTCCATTGCGTAGACGTGTCCCTAATTTTTTTTAAACAGTCGCTTATTCATGACCTTTTATGTTTCTCCCAGTTTTTTGTCATTACAAATGTTGATACAGGCGTATCCTTGGCAGAGGAATTCACTATTTTTGAGGCAATCTGTTCTGCTGCAGAACACTCCAGTTTTTACAAAATTTGTCCTTGAATTGATCTAATATCCAATACCTTTGGAGTTTAAAGTATTGGTCATAATTTAAAACGTTGGGGTCAAAGAGACAAAGAAACATAGAGAATAGTGTGTTCTTCAGGTTATAAGACATTTTGAGTTACATATTTCAACATAGATCTTGTTGGGCTAGACAGACTTAACAAATAAAAACACTTGAGACCCAATTAATTTGAATTTAGATAAGAAATGAATAATTTTTAGTATAAGTTTGTTCCATGCAATATCTGGGGTATAATTATACTTTAAAAGTATTCATTGTTTATCTAAAATTCATGTTTAATTAGATGCTTTGTAAGAATCTGGTAACCCTTCTTCTGAGTTTCTTCTAGCTTAAAATGACCGCTTCTGTGATCATTTCTCATATTATTTTGTTCCCAGAGGCTCTGGCATTGGAGTCATCTTCAAACTATGACACAGAGCTCCAGAGAAACCCAGCATCGGTCTTCCTTTTCCTAAGCCAATTCAGCACTGTGTCAGCCATTTCTATCCACGCCATAAGGCTTGTGCCCCAGATACAGACCTATGAGTAAAAGAGGATCCACACATTTGGTTCCTACCATAGCAGAGAGAGATGGAACTATTCCGAAAGGAAAGGAGAATGACCATCTCTATTACCTACAAAGTGTGTTACCGGAAGACCACTGAACAGGCCTGCTTTACGACCTTACTTCCCTGGGCCACTATTTCCTTCAGTGCAAAAGGAAGTCATTAAACTAGAATTCTTCAAATCAAATAATCTACACACTCTAATAATAACACAAAGTACAATGCCACTGGTACTTTCTTTAATGCAAACACTATATATTTATTATTCATTCAACCCATACTGCAAATTTCTTTTTTATATATTTTTTTGTAACTTTGTCAAGTGGTTGGTTTATTTTTAAGCTTTCACAGTAGCCAAAGCAGGCAGGTTTCCATATAATGCATCATATTGAGGCTATATTAATTATTCATCAACGAGATCATGTGAGCCCGGGTGCAGGTATTGGATCCATTTATTTTGACACTTTAACAACCAGTTTGGATTGACCATATTGCTAATCAACAGAGTTCAACTGGTTGTTAATGAGCACAAACACATACAATTCCTAGAGGGTAGACTTGGCTTCAATTTTAACTATGAAAAGAAGTGATGAAGAAAGGAAAGAATGTGGAGTGAAAGAGGGGAAAGAATGATTGAGAGAACAGGAAGAAATGGCTAAAGGAGGCAAAGCAAGCGAGGGGCAATAATCACTCTCCCCATTTCTGCTCCTCTCACTCAGCCCAGGTCATTTCTATTAGGCCATAATTTTCCTAAATAGCCCTGATAAAATGCATCACATTACATTTATCATTCTGCAATCTCCTTTTTCACTCAGTGATATTTCCTGAAGCTTTTTCCAAGTTAGCACTTAGGGCTCCACCTCACTGTTTTTACTACTGTATACTCTGTCATTGTAAAAATATACCACAATTTATTTAGTCCCCTATTAAGTTGCTTACCTTTATTGCTATTATAAACAATGTTGCAATAAATATGCTTGTTCATTCTTTGTCATGTACATTCAAGAAGTTTTCTTAAATGTAACATCTGAAAAATAGAATTTTCTGGTCAAATAAAATACAGGACTTTAAATAGATCCTGTCAATTTTGAAAAGGTCTGGAAGGTAACAGTTTATTCTCTTGGGAGTGGACTGCTGTAACAGTCAAAAGGAATTTTATCCTTATCTATAATTCTTAATTATTAACATAATTATTAATATAATTTTTAATCGATATTTAACAAAGAAAATAATTTATTAATCATATCATGAAACAATAATTTTTCAAAAAAGAATATTATTTTAGACACATAACACATCAATGGCTTAAAAAACTTTGAGTATCAAAGAGATCCATTCATCCTGCCTCTCCCATCAGGGTGCCTGCCTATGGGTGAAAATAACTGTCTTAGTGAGAAAAGGCTGAACCTACACACACACACACACACACACACACACACACACACACACACACACAGAGAGAGAGAGAGGACTGTCTAAAAGTCACCCTTGAACGGGCTAAACACATGCCCTTTCCATCCAAATCTGATACAAGGGCTCTGGATGGGGCTGAGGTTTCTAAGGGAACCACCAAGGAGTGGCTTCCATTCAGGTTCTGAATAGTTGATTAGGTCGGTACAAAAGGAATTGTGGTTTTTGCCATTACTTTTAACAAACAAAGAATTAAGGTGGAGACCAAAATATCTTTAGTAAGCTGATTTTGGTACGTTTGAGAATACAAATTCCATGTGTCAGTAAAGAGTCCTACTAATACTGAGCCTCAGAATTAGGCAGACTTACCTGCCAGTCATGTCCCTAGCCCAATACCCTGCCCCGTCAGTCCAGATCCCATCAAAATTCAGAGGGCACACTCAAATTAAGATAATTCAAGGAAATTTGATCAAAAGTGTGGACAGGGAAATTACTCCTAGGGGAAGACCAGCATGTGTCTTAAATCCAACCCCCAGGCAGCAGACTCCTGAGAGAGACATGCAGGCAGGGAGTGTTCTGGGGAGTGGCCTCGATCAAGATCGATGCCCATGCAGAATGAAAGAAGTGGGATGGGGCAAAGGGAGGTATGAACTGCAATGAAGTTGTGACGAAGGCCTCAGTCAACCCCATGGGGAGTTCAGGGAGTAGGATGAACCCTCCTAGATGTCTCACTAGATGCAGGCAAATTGAGCCTTTCTGCTTCTGCACTGACCACACACTGAATTGGGCTGTACATTCCCTGGGGAGGGGAGTGTGGTCTGGGTGAAGAGAGGTGGCTCATTTTTTGCTAAAGGCAATTCCTGGAGAGGGACTCAGCTAAGCATCACAGGTTACCCACACTCTCAGTAGCTGGGAGAATGATCTTAGCTCTGACAAGGCATCTGGGCAGTGCCCACAGCATGAACTCAGATTCAGCCCCAGGCCACTTGGATTCACTTTCATTTTATAGCAAAACTTGGGAACAGCCCCTCCAAGATTCTCGCTGGCCTGTTTTCCTAGGTAAACTTAACAAGAGGAAGGCCAGTGACAGGAATTATAGCCCCAGAACCCCCCCAACTCCCATGCTGCAGTTTCAAGGTAACTACACACATCATTTCTCTCCTCCCCTACTCATTCTAGATTCTCCTCACCCTTGGCTAACACCTCTGATGGTCTAAGAGGCTTACCTGTTGGGGACACCTCCACCTTCAACAGTAAGATCTGAGCCTTTCTCAGGCCATGACCACTGCATTTGTCCATTTTTTGTTGAAATTAGGCAAGAGGGTTCCAAGAGAATCCCAGGGAGTAACAGCAGCCCCACCTCCTCCTGATCATCAGGGCCCATTACTCCTGCTGGGATGAAGGCTATTTCCCTTTTCTGATAGGCTTTGGCATGAGCGACATTCAGTAAGCATAGCTTAAAGCTTAATGGGTCTCCTGCTGAGTTTCCTGGTGGAAATGTTCTCCCTTTAGAAACTAGGACTTCTAAACCACAAAAGCCTGGGAGTGTAGTAAGAAGCATAAATTCCCTACATTGGTCACTTGAAGTGATATAAGCCGAGCTATGCCTATTTCTACTCTTTGATTTCCAGACTCGCACTTGCTATCTACTGGGGACACAGCTCTAGGGAAAGGTTGTTGATTTAGGACATATATATTATGTCTGGAGAACAGCGCCCATCTTCACAGCTTATCATCTCCAAGCTGGGTCCTCAGTGGCTAGTAAGCAGCTTTTTTTTCACTCTTTCAGATCTCAACTTCTGAGTGACATAGGATGTGATAAGGCCAGGGGATACCATAGTCAAGGGCCCACTGCCACACCTCCTTGTTTTTAACTGAGTTCTCTATCTCTCAATCCAATGCAGTGCTACATGGGATCCTATGTCCGTGAGTTAAGCCTTTTGAGAGTCATACTGGCAGATTATTCCAGGCAGAAAAGGGAGTCTTGTATCTGGTGCACATGTTGATTCAGTCAACACGAAGCACTGCTCCTTCTGAGATGAGAGGGTTCCAATGTAATCTCTTGCCACCAAGTGGCTGGTTGGTCTCCACAGAGGATGTGCTGAATCAGTGGCTCAGTATTGGTCTATGTTCCTACAAGGCTGGACATACAGGGTGGCAGATCAGTCTTAGTAAGAGGGCGCCCATGCTGTTGGATCTATGCATAGCTTCCATCTCTGCTGCCATGGTGTGAGGTCCATTTGTTAGCATCAGAGTGACCAATGACTGATGTCAACTGGCTGGGTCCTTTTGCCTACTGGGTTGTAGTGCCTTTTCCCTGGAAGATACTCTCTGTTGAGCATTAATATTTGATACAAACCTTGTCACACATTATCTCTCTCAAAGAGGCTTTCACGCACTTCTTCCCTAGGTCTCTTCAACCCTAATCCTCCAAACTTTCTCCTTCCTGGCTCTGGTTAACTGGACAAGCCATTTTTTTTTTACTGACAATGAGCCCACATGTGTTCTTACTGTACACCACTTCTCTTTGCACACGAAGTGGATAAACATGTACACTTCCCAGATCTCTGCTTGTTAGAAGAATTTCTCTTCAGTCTTTCTTTCAGACCACCCCTGAACAGAGCTGTAGTAAGCAGGCCCTATACTGCTTATACCCATATAAAGAGCCAACCCCTCTGTAAACCAAGTTTGGCCTTTTACCTCCTTCATCAGCCGATCCTAGGGGCTCCTGCCCCCACGGAGATGTGGGTGTGAGCTGAGGGAAAGACACTACTGCAAAAGTGGCAGGTGAATGGGTCTGTGCCTGCAGGTGCCCAGCCCCAGATGTGGCTCTTTCATCTTACCATGAATTTCTTGTAGGAGTGTAAGATTTTCTGATTTGGTGGGTCTGACAGAGGCCAAAGGAGTTCACTGATGTATGTCATTCAGGTCAGCCTCCTGGAGCCTGGAGACGGGTGGAGAAGAGTAGACAGTGGATTAAAGGCAGACAGAAGATACTCAGGTCACCCCTAAATCCTGCCCACTACAGGGCAGAGCCCTGGAGGAAGAGTAGAACTTGTGTTTCCGGTGGGTAGCTCATTCCCAATAATTCTTCCCAGATTAATCAATCATTAAATGACGTCCACTTCCCAGGAATAGAATGAGTAAAGGGGCAGAGAGAGGTCAGAAGTATGCTTAGGGAAAATTCCTCTTAATGGAAACCCAGTAGGAAAGAAGCATTCCTGCTCCAGTAAGCACAATGGATCCGGTTCTCCAGGCCCAGAAGAACTAAATGCAGCCTCATAGGGGAGGTCCCATTAACAGCTAGAATGTTCTAGTGCTGTCCAGCTCCAGTGCTGTCCAACAAAACTTTCTGTGGAGATGAAAATGATCTAAAAGTCTGTGCTGTCCAGGAGAGTCACTGGCCACATGTGGTTACTGAGCACTCTATATGTGGCTACTGCGACAGAGGAAATTAGTTGTTTTAGATTTAATTTTGATTTATTTAAACTTAAACAGCCATATGTGGCTAATAGCTACTGTACGGGACAGCACAGAGACTAGGGAATGTGTAGGCACTGACTTTACAGGTAAACACCCTTAGACCCCAATCACACCTTCCCATGGAGCTAATGAGAGCACAGGCACTTTCACCTAAATCCACTGAAACAGGCTTTTGAGTCATTCAGGCCCCACATCACTGCTCACCAGCTGTGTGATTTCAAGCAAGCACTTTACTCTCTGAGATTCAGTTTTCTTATCTGTGAAATGAGAATAATACTTTACAGGGCAGTTGTGGATATTAATGAGAGAACACCTGTAAGATGTCTGGTCTATAGGGGTCATTTTATTAACACCCCCTCATACCAGACCCCAGCCTCAACTTTCTAACCTCTATGTTCTTCTACTTCTGCTTTTCCTTAGTGAATCCGTAAAATATCAGCCAGTTCTTTAGTCTGAGCTTGCTATCCCACTGTAGAAGAAGAAAGTCAACAGGGCTTCCTGCTTTGGATATTCATATTTATTGACCTCAGAGAATTGGAGACATGGATCACTTAGAATATGAAATAGAGGGTTGGTACTTTACTTTTTGGAGAGGGAGGAGTGAAGTTCATTCTATAATCTCATAAACACAGCATTACCTTCTACGTCATCCGCAGTTTACCCTAACAACAGAATTACTTAATCAAAATCAGCAGGCTCGTTGCATCAGTGGAAGTGAGATTCTCGCCTATTTTTGCTGCCAGATCCTGGGAGTAAAAGATGAGAGGCTGAAACTCTCAGTTGAGAGCCCTCATTTTAGAATTACGTAATTCCTCATGGGCAAACAGCCAGAGCCAAATTTGGCAATTCACCAAGGCTCGCTGGAGGCCGACTTCTCCTCCGTTTGTTGGCTGCTTGGCGAGTTGCTTTTGTTTTGGTTTGGGACGTCATAAGTGATGTTGTGAGCTGTGCGAGTATTCTCAAGTCTGCCTTTTGGCCTGTTGATGCGGGGAGGAGAGCTCTTCCTTTGTTTTCGCAGCTCAGTGATGATCTGGTTATTTCTGCGGCAGGAGGTGTCGGGAAGTTCAGAGGTTCCAATTTTAACCAAGCTCCACTAAGGGTCCCTCTGATGAATTTGTGTTTTAATTTTTTTTCCTTGTCTCAGCACCAGACATCATATACACAAATAAAATGTATGAACCTGGCCTGGGGACTGGGAGCTGAGAAGCCTTGCTGAGTTTCAGGGATGAGTTTTAACATCAGAGCCTCCTCATCTGTTTACTTGTTATTACCTATGCAAAATCCTGTTATGAAGGCACAAAGTAGGTCAGGCCCAGCTGTACCAAAACAGAACATAGTGAAGGAATTATAAAGATATCCGTAAAAGCCTGTCCCGTCCATGATAAGACACACTTTCACAGATTTTCTTTTGGTGGTAATCCTGCAAGTCAACCTCATGTCAGTGAACTAACTCTTCCACCTTTGTCAAGACAGCAGGAGTAAGCCAGTGTTTCTAACAATGTTTTGTGGAAAAGGGTAGTGTGTATTTATGGTAATCAAAAGCACTGAGAACCTAGAGAAACTTCTATCCCAGTCTGATGTACTCTTATGAGACTTTCTGCCCTTTCCAGGTCTTTGTTTTTCATGAAAAATAATAAAATAACTTTCATTAGTTCCCTCTCAACTCCTAAAAATCACTTTGTACTATTCTTAAAAAAATAAAAGTGTGTATGAACAGAACACATGAGCATATCTTCAGATTACCTGCATTTAAATAGCTCTACCAGTTTGCAAACCTTTCTGGAAAGATGGGGAAAAAGTTTTTAGGCAACTTGCCATCTTAAAATGAGCTAAAGTTAAATCCCTAGAGAAAAAGAGAAAGTGGGAAGAGTTGTAGTCCCAATGCCTTCAAAGACAAATGGAATTAATTAGGGCACAGAGCAAGCAAAAAGAAAAGAAAAAGTCATGTTCTAACTTCAGCAGGGTGTTTTTCTCTCCAGAGGTCTTTCTCCGAGAGAAGTCCACATTAGAAAACATTTAGCTCATGGAACTCCAGTCTTAGCAGCCCAGTGTAGAGGCTCCAAATCTGCTTATCTGGGCAGAGAGGAAGCACGTACTTCATTCCTTGTTCTGAAAAATGCCGGTAAACCAGTGGGCCTTGTGCCTGACCTGCTGTCCTTGTCAATAATTGTAGATTTCCTTCTCAACATCTCTTTCCCCACCTCCATTCAGAGGGCCACTTGGAGAGAAAACCAGTTCCTAAAAAGATGCCCAGAAAAATGTGAGTGAAAGGGCTGCTCCATGAACACCCTCCCCACCAAGGGCACAAGAAAATGATGTCCTCTGGTTTCTTATTTGCCCATCCAGCAGGGTGATCTGAGAGTTTCATCCCACTACAGAGTGAAGATGTTTGCACAGTTCGTTTCCAGCCCCACATCCCCACCCATATTCCTGGTAGCATCTATGCAATCAGATAACATAGGCAGCACCATCACACCTAGTACTGTCATTCTGAACACCTCTGCAAGATCCCTTTTTTCCTCCCATTGTCACTTCTTACAAAAAAAAAATATGTATATATATAGCCTCAAAAGAGAGAAGTAGGGTAGATGGCTTAGGCGCAGTGCCCTACTGAACAGCAGAATATCCCCTCTCATATGTGTCGGGATCCTTCAGGGACCGCTCTGCCTATGTCCTCTCCCCTTGATCAAGCCTCAGTCTGCCCCTCATCCCCCACCGTGCAGCCTCTTATCTCTAGAGTCCAAGGTAGTGTTCTACACAGAGATCTAGAGATGTGGTATTATGGAACAGTCCTAGGCTAAGTCAGACGTGGAGCCCAAGCCCAGATCTCCCCAGAAGTACAATCTTCTGCAAATTACTTAACCTCTGGGAGCCTTCATTTCCTCATGTGGTAAGTGTGGATAATAACACCTAATTCACGGAGCTGGTATGAGGCTCAGAAAAGATAACATACAAAAAGCTTCTAGTTTGGCACACAGTAAGAGCTCAAAAAATACCAGTGCTTTCTGTCTTGCATAAAATAGTCAATGAATCTGAATGAATAAATCAGCCTTTCTTTCTGTCCCTTTTTCTCTCTGTCTTACACACACACACACTTAAGGCAAGACAAGAAAAAAGGGACAGAGGAGTAAATAAGAGGAACACATCTAGTGGTACATAAAGTCATTCAAGCTTCCTAGACTATAGTGACCTCATCTATAAAATAAGGAGGTTGGGTTGCATGATTTTGAGATTTGATGAAAAACTGAATTGATCTGTGAGAAAGAGAAAAGAAGTAAACGGACACAGGAATGACTGTGGGAGGTGGGATCACAGTCTCCAGAACACCTACAAGAATAAGAAGGTTTTCCTGGAGAGGTTGACAGGGATTCCTTCCAACTTCCTCAGAGGCCCCAATCCCAGAGGATGCAGGAAGACATAGGATCTAGCCAGCATAAATGCCACTCGACAAATGGTAGATATGCCAGAGGCGTTTGAACCAGAGCAACTCCATCTTGAGTAGCGGCTGGAAAAAATGAGGCTGGGACCTACTGGGCTACATTCTGAGATGGTTAGGCGTTCTAAGTCACAGGATGAGATAGAAGGTTGGCACAAGATACAGGTCATAAAGATTCTGCTGATAAAACAGTTTGCAATAAAGAAGCTGGCTAAATCCCACCAAAACCAAGGTGGCGATGAGAGTGACCTCTGGTCATCCTCACTGCTACCTTCCCACCAGCGCCATGACAGTTTACAAATGTCATGGCAATGTCAGGAAGTTACCCTATATGATCTAAAAAGAGGAGGCATAAATAATCCTCCCCATGCTTAGCATATGATCAAGAAATAACCATAAAATTGGGCAACCAGCAGCCCTCAGGGCTGCTCTGTCTATGGAGTAGCCATTCTTTATTCCTTTACTTTCTTAATAAACTTGCTTTCACTTTACTGTATGAATTTGCCTTGAGTTCTTTCTTGTGCTAGATCCAAAAACCCTCTCTTGGGGTCTGGATCGAGACCGTTTCCCATAACAGATAGGTAACAAGTTCAGCAATGTACACACAAACAAAATTTCATCAAGGCTGGAAATGCTTCTTCCTCTTTAGTTTCTGTCACAATGGCTGTTCAGCCAAACTACAGGGGAGGGGGCAGGCAGGAGAGGGGCATGGAGCAGAGGTTCAAGCAGATCCCCATCATATAGATGCTTTCCTCCAGGCTGCTCCAGAGCCCAGACTCCTTGAATCAGTCATTCTGAATTTACCCTTCTTTTCTAGCTGACACTGGTGAAATGAGGAAAGAGCTGGGCAGGATATTTTATTATGAGGCATATGAGGGAGTGAAGAAAATACCAGACACTGGCCAGAATGGGCAAGATGTCTTGCAGGATAGGCGTTATCTTGAACTGGAGACTGGGAGATGCCTGGGTGGTAGTCAGAAACTAGGTGGTCCCGGACAACTGCTAGAGACCTGCCCATTCAATGCCCAGTAGATATTCTAAACAAGCAAAATTTCTTGCATTTCTGGAAAGGGTGTTGGCTTTTATTTAAATTCAGTTTAGTTCAACAGCATTCTTTCCCCCATCTCGTGTTGAGGGTTGCCTGTCCTTGAGGAAAATGAGGGTTGCCTTTGGTGCCTTTAGTTGGTAAATCAAAGACATGGGGGATTTCATTTCCTCAGCTCCAGGCATGAGAGGTGTCTGTGCCTGCGCATGGAAGAGCCAATGCAGCCGGACTGTGCTCATTTCTGCTGCAGACAGATGGCTCTGCACATCCCCTCATGGACACTGGGCTCTCTATCCGGCCAGGATCACAGAAAATAAAACCAAACATTATTTGCTTGCAGATTAAAAATAAAAATAAAAGGAGCGGGATTAGGCCTCAAATGTGTTTCCTTCACTAGTAGGGTTCTTTTCTTTGCTTTTAACTCAGGTGAAATGGCCATGCTGTCATTATAAAACTGTGAGAGAGTGAGAAACACAAAGAAAATAAAGATTTCTAGTGAAATACGTATTACAGAGGCTTTTTCCCCCTGTAGCTGTGTGGTAAAAACTGGAAAACTTTTTACAATTTTCTCGAATTATAACTCTGAGTAAGTTCACTCAACCCATTCAACCCATTCAAAACTGCACCCCTCACTGTGACCCCACATTCCAGCTTGGTCCCAGACCGTATCAGCTGTAGGTGTTCCAGTTCCCACAGTCAAACCGTCTGACTTTGTGGAGGGCTCAGTGGCACAAATTCGCTCTGCACTGTCCGGCTTTCTTCGCTATGTATTGAATGAAAGAACAGCTGACAGAAGACAGTTTGTGTCTCCTCTGAGGTCTCTTCACTCCCCAGTGAGTTTGAAGAGAACCTACAGAGAAACTGGGTCAGGTACTACAAAAGTCCTGCAAAGGTTTACCATCCGGAGGTGGAGAACAAATACATGTTTTCACCATTTCTGCATTTTTGCCCATCAGTTTACTGCACCCTCCTCAAGCAGATCAGGCCATTGTTGGAGTGAGCACTGATTAGAATACCAAAGCCTAGAGCTAAGCTTTTTGCTAAAAGAGATGCTGACTTGTAGACTTCGCAGGATTGAGAGGCCCAAGTCTCTGGAGCTAGATGAGCTTGTTTGATTTAGTGGCAGCACCAATCTGATCCTTTAAATTGTTTCCTAGCACAATGTAACCAGCACTTTTGAAAGTCAGTCTGACTGTAATTTGCTACTAATTGTAGTTTAAAATGAGCTACCCTGGGCCCAGCTGATAGCAAAGCATAAATTCAAGTGGCTGCTCTCAGGACGTCCTTGGATTAAGGTGAGCTTTAGTATGCTCACTACCTGGGCTTCTGGAAATTGGATAATTTCTATACCTATCATACGTATCACCCCTACTCATCAGATTAAGTTAAGCCCCTAGATGATGGAAAAGAGAAGAATTGCTCTGGGTGGCATTTAAATTTTAGCAAAAATCAGTGTCATTGTGACTAACTGTGCATGCTTTTTTTTTTTTTTTTTTTTTTTGGTTACATGAGTGTGTTCTTTAGTGGTGATTTCTGAGATTTTGGTGCACCCTTCATCCATGTATACACTGCACCATATTTGTAGTCTTTCATCCCTTGTCCCCCTCCTACTCTTCCCCCAAAGTCCCCAAAGTCCACTGTATCATTCTTATGCCTTTGCGTCCTCATAGCTTAGCTCCCACATACCAGTGAGAACACACGAAGTTTGGTTTTCCATTCCTGAGTTATGTCATTTAGAATAATAGTCTCCAATCTCATCCAGGTCACTGTGCAGTTTGCTTCTATTATGCCTTTCTCTGGCTACCCAACTTCTGAGATTTTTCCTGCTCTTTCCTTAGGTCATTTACCCCTTAGGGCCATATCCACAAAATGTTGTCCATAGACCACTTTAGGCCTTTGCAAAAATGCAGACCCCTAGACCCTAATCTTACTCTAGTAAATCATAACTTGGCTGTGGGGTAGGAGGCAGTTCCAGGAATCACCATGTAAAATGAGATCCCCGAGGATTCTGATGTACATCCACCTTTGAGAACCACTGCCTCATAGGGAGATTAGAATGATTCATCCTTGCGTTATTTTTAAGTAAAAAAATTGAGCACTTTAAAGTAAAAAAATTAATTGCAGTGAAATGGAAACCAAGAGGAGAATGTGGATTGGAGAGCTAGGATAAACTCCTTCGTTGTTCTCCAAGCTCTACCACTGCCCATACTACCATCCCTCCCACGCTGGGTATCACAATCTCAGACTGACCAGGTTGGATTCAGGGCTGCTATCAAGATCACACAGCACATTTTGGGGTACTCCATAATTTGACTTTGGTCTCCTCCTTTTCTCTCTCATGCACTCCAGTCTGGTCAGTGGCTCTGTTCTGCTCACTTAAGCCATGCTCATGCCAGGCTTTGTGTCTTTGCTCACCCTATCCCCTCCCTTCCACATAGAAAGTCTTGCCTCTGACCCTGACATATTCTAAGCCTACCGTCTTTCCTGTTTAAATCTTAATCCCGTGTAAACCTTTTCCATTCATTTCAGAACACCTTCATCACTCCATTCTCTGAAACTTTACTTCCCCTAGAGTAAGTCTTAATTTAAAAAAAAAAAATTAGCATTTAATTATGACATTTGTGTAAGTTTCATTTTGCCAGCTAGATTTTGAAGTTCTCTGGCCAAAGAGACAGACTTTTTAATATTTCCCTCAGTTTCTAGCACTGAGCACAAAGTAAGTAAATGGTGTGAATCTAATACTTCCTTTTAAAATTATTGATCGATGGAATGCCTCCCTGCCTGACCAGAAGATTATGTGGTAATTTCAGCCACCTCTATCATGTATGACCTCAGTCAATGGCAACAGTTGAAAGTCAGTGTCTTTCAGAAGACACTGAAAATTGGCACAAAAAATGTGCACAGAGGACAGCACTCCACTGGTCATTATTTATTAAGCTTCAACTGTATGCCAGGCACTTGGTTAGATGTCGAGAATAGAGTGGTAAGTAAAACACCCTCGCAGCTCTCATGGGATTCCTGCCCTCCTGGTAGAGATAGAGCGTATTCAGGTGATCATAAAAGTTAATATAAGTTTGCAACATGATACACATTAGAAAAAAAGGATATCAGGCCAGGCGTGGTGGCTCACACCTGTAATCCCAGCACTTTGGGAGGCTGAGGTGGGCAAATCATAAGGTCAGGAGTTCGAGACCAGCCTGGCCAACATGGTGAAATGCCATCTCTACTTAAAATACAAAAAATTAGCTGGGCATGGTGGTGGGCGCCTGTAATCCCAGCTACTCGGGAGGCTGAGGCAGGAGAATCGCTTGAACATGGGAGGCAGAGGTTGCAGTGAGACGAGATCGCGCCACTGCACTCCAGCCTGAGTAATAGTGCAATGAGACTCCATTTCAAAAAAAAAAAAGAAAAAGAAAAAAAGGATATTGTCAGGCCTCTGAGCCCAAGCTAAGCCATCATATCCCCTGTGACCTGTACGTACACATCCAGATGGCCGGTTCCCACCTTAACTGATGACATTGCACCACAAAAGACATGAAAATAGCCTGTTCCTGCCTTAACTGATGACATTATCTTGTCTAATTCCTTCTCCTGGCTCATCCTGGCTCAAAAGCTCCCCTACTGAGCACCTTGTGACCCCCACACCTGCCCGCCAGAGAACAACCCCCCTTTGACTGTAATTTTCCTTTACCTACCCAAATCTTATAAAACGGTCCCACCCCTATCTCCCTTTTCAGACTCAGCCAGCCTGCACCCAGGTGAAATAAACAGCCTTGTTGCTCACACAAAGCCTGTTTGGTGGTCTCTTCACACGGATGTGCGTGAAAGATATCATGTGGGCTCTGAAAGCAAGAAACAGGAGGACCTGTTTCCCTGGGGTTTGAAGGAAGAGAATTGCGCTGGAAACAGAACTTGGAGCCTCCAGGTTAAGACTGCAAACCTCCTTCCCTCTGGCTACTCCCATCTCCCATTCTCTAAAATTAGAGTTGCATGACCTTTCCTTTAGGGGTCCCCAAACTATTAAAGAGCTGCTTAAATCCATGTGGCTGAATTGTGACTGCCAGGTGATCAATCTAATTTATACCAAAATTGGCCAAATCCCTTGGACTTTCTGGCAATAAAATGGATATGATAATAGAGCCTTGCTAAATCCACACTGTGAAGACGAAGTGGCCCCCAATCAGTAGAGATTTAGCTCCAAATTATTTCTTTTTTTTTTTTTTTTTTTTTTTTTTGAGAAGGAGTCTCGCTCTGTCGCCCAGGCCGGACTGCGGACTGCAGTGGCGCAATCTCGGCTCACTGCAAGCTCCGCTTCCCGGGTTCACGCCATTCTCCTGCCTCAGCCTCCCGAGTAGCTGAGACTACAGGCGCCCGCCACCGCGCCCGGCTAATTTTTTGTATTTTTAGTAGAGACGGGGTTTCACCTTGTTAGCCAGGATGGTCTCGATCTCCTGACCTCACGATCCACCCGCCTCGGCCTCCCAAAGTGCTGGGATTACAGGCGTGAGCCACCGCGCCCGGCCCAAATTATTTCTTTGTTAAGAAAGCCCCGCCACCCCCCAAAAAAATAAAGGAATGAAGGGAAAGGAGTGTGTGTGTGTAAGCAAGAAAGCAGTTATCCCTGTTCCAGTGGGTTCTTAATAAAACTCAATTACACATTTCAATTGCTCTCTTGTGACTTTCTGTGGGTTACAAGAAAAGAATATATATATATATATATTGAGATGGAGTCTCGCTCTGTGGCCCAGGCTGGAGTGCAGTGGCGCGATCTCGGCTCTCTGCAAGCTCCGCCTCCTGGGTTCACGCCATTCTCCTGCCTCAGCCACCCCAGTAGCTGGGACTACAGGCGCCCGCCACCACGCCCGGCTAATTTTTTTTTTTTTGTATTTTTAGTAGAGACGAGGTTTCACCGTGTTAGCCAGGATGGTCTCGATCTCCTGATCTCGTGATCCGTCCACCTCGGCCTCCCAAAGTACTGGGATTACAGGCGTGAGCCACCGCGCCCGGGCAACAAAGGAATACTTTAAGGGGTTCCAAAAGAATCCTCTTTGGAAAATTGGCCACCTATCAACTGACAGAGGGTATTGTTTATTCCTGAATAGCTTTGTCAGCTACAAGCAAATTTAACAACAAGATAGTTACTCTGAAAACGCAGTGTGTAGAAAATGCAATAACATATGGAGACAGAGATGTGTTTTTATTACTTTTCTTTTCTGTCGCTTACAGTAAGTGTGCCACATGTGTCTGTTGAGAGTGTGTGGGAAGGTATGGAAGAGTGGTGAGGAGATTCCAGAGACGCTGGCCACTTAATATAGCCCTATTCAGTCAGATAGCTTCTATTATGCAAACTCACACATTGAAGACATTTTCTGTCAACCTTTAAAACATGGGATTCAAAACAGCATTGTCACAAGACCCAGAAGATTTAAATAGATAATGCACCTGATTGTATTTAACAAAAAACAAAACACCTTCAGTGGGTAAAACTATGAATGCCTTTGCATTAAATCTGATCTGCTTTGAATAGCCATTTAATTATTAATCAAACCATAAAAGCAAAAGATACCTGTTTTTACAAATAAATACTTTCTGTATGTCTCTCATCTCCATGTATTTACATATTCTGAACACATTTAGAAGACAGTTTGATAATAAAATGTACTTACATTTTGCTTCTATGTTGCAGGCAGCCTTCTAATGTCTTTGTACATCTGTGACTCATTTTCTACTTGCAACAACCCTAGGAGGAAGGCAGAAGCTTTACTTCCATTCACAGTTGAGGAAACTGAAGCCCAGAGAGGTTAAGTAACTTGCCCAAGGTCACAGAAATGATCACAGGGAAAGACATGATTTGAATCCAGGCTTATGCAAGTGCGTGAAGCCTCTTGACTTCTCTTCCATATTCCCTCTCTAAGACTTATGAAGAGGGATGGCTGGTAGTAATTGTAATTGACTTTGAGTAGGTCAAAAAATACATAATGTTTCCCTAGGCTTTCCATGGGCTAATTTTTAAAACTGTTGTTTAGCTAGATAGTTAATGATGCAATAGTCCAAGTTAACTTACAGCAAACTAAATGTCATAAATAAATCACAGACCACTAATTTGTACAACCTAAGCCAGAATTTGCAATGAAAGCAAGAGGGAGAAAATGTTTGAGAAAACCATCTTCAGACGAAAAAGCAATAAGTTAAAATTAACTCCCTGAGGTAAAGACTCTACTCTTTGCAATTTACCCAAGTGCTTGTAGGTGACTTACAATTCCCAGCCTTCGCTCAGATCTGAGTTTAAAAGTGCTTCTTTTAGCAGCTCTTGCAGGATAAATTATGACTTCAAAGCAGAAATGTCTCCATTCACAAAATGGGTCGCTGACAAGAGCTCTAGGGTGCAAAGAAACTATAACGAGCAAGGAAATATGGCAACAAGAAAAATGAATTTGTACCCTCGGTTCTGCCTCCTCTTACCTGTTTCACAATGTGTTATAGCGAGCCTCATTCTGCCTCTCATCACAGTGGGAGGAGTATGAGAAGGGGAGCTACTCAGTTAAACTGGATGGGCCCGGGCTTCAGAGAATTACACTGGAAATGGCAGAGGAACCTTCAGCTTCTTCTGAAGGCCTGCCAGCTTTTGCAGTGAGAGCTGCCATGCTGAGGCCCTGTCATGGCAGTTGACCAAGACTTGAAGTCCTTGCTCGGGGCTGGAAGTCTGGGCCCAGGACGACATGGAAATGCCCTAACATGGCTTCCTGTGAACTCCCCCTGAAACAGGAGATTCCAGGGCAGCTGGGAATCCATGGAGGCCTGTGTCAGGCCTCTGAGCCCAAGCTAAGCCATCATATCCCCTGTGACCTCCGGATGGCCTGACATAACTGAAGAATCACGAAAGAAGTGATATTTAAGTGGCCTGTTCCTGCCTTAACTGATGACATGCCGCCACAGAAGAAGTGAAAATGGCCGGTCCTTGCCTTAACTGATGACATTACCTTGTGAAATTCCTTCTCCTGGCTCATCCTGGCTCAAAAAGCTCCCCCACTGAGCACCTTGTGACCGCCCCCCCGCCACCCCACTGCTGCCCGCCAGAGAACACCCCCGTTTGACTGTAATTTTCCTTTACCTACTCAAATCTTATAAAACAGCCTCACCTCTATCTCCCTTCGCTGACTCTCTTTTCGGACTCAGCCCGCCTGCACCCAGGTGAAATAAACAGCCTTGTTGTTCACACAAAGCTTGTTTGGTGGTCTCTTCACACAGACGCACGTGAAAGCCTGCAGCTACTTTTTGCTGTCTGAGTTGTCCATCTCCACCTCCACGTGGGGTTTTTGTCTACAAAGCCAGCGTTGACACTTTCAAATTGCACATACGGAAGTGACTTTAGAAATGCCAGTGTTTCAGTCTAAGGATGAAGGAAGACACTGTTTCATGCCGCAGGGAAGCCATCTGCGTGCTTGGAGGCAGGAGCCTGGGGCATATGGGGATACAGGTGATGGAGCAGAGCACCAGCAGCATGAAGCACCCAAGAGGGCAATATTCGCGTGTGAAGGGAGTGGGCCTATATCACAAGGTACATGGAGATGGCAGGAAGGCACAACCTACCCCCAAGCAGGTGGTGAGGGAACCTGGGAGCCACAGCCAACCAGGAAGGATTAGGTGATGCCATTGCTCCACAGGCTTAGCTCTGCTCTCCTCAACTCAGCAGGAGTCCTTTGCCAGTAAACCATGGAGTTGGTGGAAGGACCCGTGCTGCGGTGGCTCTCTGGGCTTTGCCTCAGTGCCCAGCCTGGCACTGAAGCTCTCTTTGAGGACCTGAATACACCTAGGACTCAGACCTCTTGGCTGAGGCCCTGATGTCTTATCTGGACATCCTCCCAGGAGCCTAAACTCTTTCTCCTACCATTATTCCCAAGAAAGAAAACTTGTATATGGTGGCGGGGATAGAGAGGGAAGGATGTTGGGTGCCAGAGCTCTGTTTCTTGACTTCTTGATTCAGAGAAAATCTGCGAATGTTCCCAAGAAATTATGTCCCACCTGTTGGTGCTACTGATAAAATGAATAATTAACTCCAGACCAGGCTTTATGCCAAATGCTTTAGCTAATCCTCACATCCTGCCTGTGAGGGAGGTAATTTTTGTAGACGAGGAAATGAGGTCCAAAGTAGTCACGACTTACCCAAGGGCCTACAATGGGAAGAGGGGAAGAGCCAACAATCAAAGCTTGACAGTTTGCTCGCATGTTGTATATTGTATTTCTTTTTCTTTTTTCTTTTTTTGAGACTGAGTCTCCCTCTGTTGCCCAGGCTGGAGTGCAATGGCACAAACCTAGGCTCACTGCAACCTCTGCCTCCCAGGTTCAAGCAATTCTCCTGCCTCAGCCTCCCAAGTAGCTGGGATTACAGGCATGCTCCACCACGCCCGGCTAATTTTTCTATTTTTAGTAGAGACAGGGTTGCGCCATGTTGCCAGGCTGATCTTGAACTCCTGACCTCAGGTGATCTGCCTGCCTCGGCCTCCCAAAGTGCTGGGATTACAGGGGTGAGCCACCGCGCCTGGCCGTATATTGTATTTCTTCCAAGACTTGCTGAGTATTTTCTGCACACCTTGCAGAGCTTCCTCCTGCTTCTCTTCAGCAGAGGTCCAGCCTTGAGGAAGGTGTCACTGGGCGAGGTGGTGAAAGAATGTGATCTGATTCATGAGTTAGTACTACACAGCAGCTGGTGTGATGGGAAAACCCCCTCTCTTATAAAAGGAAGCAAAGAATTTCTCACCCGTAGTTAAAATTTCTCTTCCCACCACCCCACCTCCCTCTACTTTTGTGGTAAAATAGAGAACGGAACAAAGTCAGCACTCCAACTCTTCCTGCTATCTTGATTCAGCCAGGAAAGCATAGTAAACAGACCCAGACCTCCCAGGAACAGAGTATTGACGAGAAGAGTGGACAGAGTTAGCTGGGAACCCAGTGGGAAAAAGATTTGGATGCATCAAGAGAAATTAAAAATCAAAACAAAAGTGAGTTCTTTTGTTGTTGCTAATAGAAACAGTATCAAGATACAGATGGAAGACACCATATGGGAAAAAAATAAATAAGAAAAGCAAAGAAAGAGGGAAAATTTTAGCAACTACATCTCTTTCTCTAGTGAAATGACAACCCACTGGGTATCAGGAGAGCTGAGGGGCTGGCCTCTGCTGTGCTTCTAACAGGCTATGTGACACTGGCCAAGACACTGCCCATTTCTGGCCCTCAGTTCCAGGTTTTGTTCTGGCCACAATCAAAAGAAACCCATTCAACCAATTAATCAACCCAGTGGCACTCGCCTATTGTAAATTGTTCCTACACCTTTATGCCCATAATATACACAAAAGAAAAAGGGTAGGAAGAAAACTGTAATACCAACTCACCCGATTTCTTATGAGAAGATTGTTTCATTTCAATATCTTTATGAAATACTTTAAAAGCCATATTTATATATTCACACACACATACATACACACACATATACACATACAAATGCTTTCTCTGTAGGTTTTTAAAAATTTTGTTTGGACTGATGTTCAAAACACAATAGAGTAGGTGGATATACTATGAAATTCACATGCACTGTTTCAGTTTTGCCATCATTAAACTGTCATCAGGCAGGATACAAACAGAGCTGACCAAGCATGTGGGCTTGTAGAAAATAATGCATATTTCACTTCCAGGAGGAGCTCAAGTCGTTTCCTGCAGATGAAACAATAACTTGAGGACTTTTCTTACCCTTTTTCCTCTTTCTGGAAGTTAGTAAATAACATAAGCCCAGTCATAAAATCTGAGATTATGTTTTCAGAATACTTTCTCTCTTAGCTAATGAGACTATCGCCTACATTTTAAAATGTTAAATACACTCAGTGTAAAGGAGACAAACGTAATTGTGTCATCTCGTACCAAAATTTGTCTTCTATAGTTACAGGGAATGGTGAAAGTTCTCTGAACATTCTGTTGTAAATTTTTGATAGAAGTAGAAAACTTAAACATGGTAGCTACGTGTGGAGGAAAGAGCCGGAGAGATTGTGTCCACACTTTCCACCCTCATCTATAGGATGTTAAGTGGAGAAACACGAAGAGTCTCTTGTAACCTTTGCAATGACATGCTCTTTATCTAATGCACTCAGTTACTTAACTAGTCTGCCAATATAAATCTTTAAGAAAACTGTGTGTAAAGTCAGCAGGGGGTCCACGTCCTGATGTTATGTTTTTTCCTACTGCTGAATAAATGATTTCCTCCTCCACCACCACACTCATACGTGTGTCCTCATTAGTATGTATGAACTGAGTGGAATAAGCATTGGGAGATTTACAGTGTACTGCATTCAACTTAATTAATAAGAAAGGGAGCCCATTTCTAGGGGAGGGAGTCAATGTTCACAGGTTCCTACATTCTGCTGTTTAATTAACAAGCCCGTCATACAGAAAAGACTTTAACAGTGCCCTCCTCATTTTCTCTACCTGTCACAACTATTAACTAAACCTTTCAGTGACCTTCAGATGTTAAGGTGCCCTGATCTTTAGCTAGCACCTCCAATGTAATTATGACCTTAATGTTCTTACCCAACACTCAAGTCGGTCATTCAATGAATATCAAAAGAGGGTCAACCATTGGCCCGGCAGTATGGTAGATGCAGAGGACACAAAAGTGAACTAGGTACAACCTGATTTTCAAGTAAATTTCAGTTAAGTAGAGGAGACAGGATATTTTAAAAAGTCAAGAAATAGGGAGATTTCTGAAGTAGGGGGCTGTATGCGCACATTTCTAAGACAGCCTCAAGAGATGGCAATGGGAGAGTGGGGCATAGAAGGAAGGCAGTCAGAGAAGGTGTCACAGGGAGCTGGTATCTGCACAACGACTTAAAGGACAAGTGCCCACCTCCCTACAAGACTGAGGCAGGTTCATCAGTGGGTACCCAGCACCCAGCGCAGAGCAAGTGCTCAATGCAATTTCCTGAATTGAGTTTGCCAAGCATGGAAGGGTGTGACAGCATTTCGGGGGGTGGGGTGGGTGCAGTACACGGGCAAGGGCCAAATGGTCTTAGTGTGTTCTGAGAATCACAAGTAATTTGTTATAATGGAGAATATGGTTTGAGCGAGGAAGTGATGGATGAGGGGGCTGGCAAGGGATTATAAAAAACTAAGCTGATAAAATTGGGTAAAATAAATGGCCATCTTCCAAGAATTTTTACTTAACAAAAACCTAGAAGCATAGCAGTGCTCATGTTAACTTCACACAAAAACAAGCATAATATGAGAAGTGCCTGGATAATCATCTGGTATTGTTCCTTGACTTGTTTGCATAGAAAAAAAAAAATAACAGAGCCAGGTGTCTCAACAATAAAGTATATTTCTTTCAGTTTGGAATGGCGAAAAAGCTCTGGAGATAAATAGTGGTGCTGGTTGCACAACAATGCCAGTGTACTTAATGTCACTGAATTGTACACTTAAAATGATTAAAATAGCAAAGTGTATGTTATGTGTATTTTACTATAATAAAGAAAAGTATTTCTTGAGTGCCTATCATGCTCAAGACACATAGACTTACCTAAGAGAATGTTCGTAATGATTGATGTCAAGCTCACTGGCTTTAGTTCGTTATTTTTTATTGGGATGTAAGTACAGGCACACAGGTCATTAAGTATACATCTCGATGAATTTTAATATCTGCACCAATCACTACCTGGATCAAGATGTAGAACATTTCCAGCAGGCTCCCGCCTGCCCCTTCCCAATAACAAACTTCCCACAAAGGTAACTGCAATTTTGATTTCCATTTGAAAAAAAATTTTTTTTAAATATGTGTTTATCCTCACTTTTTCTTGACTTTATGCAGAACAATCTTCTGACAGTTGTTGACATTGCTGTGTATTTTGTTTTGTTTTGTTTTGTTTTTACTGTGTAACAAACTGGCCACAAACTTAGTGACTTAACACAACACAAATTCATTATCTATTGATCCTGTCGGGTTAGCAGTCCAGGCATGGGTTAGCTGGGGTCTCTGCTCAAGACTTTGCCAGGCTAAAATCAAGTAGCAGGTTAGGGCTGCTAGCTCACCTGAGAGGAAGAGCCCTCTTCCAAGCTCGCCAGTTGTTGGTAGAATTCATTTCCTTGCAGCTATATTCCTGAGGTTCCAGTTTTCTTGCTGGCTGTCAGTCAGGCCTCCCAGATGCCACCTTCTCATGCTGAACCATGGTCCCCTCCTCTACCAACTGGGCAGCTTACTTCCTCACGGTCAGTAGAGGATGGCCTCTGCTGCTGCTTGTCTCTGTATTAGCTCAGGCCCACCCAAGGCAATATCTCTTTTGATTAACTCAAACTCAACTTATTTTGGACCTGAATTACATCCACAAAATCCCTTTTGTCATATAACATAACATAGTGACAGGAGCAATATCCCACGGTATTCACAGTGCCGCCCACACTCAATAGGAGAGGATTATACAAGGTGTGTTCCTTATATACAAGGTACACTGTGGGGAGGAATCTTGGGATCTTGGGGCTATCTCAGAATCCTGCCTATCACAGTTGCTTTCAGTTATTTCACCTGACCACAAATGCAATGAGATAATAATTTTATTATTTAGGACATTCATCATTGAAAATTTAGAAAATGCGGATAAAAGAAAAGTAAAATAAAAATTAATATACTATTTACTATTATAACCAGATATAATTAGCATTTTAATGAATTTACTTCCAGGTTTTTCCTAAGCATTATAAATATACATATGTAGGTATTTCTAGAAAGAAGACGATGCTATACAGACTAATATTAGGTAACCATTTAAGTGGAATTTTCAGTCTGGTTATTCATTGTGTTATGGGAGAACTATTTTTATCTTTTGGTTTTGAACCTATTATAGAGTGGCCCTGTGCTTATCTATACAATATGCTACAATATATAGGTATATATGTACAATGTTAAATTTTGCTAAACTAGAATTTAACAATATGTAAACATCAGCAAAATATCCAAAAAGCCCCCTTTCCGTGTAGTAAACATGGAGAATATATGGTCCAGGAAGAACCTCCTCAGCTTAAGAGATGGCACAACTAAGCTTTTATTGGCTAGCAGGAGGTGCAATTAACAAGTAGAACAGTGATGTATATCCTAACTCATTGTTACTAATGATTTTTCTCTTTTTAAATCTGTAGTGGTAATTAGAACACTCACAAATACTCCATTTTTCCTTCTCAAAGCATATGTTAAGATTGCTTTTCCTTGTCCCCACATGGCATGGCCTATGTGACTTATCTTGGTCATGAAATGAGAACAAAAATGATATGTCATTCCAGGGCAAAAACATAAAGAATGAGTTTGTGATTGGTGATGTCACCTTCGCTCAGCTCTGTGACCCTGTGAGCTGCTTTGAGATGGTGTTTCCGCCAGCTGGGTGCCTGGGTGGTCTTGATTAGCAGAGCATCCCCTCCGCTATAAGTTCACATTGAGTGAAAAACAAAATGTTGCTGTGGCAAGCCCCGAAGAGTTGTTTCTTGTTGCAGCATAACTAGCCAAACCTATCTAATGCAAAAACTAAAGTTTGAAAACAACCTTTCTCTTTTTATAAATTAGAGCTGATTCAAATTCATACCTATAAAAAAATTTGTCTCTTATTTACTTACATTTGAATGGAAGGGAATGGGTAAAGAAAACATGAACGTCCTGAGAATGCATGCAGGGGCCTTGTCCTCAGGGTGAACATCTTCCTTCATGTGAGACCTGGTGGGAACAGATCGACAACAGCAGAACAGCAGATTATCATACTGGGGCTGGTAGGCCAGAGGCCGAAGCACCTGTTCACCTTGACATATACTATTCACTGCTAGTTCATCAAATTAGCTAGAAACTAAAATTGAATGTATCTAAACATATGTTCAAGCTGTTCAAATCTAATTCCACTAAAATCCACTTTTAAAAGCAGGGCACCATATAGAATTACTTTTAAAATATATGAATAGGCCTTTGTGTGCACTTTACTCTTTATAGTCATTTCCACTATGAATTTGCCAAGTGAGTCTTTTGACTCAATGCTGTGGCCAGTTACAATTCCGTGTGTTCAAGACATGTATGGGTCATGATATTTGCTGTTAATACAAAACAAAACAAATAAGCAAACAAAAATAGAAACAGTCCTGTGTTGAGTATGATGAGGTGAAATCAGATTTTTAGCAGAGGTGAAATCAGATTTTTAGCAGAGAGCAGAAGAATGATTTTAGTCAGGTGGCATGGTTATTAGAATTGATATTGAAATGGCCTCCTGATATGGTTTGGATCTGTGTCCCCACCCAAATCTCATGTGGAATTGTAGTCTCTAGTGTTGGAAGTGGGGCCTGGTTGGAAGTGATTGTATCATGGGGGTGATTTTCTTTCTTTCTTTCTTTCTTTTTTTGAAATGGAGTCTCACTCTGTCACCCAGACTGGAGTGCAGTGGCGCGATCTTGGCTCACAGCAACCTCCACCTCCTGGGTTCAAACAATTCTCCTGCCTCATCCTCCCAAGTAGCTGGGATTACAGGTGCCTTCCACCATGCCCAGGTAATTTCTGTATTTTTTAAGTAGAGACAGGGTTTCATCATGTTGGCCTGGTTGGTCTCAACCTCCTGACCTCAAGTGATCCGTCTACCTCAGCCAAAGTGCTGGAATTACAGGCATGAGCCACTGCACCCAGCCAAGGGATGGTTTTCTTATGAATGGTTTAGCACCATCCTCTTGGTGCTGTTCTCATCATAGTGAATGAGTTCTCATGAGATCTGGCTATTTAGCGTGTAGCACTTTCCTCCTTGCTCTCTTGCTCCTACTCTGGTCATGTGATGTGCATGCTCCCGCTTTGCTTTCCCCATGATTGTAAGCTTCCTGAGGCTTCCCCAGAAGCTGAGCAGATGCCAGCATCATGCTTCTTGTACAGCCTGTAGAACCATGAGCCAGTTAAACCTCTTTTCTGTATAAATTACCCAGTTTCAAGTTTTTTTTTTATAGTAATGCAAGAATGAACTAATACACCACCATAGGGTCCACTCCCCCTTCTTTGGATACTTGTCCTGGTTTTTTTTTTGGGTAGCCACACCTCCCATGAGTCCTTGCCCATTGAAGGAGACTGATTGTCCCCTGTTCCCACTGAGGGTGGGGTATGTAGTTCAGGCATAACCTACTCAGTGTGCTCCCCTCCCCTGGCTACAGTGATTGCTTCAAGCGTGGATGACACAATATGTGGGCCAATAAGACTGGAGAAGAAATTTTCTGTAACCTCTGAGAAGTATCCTTTCTCTTTTCTGAAAGCTTCTGGAAATGGGCATCTCTCTGGTTCTCTCCAAGGACATATGTAAGAGCAAGTATCTTGAGAAAATGTCAGCAGTCAAATTACCACTGTGAGGTAAGGCTAAGTCATATTACCACCTAGGTAAGGCTAGCCTCAGAGGCAATCTGCCATTGTGGTAGGCAGAGGAAAAATGGAAAGAAACCTCAATGACATTGTTGAGTCACTGAATTTTACAATCCAGAGTTTTTTCTTACTTGTAGACTTCTAGATATATAGACCACTATATGTGCTTTTATTTTATATTGAAGCTACTTTTTGTTGGGCTTCTGATTCCTTATATCTAACATGCTTAAACTAACATAACTAAAGACTGACTGGAAATACAGTTGCATAAAGACCTGGATGGAATGCAAAAATCAGAATGCAGTTGTCCATTTCAAAGCAATGGCTTTAAGCAGGACATGATTCCAAGTGTCCTAAAATGACAGGTTATATGAAGTCATTTGCAGTTCCAATTATGTTGAACAGAATGGTAAATGGTAAAATTTTAGATGTGTTTTTTTCAGAGGTTTTGTTGGGTAAAGAGGTGTAATCAGGAAGGGAATGGCAGACAAAAAGGAGAGAACAAAGATTTGATGATAATAATAGCTAATGCTACATTACATTTGCCATGTGTCCAGCAGTGTTCAAGGCAGAGGACGTATTTTCTCATTTGCTCTTCCTAATAGTCTTGCAATACGAGTATATTTATCCCCACTTGTTTACAAAGAAGAAAACAGAGGGACCAGAGGTGCCCATGCCATAGGACCCACAGCTAATAAGACCTGCAATTCAAGCCACAAGGTCTGGCTACAGTGCTGGCACCACTACCCTCTGCTGCTTTTGCCATTTGGGTCCTTTAAGGCTGATGTAGAAGTATCCATCTACTGATACTGAATGTTCCCTGAGTATGCTTTGTTTGTAGCATCCTTTAAAATCCACCAGAAATACCCAGGATTCATCTGGATGAAACAAGGTGTTCAGACAGGGATGTACCTGACAGAACCCACATAGGCATTGTTTGTGAATGAATTAATTATGCCAAGGAATTAGGTAAGCAGAGGGGGTTCTTCTGCCAGTTGCTTGCTCAGACTTCACCTCCACCTACTTACCTGGTGATTTCATTGAGAGCCAAAGTTCCCTTTTGTAAACAGATTCTACATTTCTTCCTCATGCCTTTCTACAGAAAAGGATGTTATATTAGGATGAAAAAAGCATCTATTTAAAAAAAAGGATGCCTTTTTGCTAAAATTGTAACAATGTTGGTTAAACCTAATGCAGCTGTAAAATTAAAGAAAACAAAACATAAAAGAATGCCTTAAAAATTCTGGTGGCAGAAATGGAAGTTCTCATCATTTTCATTGAAAATGCAAAGACTGAGCTCTACGAGTTAATGGAGAAAGTCTTTATTAAGCTCCTTCTGCATTGCCAACAATGTTGTGTATAAGATAAAGTAGGAAATAAAAAAAACGCATACAGATGGTTACTATTTTTAAATACTCATTTATTTTACTTCTTCTCTGTATCTCATCTTTTCTTCCCTTTCCAGTAAATCTCTCCCACCTCACCCCCATTCTAGCACAAGATCAGATCCCTACTCAATTGGAAGAGACACAGGAAAGAGTGGGAAACAGGGCAAACCACAAGCTTTTGTGTCTTTGTTTTATAAAAGCCTAAACCCTTGGGGAAAGAGATTCTCTATTCACATTCTAAAGAAACAGGAATGGAGAAGTTCCTCCAAACTCCAGTTCCCTGGGCTTGGGGAAGGGTGGAAGAGGCGGAGGTCTGGGACCAGTTTCAAGAGCAGAGAGGAATTGTGTCCCGCATTAAGCAGCCCACTAGGAAGCCTGCCAGCCTGGAGAGGGATGGCTACATTGTGCACATTGACAGAAATATAAGCAGCCTTCACAAAGATTCCTGGGCTCACAGCATGACATGGGAACAGCAGAAGATCATTAAAACTGAGGACAGAGATGACAAGCTCTCAGGCCTACCCTGTGTGCCGTAACAGAGGACCCAGTGTCTCCAACCTCCTCACCACTTGGCTCTGTGGAAGATGCCAGAACAGCCCCAGGGGAGAGGTTAGATTATCCCAAGACAAGCTAAAATTTAGTGGTGTTTTGCTTGTTGGCTTGTTTTTTCACAGGCCCCACAGAATGGGAAAATCATAATCAGATCTTAGGTTGAGATACAAAAAGCAAAAGATGAAGCATTGTTTGCAGATCAGAGTTTGGCATGTGGATCTCATGGCTGCTGCAGGAGAATGCAGCAATCCTGCCGTAAGAGTTTAGAATCTTCTGGCCTACAGAATACAGAGGGAAAGCAAATCTGAGAACATCCCAAACAGAAAGTAGCTGAATAATAGAACCTGTGGTAGAAAGAGATAAGATCCTGAGCTGGGAACCCAGTGAAACTCTCTGGAGAAGGTAGAATGTGGCATGGCACCTCGGCAGAGGGTGTGAAAGTACAGATGCACAGGGGAAGAAGCAGGGCTCTCCAAACATGGACAGCGTGAGCAAGGACTCAGAGATGGGCGTGTGCATATGTATTCAAGAGTGAGGATAAGAAGGAAATGCATTCGATGGACTGAACTGAGGGAATAGTAAACAACTAGATAAATAAAGCTGGACCACCCTTAGAGGGTCTTGAGTGCCTGGCTCAGACATTTATATGGACACCATAAACAGGACCCCAGTGGAGAGCCTCAAACTGGACTGTGAAATGATTTTTAAAACAGCATTCTAAGGTTAACATAAAGTCACTATGATAGATTATTGATAGCTTGTGAAATTCGAACTAAGCTTAGTATAGGGGAGGCCATTTTAGTATCTAGGAAAAAAGGGAGGTGAAGGCCTGCATTAGGGATAGATGGAGAAGGAAATGTGTACAGGAAATAGTGGAAGAAAATGTTTTGAAGAATGGAATTCACTTTGGCAAGTTGGAATTATGACTTTAGCATGCTGTTTAGCTGAGCTCACAATCAGCTGATCACACTGGGGATGACAGTTTATTTAAGTAATATTACAGGCAAAAATGTACAATATATTTCAGTTTGCTATTTTAAGCTGCTGTTCACCTTAGCCCCTTTGAAAATACGTTGTCTTGACTAGGTTGAGAAAGAATTACAGAAGTAAAGAGGAAACAAGTGTTTGCAATGTCACAATATTTTCATTTTTATAATGTTTGGTGCTAGTGCTGTTTATGTCTTCTGATACTTTGACACATTGTTGCATGAAGCAACTATGAGGACAAACATGTCTAATTTCAGGAACAAAGTCACCTTAGAGTGACTGAATCTATTAGCCCTAGGTAACTAAGAGAGAACTTATGAAGAAACAAACAAGATTTGTGCAAAAACTACCTCTAGAACATAAAATACATTCAAAACGTAGGCAGGAAATTGCCTCAGCAGCTTAGCAGAGTCTTTGGATTGAAAGTCCTCGCTTCAAATCCCAACCCTGACACTTGATAAATGTGGCCTTGGACAAGTTACTTAAAAGACTAGCCCTAGGACCTTGGTGCAAATTAGAGACAGGTACCCCTTTGTGCAGATGAAGTCCAAGGAGACTGGAGGGATCATTTTTGACTCAATCCCTTGAATGGGCACCCATGCACAGTATGCAATCCACATAACTGGATACAGTGGCTCTGTTACTTGAAATCTGCATTTTCATTTCTTCTTTGTATATTGAAGAAAATAACAGTATCTGTCTGACGGGGCTATTTTGAGGACATAATTGCTATAGAACATGTAGAGTGTTTAGTATAGTCCTGGCACATTTTAAACATGTTACAAATGTTTACTATTATTATTGCATTATTATTATTTATCTAAATCTCTCATGTTTTAGGGTAGAGGTTGGCAAAGTGTGACTCACATGCCAAATGCTGCCTACTGCCTGTTTTTGCATAGTGCAAGAGCTAAGAGTCATTTTTATATTTTAAATGGTTGGACAAAAATCTAAAGAAGGCTATCTTGTGATGCATGAAAGTTCTATGAAATGCAAATGTTATTGTCCATAAGTAAAGTTTTATTGGCACACAGCTATGCTCATTCATGTATGTATTGTCTGGGGCTGCTTTCATGGGATAGTGGCAGAGTTGAGAGGTAGTGTCAGAGATGAGATGGCCCATAAAGCCCAAAACATTTTCTATTTGGCTTTTTATGGAAAGCACTTGAAGACCCCTGTTTTAGTGTGTTTTTTTGTTTTGTTTTCTCACTAGTTTCAGAGTATGTTCTTCAATCTTTTCCAAATTAAAATGATTTTTAAAATACTTGAACACTAGTGAAGATCAAGCTGTTGAAAGACAAGCATTCTTATCCTTTCCAAGTATTTTGCAATATCTTTCAAAACACTGTCACCTCTTTTCAGGGTGATGACAATGTGCCTAACATTAAGTCTCCTTCTAATATACAGAGATAGTGGTGGCATAGCACTGCACCAGAGCCCAAGCAAAAGCATGCTTGAAGAATCTGCCGTAAAGTGTAACTATACGTTAAACAGGTTCAGAGTTGGACTCCTATTTTGTGTGGACAGCCACCAGGCAAAGTTTGGCTTTCTAATAATGTCAACATGTATAAACACAAAACAACAAGTTCAGTTGATCATTGAGATGTTTTAACTATTTGATGCCAAAAATCCAGATATTTGGAAACATCTGGATAACGGATTACATTTTTCACTTTTCATCTAGATTTGGCATTCAGCTTATTTCAGCTAATAAGAACAGGCAAACATTAGCCATGTTCTAAATATTAACATGTGAGAAAACACTCTCCCTTTCACCTTTCTAAGATAAACTTGCTGCTTCTGTTTCTTCCTATTCAGTACATTGACGGTTTTCTTCTATTTTATCCTCTATTTCTCACCTCTTTTCTTTCCTATGTTTTTCTTCTTAACTTTCTCTAGTTCCTCTAGCACAATCTTAACTGTCAAAACTTCTTAAGAGTGTCTTCTTTTCAATCCCTTTTATCCAAGGAAGAAAAATGATTTGCTTTACAATAATTGAAATTCTTAATTAAAACCCAATGTTCAAGGCTTTATAAGGCATAAATGGCTTCTTAATTGCTGGGAGCCTGCTTTGTGTACAATTTACCACACCACGTCCATGGCAGAATTCAAGGGAAAGGTCACAGAGAGACAGCTTTATTTATCTAGTCATTTTTTTATTAATTTCAATTGATTTTTAACAATCTGTTTGATGTTACAATTGTATGTAAAAACCCTGTGATATAATGCAGACTTCTCTGGACCACTTATTTACAGTTATGGCAGTTATGCTTTTCCTTGACTTGGGCTATTTCAGGAGGCATGGTTATGGTCCACACTGGGCTACAGTCTTGTGCTGTAATAACATGGACCTTGCCAAGATAAATGCAATCATCTCTCCTTGCTCCCCTAAATTCTTGATGGATGCTCTGCCTTTATGAAGTCTTGCTGTGAACACAGCATTTAATCTGTGATGCTCTTGTCAGGTTGTCTTTTGCACATTCCCAGGGAGGGCTCTTTCTTCTCCAAACAAAACTGTAGGTTTAGCTATAGCCCCAGATCCTATAAACAAGAATAGCAGCTGCAAAACTGTGAATTTTATTGTCTTTGGTCCTAAGCTGCTGACTTCATGCTTAAAAAAAAAAAGAGCTTCAAAAAGAAAATAGAAAGTATCTTGATTTTAAAACAATTATTGTATGATCTCCAGAGGTAGGGAGCTATGTTATGTTCATACAAACATTTAGTTTCCCATTTAGTTAAAGATCACTACAAACACACCATTTTCCTAAAATCCTTTATAATTAAAGAGAAAAAAGTTATGCTTATAACATTAAATTCATCAGTTTAATTTTAGTGCCAGCCAAGATCATGGAAATACTTAATACAAAAATCCTTGAAGAATGTAAGTAGTGATGATAAAATAACAACCAGTATGGTTGTATGACTGGAAAATCATGCCAGACCAATTTAATTTGCAGGTAAAATTACATTACCAAGTATGCCATTACAAAAATATTATAAAGATATTTCTGGATAGCTAACTTATCTTAATATCTTGGGGGATAGAAAGGGATGACAGTAATTTTTAATTAGATTAATTATATATAAGAAGCTATTTTATAGACTACATGCTTCCTCAGGTCTGTGCCAGAAAGCTTATATTCCCAACATTTAGATATCTTTTTGTTCTTTGCTGATGTTGGAAAAAATAAAAATAAAGAAAAAGAGCCAAGATCATCTCAGCTCCTCTACTAAAGTATGTATTAAGAAGTTATCACTTTCCACTCTACTTCCCACCTGACATTCTTAACACCCAGCCAGACCCGTCAACACAGGATTTCAGCCCCTCAGAGGAGGGAGAGGAGGGAGGGCAGAGGACTCTCATGACATCTCACTCTTCCTTTCTGGTTTAGGACACATCGCCCTCTTCACTGAGTGACTCACCAAAGAGCCTGGGAAGCAGTTCAATATGCTCCTAAACCCTTTGCTAAGAAAGGAATTTCTACCAGTTCATTGAGTTCTATAAATATATGAGATCATGCCTGTCCGCTCTAAGAATCTTCCAGTAAGCTTCCTATTCCACTCAGAATGAAATCCCCAATTGCATTTTAGGAGGACCTGCAAAGCCCACATCTGCAGCCCCAGCTTTCCTCTGGGACCCCAGACCCTCCCCTTTCCCATCCCCATTCCCCACTCTGTACCAGCCACATGGGCCTTTTCTCTGCTTGGCACTTCATATGTGCCAAAGGACTTCTACACTTGCTCTTTCCTGGAAGAGCCTCCCACCAGGTCCTCCAGTGGCTCACTCAGGTCATGTAGGTCTCTGCTGTAAGGTGAAACCCTCAAAGAGACCTTCCCTGATCACCCCATAGGAAGGAGACTAGCAGCCCTGATAGATGTCCACATCCTAATCCCCGAAACTTGTGAATATGTTACCTTACATGGCAAAAGAGGCCTTGCAGGTATGATTAAGAATATTGAGATGGGAAGATTGTCCTGTATAATTGGGATGGGCCTAACATAATCATAAGGGTCCTCATGAGAGGGTGAGAGTAAGTGAGAGATTTGAAGATGCTAGGCTGCTGACTCTGAAGACAGAGAAAGGGCACTGAGCCAAAGAATACAGGTGACTTCTAGAAGCTGAAAAAAGCGGGGAAACAGTTTTTCCCCTAGAGCCCCCAGAAAGAATGTAGTCTTGCTGACATTTTTATTTTAGCCCAGTGAGACCCATTTTGAACTTTTGACTTCCAGAACAGTAGGATAATAAATTTGCATTATTTTAAGCCATCAAGTATATGGTAATTTCTTATGGCAGCAATAGGAAACTTAAAAATAACCTGCCTTCCCCAGTCTCCACCAGGCTACTTCTGACTCCAGCACTCTGCTTTATTTGTCTTCATAGCATTTCCCACTACTGGAAATTGCATTGCTTTCTCATCTGTTTGTCTGCTTGTCTATTGTTTGCAACAGGATTTACACTTCATGAGGATGGAGACTCTGCTTCGTTCATCTCTCATAGGTAAAAGTTACCCGGAGAGAGTAGACACTCAGTGGATCGTTGTTGAATGAATGACTGAAAACATACATAAATTAATACTTATTAAAACCAGACCCCACTGCAAGATAATTTGGGTGCTTGTGGAATTGAGTGTGTTCACGTATGTGTGAGTGTGTGTATAGGTATAGTAGTCATCGTGGAGTAAGAGAGGTAGTGGGTAATCATAGTGGTGGTAGCAATAGTAGTAGTAGCAGTAGCAGCAGTGGTGGGATTGTGGAATTTGACCTATTTCTGTGACGAAGCAATGGTCTAGGTTGATAATAATGAAAATACAATATTTCAAGAAGGCTTTTTATTAGATCCATATGAAAATGTCCTCTGTATATAAGTTCAGAATTGTTCTGAGCAATGTTACTGTTCAGACAACATCCTCAAGTGAAAGGTCCTACCCATAGGGTAATTACCAGTAGTTCAGTGTCCATACATGGATTGCATACCTTGACAAATCTCCCCAAATTATGTGACTGAAGAAGTCAATCTAGTTGTGATCAAAGCTGTAAAAAAAAAATCAACTCTCAGAAAAATTAAGGTCAATATTTAAACTCTTGATATGTAAACCAAAAGGTGGTTGCCATATGAAAAAGGAATAGAGAAAAGGAAATTTTAAAATTGATTTTAATTGGTACCAGAAATCGACCTTAAATGAGTTATAGGCCCAATTAGTAAAGTGGATCTGAGTTGACATTTCTGTTTCCAGTGTAACAGTATGTTTATTTAACTACATTCAGAGGTTCTGTGCACTTGGAAAATCATCATTTTCTTTAAACCATTAATGACCTTCAAAGAATAAAAAGATGAACTGTCTGTAACTTTCTTCAGCTGTGAACCATGTGACTGTCTGGCCACCTCACATGAATCCTAGTGAATCTAATTAAACAATCTGCTTCATTCACTCATTATTCCATGCTGTAGGCAATATGCTTAGAAATAAGGATTCCCGAGTAAAAGGTACAGGCCTTGCTTTTAAGAATCTCACAAATGAAACAGCCACTATAGTAATATGATGTGATACAGATCAACTGGACAGTGTGCCTGGCTTAGGAGTGGTGGGAAGCACAGTGAATGATCTAGTTTGTTTTGGAGGAAGCAGGAAGTAGGAGCTATCCAAGCAAGATGGGTAGGGGTGAGGGGATGGGGGGCTGCGGTGGGTATATATTCAGGAAAGGCTGGGAAGCATGGGAAACCCTAGCATTGTGGGAGACACCCAACAGCACCCTTCAACTTACTTTTTTGATTTTTTTTTTCTCAACACAACATCAACATTGTGTTCAAACTCTTCCACACATGTTATGTAGGTATCACTGTGTTCCAAGTCACTCAATTAAAATTTGTATTTAAAACTCAAAATAGATATTATTTGTGATGAGATCAAGCTGTAGACAGAGGAAGAGGGAAAAGAGGTGCATGGCTGGAAGCTTCTCAAAACCACCAATTAGACTAAGAGCTGGGCATTCTCAACTTCTCCTCAATGTTTCCAAATAAGAACTCCATCTATAATGACTTGTGATGACCTTTCTTCTGCCATCATCTAGTGTTTTATTCTCTAAATATCTTTTTTGTCTCTCTTCAGGATTTCTTTCCTCAAAATATCTAGCCACCACATGAGTATAAGACACTATGAAAATACACAGATCATTTCATTCTACTTTGAAAGACTCTCAGGTTGCAGACTCTATATAGAAAGAAAGGCCAGGCACTGTGGCTCACACCTGTAATCCCAGCACTTTGGGAGACCCAGGTAGGTGGATCACCAGAGGTCAGGAGTTCAAGACCAGCCTGGTCAGCATGGTGAAACCCCATCTCTATTAAAAACACAAAAATATTAGCCAGGCATGTTGGCACGCATCTGTAACTCCAGCTACTTGGGATGCGGAGGCAGGATAATCACTTGAACCCAGGAGGCAGAGGCTGCAGTGAACCAAGGTTGAGCCACTCCAGCCTGGCAGCCTGGGTGACAGAGAAAGACTCTGTCTTGGAGGTGAAAAACGGAAAGAAAGTTGAGGCAGGAGCCTGCTACAAGCCCTCAACTGCGGATCTTTTCTATTGATGTCAGATGCATTTCTTAGGCAGTGTACTCCATGCCAACCTTGAGCTGAATTAGCCACTTTAGCATGTTTGGAGTAGTGGTCTGAAGAGGATATCACACCATCTCTGTGGTTAGACAGCCATGGATTTAAATCCTGGTTCCGCCACCCCTTGTAGCTGTGTGATCTATGAAGGTAGTTAATTACCCTGAGGCTCAAATTTTCTATCTCTGAATCCAGTATACGCACACCTGCCTTTCAGCTTTGTGGTGAAAAGAAAGGACTGTAAATGTAAAGCACCCAAGTGGCAGAAAGAATATTCGTGGGATCTCCAGAAGCCCCTGGGATGAGTTTTAGTTAATGGATGGGGAGCCAAGGGATCCACGTCCCAGGTGGGTCAAGGAGTTTCCATGCTTCTTCCATCCCTCTCTTGCTAGGTTGCAGCTACCATGGAAGCTGTGTACGCACATGGCATAGCCATAAGATGAGGGAGGGCTGCCACCCACATAGGACTTAGCAAAAGCAAGAGACTTTGGAGCTTAGTTCCTACTGCAGCATAGTAGAAACCAGTGGTTCTCAATGTGTGGTCCCTGGGTCAGCAATATCACCATTACCTGGGAATTGGTTAGAAATGTAAATTCTCAAGCTCCAACCCTGACCTGTTGTCTTAGTCCATTTGTGTTGCTATAAAGGAATACCTGAGGCTGGGTAATTTATAAAGAAAACAGGTTTATTCAGCTCATCGTTCTTCAGACTGTACAAAAAGCATGGTACCAGCATCTGCTTCTGGTGAGGGCCTCAGGCTGCTTCCACTCATGGTGAAAGGCAGGATGAGCTGACCATACGGCAAGAGCAGGAATCAAGAGAGAGAGGAGGAGGAGCCAGGCTCTTTACAAGAACCAGTTCTCATGGGAACAGAGTGAGAACTCACTCCCTCAAGAATGACACCAAGCTATTCATAAAGGATTCACACCCATGACCCATAAACCTCCCCGCCAGGCCCCACCTCCAACAGTGGGGACCAAATTTTAACACGAAACTTTGTGGAGCCAACAAATCATGTCCAAACCATAGCACCTGCTAACTCAGAAAGTCTGAAGATGGGACCTGCAGTCTGTGTTTTAACAAAGCCCTCCTGAGAATTCTGGGGCACACTCAAGTTTGAGAACCACTTGTATCAACCATTCTGATTAACCAAATCCAGCACATAATAGTGTTCAAGAAATGCTAGTTATTATTATTTAGATAAACTACCTGTGACAAATTCGATACTGCAACTAAGTAAAAACACTCCAGGTTATATTCCTCACTACAGAATGTGTTGGTTATATTTTATAAATGGAGTCTGATCCCCAGTTAATACCTTCTCTGTTTGGAAATGAAGATAGTAGAATGGTTAAGATGATGAAGAAACATAGGATGTGGTAATCCAGATGCTGAAGTCAAGTTTATGATTGCAATTAAATTGATATGTGAGAATCATTGATGAGTTTTGGAAATCAAATCCCCCAAATTTATAAATATTTCATGATCAATTATGCAACACAGCTGCAGTTACCAAGTAGTAAACCTCATAAGAAAAGTTGCAGTTGCACAATGTTTTCAGAATTACATTTGTCTAATTTAAGCTATACAACAGAGTGTGTATGTGTGTCACGTATGTGCCCATGATAGTGTGATAGTGAGGTTGGCCTTCCTTGATAAAATACTAGTATTTATTTATAATGAGATTTATTGCAATTTTGCCTTCTTACTTTTTCTTTGTTCTTTAATGTCTATTTAGATTTTTAAATTTTGCTTTGGCTCCTCTGGTGCTTTAAGTGCCGGAGGCTGTGGTTCTCAAACAGAAAAGTGCAGACTGTATACTCAGGCTGAGCCACAAATATATCATATGATGACCTTGGAAAAATCTTAAATTATATAGTACAGAGCCTGAGGTTTTGATTGTAAGACAATTGTCCCACACTTTGAATGCCTAGCCTCATTAATATAATGTGATAATCCGTTTTTCTCTTATGAGTGCTACATGACATATATTTACTTGTCCTAATTAAATTGAGTTAAAAATAAACTCTAAGAATGTGTTGGCATGCCTGGAGCTTTCCTAGAGATCAGCAACGTCAGATCTGGGAATCACTTTTCTGAGAATATTACAACTTGACCAGGCCATTGCAACCTCATTTCCATCTTTATTCTCAAAACCTCGGAGGAAATCCCCAACTAACAAAAGGATTTTTATAAATGAAGTCAGTTCTCTGTTTTGCCGTCCCTTAAAGATTCATGCTTACTCACCTTGGAGTTTCATTCCACCTGCAGAATCCATTCATCATTCATTTAACAAATATTTTCCCTCACTTCAGTTATTTTTCTATTTTATTTTATTTCCCAAGCCCATCCACATTCTTTTATAAGCAGCCAATCTGATGTGTGTAATGTATATCTTTGTGTTTGTGCTTTTGCAAAATGTATATTGCTGTCTGTATGCATGTATTTTTAAATTTTGTGTATTAGATATTATATTTTGTGTGTTAGATATTTTTGTGTTAGATATCTAATTTCTTTCATACCTCTTACACTCTGCACTACATTTTTGGATACAACTCTATTGCCATGTACAGCTCGTCCATCATTTTCAATTATTTTATAATTATTACAAACCCTTTTGCTAACTATTAGATATAAAGGGTTGAAGAAGAAAATTCATGGTTTCCCTTTCCACAGAGCTCACATACTAGTTTAGAAAAAACATTTTAAAAACCCCATATACAGTATGGTGAGTACTTATTATTCATTTTTTTCAAAAATATCTATCAAATGCTTTCCGTGTGTTAAATATGATGTTAAGCACTATGGATAAAATAGAGAACAAGGCAGTAGTGATAACTGTCCTCAGGAAGCTTACATTCTGGAGGATTATCCAAGCCAAGTATTTAAGTTCAGTGGCAAATAACTAAATGGTTTTATGCAACAGAGCATGATAAAGAAATTTGTATCTTTATTCTGGATGAAGTATGAATAATGGGTTAGACAGAAGCAAGACTAGACTCAAGAAACAAGTTAGTTGCTGCAAAACAATTGAGAAACTATAGTGACTTCAAGAGGGCTGGTGGCACTGGAACAGAAAAGAAGAGAGCGATGTGACATATTTTGGAAATGGTACAGACAGGATTTGATGATAGATTAATTATGAGGGGTAAAGAGGAATCAAGTCATGTCCCTGAGTTTCTATTCGAGAAACAGAGATGGAGAAGTCTAAGCATGAATCAGGTTTTTGGGGAGAAAAGCAAAGTTCTCTTTGGGTGATGATGTCTATGTGGCATCTAAATGGAGGTATCAAACAGGCAATTGAGCATATGGAGCTGATTCTCAGAGAAGAGCTACAGACTGAGGATGCATATTCAGGAGTCACCACATATGGATAGTCTTTAAAATCATGGGAATGAATAAGAATGTAGAGAAAGGCAAAGGGGGCCCATTACAGATCCCAAATGTTTGGAGACCAGATGGAAGAGAAGGAGTCAGCAGGGAAATTATAAACAAGTGCTCAGGGAGGATCTACTGTATTTGGGTCATTTAGGTGTCTTTGGTTAATGCCCTTAGCCAAAGCTGTTTTTATGGAAATGTTTTTCAAAAGGGGGCCTATATGGAATGGTGTAAATCCGGAAGTAGAGATGGTGCATGCAGACAAATCTTTAGTGAATATGGGCTGAAGGGGAGAAAATAAGGTAGGGCCATATCTAAAGGGAAATTTTAGATTAAGAATTTTTTTTTAGGTAGGTGAGACTCCAGCATGATTAAAACATGATACAAAGATGCATAGATAATGGAAGTTTCCTGAGATACAGAATGAGATAAAATCCAAGCTCAGAGGCAGGGTCCAGCTCCTAGTGAGAGGAAGGCCAGCTCCGGGTTGATAACACCCACTCCATGCCTTTCTCTGAATACCATTTCACTGGCAAAATGAGATAAGAGGAGGAGCTAGTTTGAGAGCTCTGTTGAGATGCGTTTCACAATGAGCAGAAGGCAAAGGACCTACTCCTTGAAAAGTAATTTGTTCAAAGTTCACTGTCAAAAACACTAGGCCTCAAAACAAGAAGACATCTATAGAATTTAGCAGATAATCAGATTCAATATTGTCACAGGGCAAATGTGGGTTGAGAGAAGGCTGTCTGGTGGAAGAAAATTACTCCCTTCTGTCTGGGAAGAGACTACAACAGGCTTTGACAGAATCCCAGAGAAATTGGGCAGCCTTTCATTATATTGATCAAAAAGCTGAAAGCGCCCTGCTTTTTCAGCTTAAGCAGGCATATGGAGCAGAAGACAGATTCTCCAGGATAAATAAAATTCAGGAACATCAGAAGCAAGCGGGAGTGATTAACCAAATGGGGCGTGGTCAGAAGACATACTAAGGTCTTTTAGCATTTCGTTGGTCCCTGGCCTGGGGCTACCACTCTGGAACTTTAGCTGTGAGTCTCCTAAGTCCTATGATGAATTTTCTGCTTAGGCTTGGGAAATAACCACACACAAATTAAACAGTATTTAATAACAGCTAAAGGATAGGTGTAAATATATCTAAAAATTATTTCTTGAAATCTTAGGCGAAAGGGTACAAGTGTTTAATTTCCTTAATCATCGTGTTCTCACAAATTAATGCAAGTGTTTTGGCAGTTTCTGAGTTGACTTCTTATATACAGCAATAATTTTACCAAATCACATATTATGTTTTATTTTTCAAATCTTTATGTCATTAAGAAATACTGGTAGTTGAGTCACAAAGTTATACCCAAGGGGCCAATATTGACTTGGGAACAGCAACGTTGTAGCCAGAGTAGCTGAGAAGAGATAAACCACCTTTGCAGGATTCGATTCTCAAACCCAAACTTATAAAATAATATCAGAGGTAGTAAACAGAAGGGCAGTATATTTTGTTACAAAGAAAGCTAACTTGGGAACCGGTCTCTTAGTGCTATCCTGCTGCTCACATAGAGGTATAATAATTTCAGGCAAGTTGCTAAACTCCTCAGTCTCTTCATCTGTAGAGTATTCACTAGGTACTCAGGAATTTTTAAGATCTCTCCCAGTTTTAAAATCCCTTACTCTGATGTATTAATCAGGATTCATGCAGTTCTAAGTGACAGAAAGAGACCTCAAACTGACTTCAGTTAAGAGGGGAGATTTATTGGTTCCCATAACTGCAAAGCTATTGGCAGCCTGCATAGCACCTTCTGAGAATGGAAAAAAGGGGCTCCAGAGTGAGCATTTGGCTTGGCAAGCAATGGGGACCTTTAGTAAAAAAAAAAAAAAAAAGAAAAAGAAACAAACGAACAAAAAACAATAAACAAGTCTCTTTCTCTGAATAGACATACCCTTACTCCCAGATGCACACAACAGATTTCAGCACCTGTTTACCCCTTAGGCTGGGAATGCTTTGCAGTTCACAGTTGGCTCAACTCTGTATAGTGGCTCTGAATCCTGGGGTAGTCTGGCATCATTGCCAGCTGGATGGATGGACTCGAACACTGTCACCAGGACTTACTCTTTCCTCCTGGCTCTGCTTTGGTTGTTGCTGGATCCACCCCTTACCCCGTGCGTGTGTGTGTGATAGAGAGAAATTAAGGAAGAGAGAAGGAGAAAGAGACAGTGACCAAGCTGGGTCATATGCTAATTCTTAAATCTGAGGGTGGGGCTGGGGTCCTGTCAAACCACAGGGATTGAGAGAGCAGAAGACCTCAATGTGCTATTCCTAGAGAAAGGAGATGGATGCCCAGATGGAAAAGATAATCCATGCCCTTTTATGTATCGCTATGGTTTTCAATCAGCTTACCGAGCAGTCTTAGATGATCTGAGGAATCCCCCTCTGAAGTTTTTACATCGGCAAAAACTTTGACATTGTATTACCCATGCTGAAAATGGAGTATATTTGCACACTGCTGGTGGCATCATCAATTGGCATGAGGCTTTGGAACTCTATTGAGTAATTTTGATCAATAGTCATAAAATCTGCTTGTATCGTGTGGTTTAGTAATACCCCTGAGAACTCATTTTAGGGAAATAACTCAAATTTTAAAATTCATGTATATGAAAATGTTTATTCAACATTATCTATAATAACAAGTTGCAAATGGCCTAGATGTCGACCACTGGGGAATAGATAAGTCAATTAAAACTGAATAAAATGTTAAGTAGCCATTAAAATGGCAACTATAAAGGTTTTATGCTAAGTGAAAAAAGTTATGTACAAAATTATGTAAACCATTTGATGACTACCAAAAAAAAGCTAAGCGTATAGATAGCCCAGAAAGTAACACCTAAAAATAGAAATCAGGTCAGTGTTTCCAGTGCAGGGGTGATGAGGATATTGTCTTGTCTTTAAATTTCTGACAATATCAGTATAATATTGTTTTATAATAAATAAAGTTAATTGAACTTCAATAAAAGTTCAATAAATATTTTATTAAACAAAAATAAATAAACACACCCCTGAGTTCTGTGGTGAGAAGATTTATTTTCAGGGACTCTGACCTGAAGAGAGGTCTTTTTGAAAAATTTTGTTGGAAGGCTCAGAATGCATATGTCTGCAACAGGCCTTAATTAATATTGTTCAAAGGAAGATAAAGGGGAAAAGCATGGTTATGGGGCAAGAGGGAAGACAAAGTTGACTTTAAAAAGTTAATGTTTTAGTCACATGAGTAATACATACATACACTCTCATTCTAAAACATTAAAAGATTACAGCTAACATATCAGCTAAGGCTGAAGTTCTCTTTGACATCTGTCATAATCTGCTCAGGCTGCCATAACAGTATACTACAGACTGTGTGGCTTAGACAACATAAATTAATTTTCTCACAGTTCTGGAGGCTGGGAAGTCCAAGATCAAGTTCTCACAACATTTGGTTTCTGATGAGGGCTCTTTTCCTGACTTGCAGATGGATGCCTTCTTGCCTTCTCACTGTGTCTTCACATGGACTTTCCTCCCTGCTGTGCAAGAAGAGAGAGAGAAAAAGAAAGGGATTGAGGGAGAGGAGAGAGAATTCTCTAGTGTCTTTTTTTTTTTTTTTTTTTTGAGATGGAATCTCACTCTGTCACCTAGGCTAGAGTGCAATGGCACGATCTTGGTTTACTGCAACCTCCATCTCCTGGGTTCAAGCGATTCTCCTGCCTCAGCTTCCAGAGTAACTGGGACTACAGGCACCCACCACCACACCTGGCTAATTTTTGTATTTTTAGTAGAGACAGGGTTTTGCCATGTTGGCCAGGTGGGTATCAAACTCCTGACCTCAGGTGATCTGCCTGCGTTGGCCTCCGAAAATGCTGGGATTACAGGCGTGAGCCACTGTGCCTAGCTGTGTCTCTTCTTATAAGGACAATAATCCCATCGACTTAGGACCCCATCCTGCCCCTTCTGACCTCATCTAACCCTAATTACTTCCTTATTCCAAATGCAGCCATACTGGGGGTTAGGAATTCAACATATGAATTTTGGGGGTACATACATGTTCAGTCCATAGCAATATCCCCCTGTACCTAGATGCTTTTTCCCCATTTCTGACTTCCATAATCAATTTCTTTTGTTTTTTAATTTTTTTTATTATACTTTAAGTTCTAGGGTACATGTGCACAACATACAGGTTTGTTACATATGTATACATGTGCCATGTTGTTGTGCTGCACCCATTAACTCGACATTTACATTAGGTATATCTCCTAATGCTATCCCTCTCCCCTCCCCCTACCCCACAACAGGCCCCGGTGTGTGATGTTCCCCACTCTGTGTCCAAGTGTTCTCATTGTTCAATTCCCACCTATGAGTGAGAACATGTGATGTTTGGTTTTCTGTCCTTGCAATAGTTTGCTCAGAATGATGGTTTCCAGCTTCATCCATGTCCCTACAAAGGACATGAACTCATCCTTTTTTATGGTTGCATAGTATTCCATGGTGTATATGTGCCATATTTTCTTAATCCAATCTATCACTGATGGATATTTGGGTTGGTTCCAAGTCTTTGCTATTGTGAATAGTGCCGCAATAAACATACGTGTGCATGTGTCTTTATAGCAGCGTGATTTATAATCCTTTGGGTATATACCCAGTAATGGGATGGCTGGGTCAAATGGTATTTCTAGTTCTAGATCCTTGAGGAATCGCCGCACTGTCTTCCACAATGGTTGAACTAGTTTACAGTCCCACCAACAGTGCAAAAGTGTTCCTATTTCTCCACATCCTCTCCAGCACCTGTGGTTTCCTGACTTTTTAATGATCATCATTCTAACTGGTGTGAGGTGGTATCTCATTGTGGTTTTGATTTGCATTTCTCTGATGGCCAGTGATGATGAGCATGTTTTTCATGTGTCTGTTGGCTGCATAAATGTCTTCTTTTGAGAAGTGTCTGTTCATATCCTTCACCCACTTTTTGATGGGGTTATTTGATTTTTCTTTGTAGATTCTGGATATTAGCCCTTTGTCAGATGGGTAGATTGTAAAACTTTTCTCCCATTCTGTAGGTTGCCTGTTCACTCTGATGGTAGTTTCTTTTGCTGTGCAGAAGCTCTTTAGTTTAATCAGATCCCATTTGTCAATTTTGGCTTTTGTTGCCATTGCTTTTGGTGTTTTAGACATGAAGTCCTTGCCCATGCCTATGTCCTGAATGGTATTGCCTAGGTTTTCTTCTAGGGTTTTTATGGTTTTAGGTCTAACGTTTAAGTCTTTAATCCATCTTGAATTAATTTTTGTATAAGGTGTAAGGAAGGGATCCAGTTTCACCTTTCTACATACGGCTAGCCAGTTTTCCCAGCACCATTTATTAAATAGGGAATACTTTCCCCATTTCTTGTTTTTGTCTGACCTCCATAATCAATTTCTAAGTATAAGCATGTATTCAGTTTTTTTTCTAAAACAGAAAATAAAATGTACCCATAGATTTATGAAGTTATTTTTATTCTGTGCACTTTAAAAAATCCTCCTGTGCATGGGCTTCTTTAACTTGTTTTTTGTAAAATGTATCTTGGTAAATTTTCATAGTAGTATATGGGTGCTTGTTATTTTTTATCTGCTGCATAATATTCTAATACATAATTACCAGATTCTATTAACTATTTTATTTTTTATGATTGACATATAATTTGTACACATTTACAGGGTACAATGTGCTGTTTTCTTACATGTGTACATGTGTAAAGATCAAATCAGGGTAATTAGCATATCTATCACCTTACACATTTATCATTTCTTTGTGATGAGAACATTCAAAAGCCTATCTTCTAAGTACTTGAAACATGCAATCCATTACTGTTAACTCTAGTCTCTACTATATAATAGAACACAGAACTTATTCCTATCTAAGTGAGTTTGTAACCATTGACTGATCTCCACCCAGTCTATTAACTATTTTAAATAACTATCACCATATTGATAATTATTTAAGTCATTTCTTTTTTTTTCAATCACCAACAATTCTGCAATGAGAATCTTTATACATGCCTTTTTGTGTACAAAGGTGAATGTTTCTCAAAGATGACTTGCTGGGTAACAGAATATGCACATTATCAATTTTAATAGATATTGTCCAATTGTCCTCTAAGGTGACTATACCAATTTATATTCTCACTAGTAATTTACGAGGCTGTTTGAACATTTGGCATTATCAACATATATTTGTCAACATTTGGTATTATCAACCTTTAATATCTTTGCCAATCTGATGAGTACAAGAAAATATTATATTACTGCTTAAATTTATATTCTCCTGATTGATGTTGAAGGTGAACATCTGGGATATATATTGACCAATTTCATGTTTTCCTAAGTATTGCCCCTTTATGTGCTTTTCCCAATTTTTCCTATCAAATTGTTTATCACTGTCTTATTAAATTTGTATAACTCCCTTATATATTCTAGATGCTAATCCTTTGTCTGCAAATTAGGTTGCAAATATTTTCTCTTAATGTGCCTTCTTTTTACTTTATTTATGGTATATTTTGCCTTGGAAAATTTTTATTTTGGAAATAGTCACACTTTCTATTTTTTTCCTTTACAGGTTTTGCTTTTAGTGTCTTAAAAAGGCTTTCTCTCCCCCAAGATCATAATTGCATTATCTCATGTACTCATTAAACCCTCATATTTTTAACTCTGATATTTTGTTTTTGTTGTTCTTTTACTTTTAGATATTTAATCCATCTGAAATTTATTTCCCAAAGTGGCGTGAGATAGGAATTAAGTTTACTATTTTCCAAGTGGATAGTCAGTTATCCCAGTGCAGGAGGTTGATTTTTGTTGTTGTTGTTGTTGTTGTTAGAAGCTCATACTCTAAGAAGAGAAAACATTTTTGTATTTCACTGTTTCTGGAACCAGCTCAAGAGGAAAATCAACTGGTGTACACGGCCATGCCCAACACTGTCCCGAAGAAATTGACCACACACTTGGAAGCGCAGAACCTATGGTGCATTCATTCTTCATGCAACAGACATAGGTTGTAAGTATAATTTTAGTCAGGTTAGACATTAAGCCTGAATCAAGAGCTTTCTTCAACATTGATCCCTCTCAAAAGCAAATAATCGTTTTCATAAATCAAATTACCAACCTCTGCTTTATCTCCTTTGTAATTAAGATTTTCCTATAATTTGGTTTTTGTTTGAATGAGTACACATTTAAATGTAAACAATTTGCTAAAATTGTGTTAGAGAAAGATTTGCCATAACATTACACACATTTTGGACCAACCTATATTTTGTTAAATTAGCGGTAACCTTAAACGCCACATGCCTCAAAGACATTTTGGACTTATGTGTATTTTCCCAAAGGGCTGAAACAAGGAACCAACTGCATAGAAGACGCGTACCCTCTTTGCCTGAGCACGCAGAGCAGTAGGTGTGTGGGTGCTGACTCTGCCTCGCTACTTCACACCTATAAAATTTTGGCCAAGTCTTCTTAATATTTGGTTGCCTCATTTGCCCTGTCTGTTGAATGAAAATCATAAAAATACTTACATATTAGAATCATTATTATAAAAACTGAATGGGATAACACTCCAAAGCTCTTTGAACAGTATCCACACGGCCATTGTTTCAGTGTTTGGGGAAGATTTCAGGCCAGAAGGGTGCTGCTTTGATAATCTCCTACTTTTGTCTTTTTTAAAACTTTGCATGTTTTCAGTTTATCTTCTCTTTTCCATTATCACTACTTTTCTCGTGTGTATTTTTTAAAATAGAGTCTTTGTCCCAAATTCATTATCAAAGAAAGTTGCAAGGTGTCTGTGGCAAGCACCTTGATCCCCACACCCCGGTTTGATTCCAAGGAAATGTGAGCCTCAATTATGGGCTCTCTCACAGTCATCCTGGAAAGTTGACCCCAGGCCTGAATTACGCCAATGCAGAAGACACTGGGACAATTGATGGGGAAATCACACATTCCCCCATAAAGCTTCAAGAGCATGCTTGCCATGTTTATTCACTAGGGTCCTTTTTGTACTCCAAACACTTATGGCTTGGAGATTTCAGACACATAATCTCAAAAGAAAAAAAGAAGCTCAGGGTTGCCTGGGCTCACCTGGATTTTCTAGGTCTCAAGCCTTTGCTTTTTCACACATATGCTGCCTCCCCAAGAGCCAAACAACGTCTCAGCAGAGCCCCTCATTTTATAGAACCAGGTCTCTGTGCCCCTGTAGGGGCTTCTCTGTGAACTCCATCGTGGTGGAGCAGGTTTCATGTTTTTGCATCTACCCTGACAACTGATAAAGTCCTTGTCACCCAAAAATGGCCACAAAGTGCTTGGGATCCTTTTGCCTGCCATAGTAGGGGTGAAGTAGGAGATAGAAAGATGAGTCAGTGAAGACACTGAGGATATGGGAGACCTTGTTCATTTTGGAGAAGCCCCAGAGAAGAAAAGACTATAAAAAGGAGGTTTGAAAGGCAAGAGATGGGTGGGAGTCACAATTAGGAGACAAGAAGCACACAGCTGTATAGACATCAAAACATAGGAAAGAATTTCTGCCAGGAAGGGTCAATGTTGGGATGATAAGGTTAATAAGGATGGCCAGCTTGGTGGACACTGTGCCCAAATCTAGAAGGAAAGGACTCTCTGACATTGAGACAGGGCCAGACCTTTCATCCTTCCATTCCATGAAAAAATAAGAAGTGCTAAAACAAGCTTCACCTGTGCAAATATTAATATTTAATTTGTAAAATAAAAATGCAATGCTTTGGGGTATGTATGTTATGCATTTTTTTATATATTTCATATACATATAAATACGTTATATATAACATTTTAATGTATATGGTGTATGTGAACATTATTTGAAGAAAAGGTCAAAATAGATCATTAGAGAACTTTTCTGAATGTGAGATTCAAGCCACTAGCCCTCCCGGCCCCTCCTTTATGTAAGCCAGCCCAGGCAAGAGCGGGCCTGGGATACCACAGGACTCAGCTACGCCTGAAAGGGAGGCTGTTAAGGTCTCAATGTTTGTGTTCTCTCAAATTTCATATGTTGACACCTTAACCTCCAGTGTGACTGTATTAGGAGTAAGGAAGCTTAAATGAGGTCATGGGGTGGGGCCTTGATTCTATGGGATTAGTACCCTTCTAAGAACAAACACCAGAGAACTAACTCTCTCTCTCAACATCCCTCTCTCTCTGCTCTCATGCATCAAAGAGAAGCCATGTGAGGACATGGTGAGAAGGTGTTGAACTGTAAGTCAGTAAGAGAGACCTTGCCAGAACACAAATTGCCCAGAACCTGGATCTTAGGCTTCTAGTCGCCAGAATTTTGAGGAAATCCATTTCTGTTGTTTAAGCCATGAAGCCTGTGTTATTTTGTTTTAGCAGCTCCAGCTGACTAACATAGATCATAGATGCCTAGATGGAGGCGATGACATAAAGCTAGCTCTCCTTTTCCTCGTGGTCTGTGGAAGTGACCTTCTGAAGTAACCAGCAAGTAGCATCATCCAACAAAGTGGATTAAAAAAAAAAAGTACCACAGGCTGTCTACTGCAACATTAGACAAATAAAGTACATTTTTAAAAACCTCTACATTTGGGAGCATTTCTTGACAGAAAGCTGCTCATTTGTTTTAAATATTACCTAGTTTATAGTACATGCCTCAGTGGTCTTAATGTGATTGGCATTAAATGTGGTAAGGTGTGGTTATTCACTCATTCACTCACCAAATATTGACTGCAGGTATAGGATGTGCCAGGTGCTGTTCTAATTGCTGGGGTTATGGTGGCTAATGAAGGAGTCCATTTCTGCCCCGATGCAGCTTACCACTAAGTGGTAGGACACAGGCATTAAACAAACAGGTAAATACATACAAGGTCAGATAGCAATAAGTGCTATGAAGAAAAGTAGAATAGGGTAAGGGGAGTAGGAAGAAGTATGGGGAGTTGCTATTTATGTGGTCAGGGAAGGCCTGGCTGAGACACTGACGCTGGATCAAGGACCTGCAGGAGATGATGGAGTGAGCCCTATGGATATCTGAGGAAATGGTTTTGCAGGAAGAGGGAGAAACAAGAGTCTGAGGTGGGAATGGGCAGGAGGCAGGGTGGCCAGAGTAGAGTGAGCGAGGGGGAAAAGTGGAGAAGACAAAGCCTGAGAGCTGCAAAAGTGGCCAGGTGGTATGGGTTTTGGCTTTTACACTGATTGTGACCAGAGGATGGACATGATTTTAATGAATGAATTAAAGGATTATTCTGGCTGCTATTTGGGATTAGATTCTAGTGAGGTAAGTTCAGAAGCAGGGAGACCAGTTTTAAAGCTATTGCACAACCCCAGATGAAAATGATGGTGGTGTGGACCAGCGAGATAATGGTGAAACGGAGAAGTGATCAGACTCTGGATATATTTTGAAGGTAGGCTAACAGGATTTGCTGATGAATTGGATGTGACAAATGGGAAAAAAGGAGGAGTCAAGGACAGCTCAAGATTGTGAGGTCTGAGCAGACGGAAGGAGGATGTTGTTACATGATCAGGAGAAGCAATGTTCATAAGTATCACTCCATCTTGAGTCACCTTCATCAACAATGCACTGAAAGGAACATGAGAGTCTAAGGCTAATTCTTGATCCATAGTTAGTGAATTAACACTGTCATACACCATCTTATTAAAGTTTATTTGCTGTGTTTTGTAAGAAAAACTGCTAACTAGATTACAAAAAAAAAAAAACCTAAAAAAGTAATGTATTGACTAAGGAATTAAACAAAAAGAGGAAATTCCCTAAAGCAAGGGAATCTAGCCAAAAAAAAAAGTCAAACATTGGACTGTAATAACTTAAAAATCCAAGTCTGCAATCTTGTTCAGAAAGCAGAGAATAGAAGGGAACAGTAACAGTGAGGAGGAGTAAAGGTTTAGGGACTTTCAAAAGTTTGCTTCAACAGAAGTAAAGGCTTTAAAAGGTGACTGGGAGAAAGGAAATGACTCAATTGCTTTGAGGCATGCAAAGAAAGGGAGAGGAATTATGAGGAAATCAACATGTATGTTTTTATAAGAGTCTTAATAATACAATTAAATTACACAATACAGTAGTTTTTAAGAAAACAGGTGTGTAGGTTTTCAGTTCAAATATTAAAATGTAACATTCTAGTTTATGTTAATAAGTACTTGGTTATGAATAAAGATATATTTAAGAGGTTTCACAAAGAAACTGACATCAGTTGTTCCACTTGTCTTATATTTAGTGAAGTACAAATCAGGCACTGGTAACTAGTGACTGAATAATCTGAAACCTTTGGAAAGTACTGTATTATATATAACTTATTTTGAAATGTATCATTTAAGCTCATTCCAGACAAAAAGTTATATCTGAAAACACTCTTAAATCTAGCTGTTTAGTCAGTATTTTATAGGACAATTAACTAGAGACTTGTCCCAGGCACAAAATCCAAAATTCAAGATCAAGTTAAGATATTGGGAAACCATCCTTGTATTTTATAATTATATATACAGGGGAGTTTTCAGATGATAAATTTATATTCAACAATGTAGTTTTTTATACTTCATTAAGAACGTACTTTAGATCCAAGCATATCACTTTTTTAAGAACATTCATTGTTCCCAATTATCCAGCCTAAGTTTAGATGTTTAAAACAGCTGTCTTCTGTTTTAAAGTTTCAATGTTAAAGCAAACAAAACATCCTTAGTTGTCTTCATTTCTCTGGTTATAAAATTACTCTTAAATACACATTCATTATAATAAACAGCCTGGAAAAATCTTTCAGTTGATATCAGTACAGAGTTTTCTCACATAATCTAAAAACTAGAATTGGAACAAATTGAAGCATAGTTTTATATTTAAGCATGTGCCAGAACAATCTTCTCTTCTAGTAGGGCTTTCACTACCTGGAAGCAAAGGCCTTGAAAGGCAGTTCTCAAAAACAAGTATATTTTAATTTTCATCATTCTTTTGGCCAAATAGCAAATTCCAAAGTGGTACTTAATCAACCAGTTTATCTGGTTATGAAAAGTATAAATTACATTTAGGTAACTGCATTTTTAAACAAACTCACATCCCAGTAGATATCTTTAAGTCTAAATATTAGTAGGTGGGGCAATTAAAAGAAGTTATTTTGCAACAGAAAGAAGAAAACAGGGCCAAACACAGTCTTTACTCTGTGTTACATAACTAGAGATTTCAACTAAATGTAAAGAGCTTTTGTGGAGGAAAAAAATGGACTTCTGGTTTACTTAACATGTATTGTTCATTCATTACCTTATTTCTCATCTAACATTCTCTTAATTTCCCAAACAATAATTTGATATCAGAAGTGAATGGAGACAAACTCCACTGTGGTACAGTGGAATGATTGTTATACACAGGGTGGGGTCCCACCATGAAGCTATTCATGGAGGGGCAGACAGTAAATCACTGTTAGCAAACTCTAGCTTGCTGGGAGAGCTGGTCCTTGGAGATGCTCTGACATTGTTCCCAGTGAATTCAAATTGCAGTTTATCTCCTTCCACAAGCCTTCTAGAGTTCTATTTATATTCTTATTGCATCTTATTTTTAAGCATCTTGTTTTTGAAATTGTTATATTTACTCGTCACTTTCATCCATAAATCTTTTTCTCCCCATTCAAAAAGCAAATTAGACACGTTATAGTCGAAATTCTGTGTTGGGAGAAAGCCTAGATTTTGTTTATCCTTAGAACTGGAATCTCAAAATCTGAAGAGCATGATATATGTCTAGAGTTTTTTTTTTCCCCTTTTCCTTTTTAAATGGTCCTATTCCATCCAAGGATCTATTCCTTATCCTACTGAATCCTTGAAAAGGAACTAATTGCTTTCACTAACTCATGCCCTCACTTATGTACCCTTACTCTCAGTTAAGTGCTGGAGATACAAGATAAATGACAGAGATATAGTCCGAAGACTTGAGAAACTTGTGATCTAACAGGAAAGAGAAGCATTCAACAAATAATTGCACCAAATATTAATACTAGCTGTAATGTCTGATATGCACTATGAGGTAAATTCACAGGGTACTTTGAGAATACATAATGGAGAATATGATCTATTCTAGACTATCAGGGAAGTCTTGTTGGAGGCAGGGACATTGAAGGATGAGTAGAGGTTAGTCTGGTAAACAGGGAGAGGGGAAGTTCCAGTATTCCAGGCAGGAGCACAAGGGCAGGCCTGTAGTTACAAACAAGAAACATGGAGCTTTCCAGGAACTGAAACACCAGTGATGCTGCAAGAAAGGGAGACAGTGATGGGAGCACGGCAGAAATGAGACCAGAGAGGTAGGCAAGAAACTAATCATGCACAATGTTAAGGCTGTATTAGGGTTTAGGGGTGTCTATGGATGCCTCTGAGGTGTTTTAAGAGAGGCTTGATGTGATCAGATGTGCATCTCTCAAAGATCACTTAGACTACAATCTGGAGAATGAATAAGAGGACAAGAGAGAATAGAATTTAATGTTAATTTGGGAGAAAAAGCAACCAAAAATATTACTATATATTGGTTACAGATACATATGGTATATGTGAAAGTACAGAAACAAAATGTAAGGATGCACAGAAAACTCATAATATCATTACTTATAAAAAAAGAAAATGAGAGTAAGAAAGAGATGTTGATGATGAGGAAGTTAAGTTTTATCCACCATGTTTTATTTCTTAAAATACAGACAGTAAACAAAAATGACAAAATATTAACAGTCATTAATTCTGAGTAATGAAAATTGGGATGTTGGTTATATTATTCTTTGACAATGTTTCAATTTCCTCAAAAGAAAAACTAAGTTAAAAAAAAAGTGAGAGGAGTACCAAGAGAGAGTAGTGTGTCATCAAAGCCAAGAGCAGAGAGTATGTCACAAGAAACAATTGTTGCTGATAATTCAAATAAAATGAAAACGTTAAAATACCCACTGTATTTACTGTCATGAATGTCACTGAAGACTAGCAAAAGGGGATTGAGTAGATGAAAGAGGACGAAGTGGCAGCACTGGTTATCAACAATCTCTGGGGCTGTCTGGCTTTGGAAGAGAGGAGAGAAGAGAGTAGCTTGAAAGAAATGGGATCCAAGGTGGGCTGTTTCTTTATCTTTTTCTTTTTCTTTCTGAGACGGAGTCTCGCTCCGTCGCCCAGGCTGGAGTGCAGTGGTGCAATCTCGGCTCACTGCAACCTCCACCTCCCAAGTTCACGCCATTCTCCTGCCTCAGCCTCCTGAGTAGCTGGGACTATAGGCGCCTGCCACCATGCCCGGCTAATTTTTTTGTATTTTTAGTAGAGATGGGATTTCACCGTGTTAGCCAGGATGGTCTTGATTTCCTGACCTCGTGATCCGTCTGCCTCGGCCTCCCAAAGTGCTGGGTTTACAGGCGTGAGCCACCACACCCGGCGACCAAGGCGGACTGTTTCTAAGATGGGAAAGACCGAAGCTTGCTTACATGCTGATGGGCAGATGCAGGAGAGGGTCTGGAGACAATAGGACAGAATTTCTGAGAACCTGTGAATTATTGGGAACATAAGGAGGGACTGGCCTCCTACTGGAGGAGGGACACTGCCTCCTTCATAAGAAGAGACACTTAGAAAATAATGAGTACAGGCCGGGCACAGTGGCTAACGCCTGTAAGCCCAGCATTTTGGGAGGTCAAGACGAGTGGATCACCTGCAGTCAGGAGTTCGAGACCAGCCTGGCCAAAGTGGTGAAACCCCGTCTCTACTAAAAATACAAAAATTAGCCGGGCATGGTGGCAGGTGCCTGCAATCCCAGCTACTTGGGAGGCTGAGGCAGGAGAATCGCTTGAACCAGGAGGCAGAGGTTGCAGTGAGCCAAGATTGTGCCATTGCACTCCAGCCTGGGCAACAAGAGTTAAACTCCATCTAGAAAGAAAAGAAAAGAGAAGAGAAGGAAAAGAAAAGAAAAGAAAAGAAAGAAAGGAAAAGAAAAAGAAAGGAAAGAAAAGAAAGTAAAGAGAGAAAGAAAGAAAGAAAGAAAGAAAAAATAATGAGTACAGAAGCAAAAATGTTCCCTTCTGATGGACTGCGTTTTTTTCAGGGAAGTACGAGGTATGAAGTGTGAGATATCTGATTACGGGGAGAAAGTTAGAAACGAACTGAGATAAGGCGGTGCTTTGGATGAGATTGAGGTTGATAACAATCTATCTACATTTTTTTTTCCAGCAGGCTTCAGCTGCCCAGTTCAGAAGCAGAGACGGCTGATGTTTACATACTTCAGAACTAGCTTTTAGTCAGATAGATGTTGACCAAAGATAGAGGAGCAACAGAATTGAAAGTATTTGCAAGAGAGAGGGACTGATACTATGAAGCTATGCTAGACATAGAGAGGAATGAAATAAGGAGGGAATAGGTGATCGAGAGAGAAGCAAAACTCAAAATCTGGAGGTCCTCAAGAAATCAGTGAATGCAGGGGGGTGCATGAGCAAGGAAGATTGAAGGAGAAGAAGTGATTGGAAAGCAGGATGTCAGAATTAGTGATTTGGAAGATGGGGCATTTTTGATAATAAGGCCCAGAATGAAGCCTGGAGTAGGTGGAGGAGGGGAGTAGAAAGACAGCATAGATGAGGAAGGCAAGAAATGGAAAAGCCAGAGGGTCAGTGGTTATATGGATGTTAACACTACCATGAGTCATGACAGGTGGAGGGACACATAGGAGGACAATAAGTCTTTGAAGAATCGGATAAAATGAGACCACAAATGTATTTGTAGAGTTTAGCTACCAAAGTCAGCCAGAGGTTTTTAGAGGAGGAGAAATGGCCTGAAAGCAGCATGAGGAGCAAGGATACGGACCTTTCTTTGTGAAGAGGAATAAACGGACAAGAAGAAGAAACAGCCCCCACAAGAAAAAGGCTAGGGAAAAGTAATTGGTCTAGAATACAGCCAGGATTTATTGTGGCAGTGGTTCTCATCCCTGGCTGCAAATGAGAATCATCTATGGAGTTTTAAAACCTACCCATGCCGAGGTCCCAGTCCTTACTGATGAATGAGAATCTTGAGCTTGGGGATTTGCATCACTGAAGAGCTCCCCTGGTCATCTAATGTGCAAGTGGATTTTAAAACCACTGACTTAAGGCAAAGAGGTGGAGGGAACTTTGGAGAAGGGGCTGAGGGTACAGATAGATTTCTTGATTATAAATTATAATGGCCTGAATGTACAAACTGTGCTCCCCAAGTGTGCCCCCATGAACCCTCAAGGAACTGTGAGTAGCAGCAGCCCCTTCTTCTCCCAAGTTCATTACTCCTTTTTGTCTCAAAGCAGAGATTCTGATCAAACAGCTAGATGTGGTCTTTGCAGAGAACCTGAGTTTATCTTTCTGCTTTATTTTAATCTTCCGCCACACTTTTCCAGGTGATCTGAGGAAAGCGGGAACTGTCATGTAGTTAACAAGGGCAGGGGGTGGCTGGGCGCGGTGGCTCACGCCTGTAATCCCAGCACTTTGGGAGGCTGAGGCGGGCGGATCACGAGGTCAGGACATCGAGACCATCCTGGCTAACACGGTGAAACCCCATCTCTACTAAAAATACAAAAAAATTAGCCAGGCGTGGTGGCAGGCACCTGTGGTCCCAGCTACTCGGGAGGCTGAGGAGAGAGAATGGCGTGAACCCGGGAAGCGGAGCTTGCAGTGAGCTGAGATTGCGCCACTGCACTCCAGCCTGGGCAACAGAGCAAGACTCCGTCTCAAAAATTGAAAAAAAAAAAAAGAAGAAGAAGGGGAGGGGGAGTTGTTACAGGTAGCTCCCAGCCCTGACCCAATCGCTGACACAGGTCAAGCCACTTCTGTCCGCTGTGCTTCCATGTGACTCCTGTAAAATGTGATGGTAGGACTGATGTGGAGGATGGCAAGGATGACAATGTGACACTTAATCTTTATAAAGCAGTGTCAGCCTTAGACTCCGAATTTACGAAGATCATCTAATGTAATCCACGAGCTCCTCGGGAAGTGAGTAGAATAAGAATCCCCATTTACAGGTGAATCCACTGGGACTTCACAGAGATAAGTGACTTGCCCAAGATCACCAGCTAAGTTACATTAACCGCAGATGGCCTCCAGAGACCAGGGCCTCAAACACTCCATTTTACGTCACTTTAAAAAAAACCACTGAAGTCACCTTCTCATCACTCTGTGATTCTTTAACTCTTTGGCTTTCTTTTCCTGAAGGGACAGGGTATAAATTGCAGACTTCAAAGGCTTTGAAGGGGCAGTGGTTTTACTGAAAACTTACTGCAGGCTTCTGGAAGTGAGTCTGAGGCGCACTTATGGGGAAATGACATCATGAGGTTTCATAGCCTGGCTTCCCCACAGGTGCTCCCCTGGGGGTTTCGGGAGCCTGACAATAGCTGGCTTTTCTTCCAGCTCCGGGAGCATCTTTTCTGGCAGGTGGAAATGTAATATCACGTGGTCAGAAGGAAGGGCTCCTACTTGGATGGTGAGACTAGGATCTAGTAATTGCCAGGAAGATTCTGGGTGGTATTTCTTCACTGTGAAAAGTAGACTCCAATTCTTTAACTCTCGTATTCTATAATTTTAAATTAGGTAAATTTAATCGCTCGCTTCTTGGCTCAGCGTTACTACAAATTAAACATGCAAGTATTAATATTGAATATAATGTCCCTTTAAACAATATCCTGAAACTCGTTGTGGGGCATTTCCAATATATCCATAAAGCAAATAAAACAACTTAATTGTTTGTTTCTCTAAGGGAAGGAGCTAAACCCGAAATTAATTTAGTTCGGCCTGTGAAACAATTCGTTTGCTCTGCCTAATTCTGCCAATTTAAGAACTTTTCCCAGACACAATTAGCATGTAAATCGGCGGCGGGGAGCGAAGAAGGAGCCTCGGCGACCCCGGTTGGGTGGAGCGCGGGACAAAAAACCCCGGAGGCCGAAGGGTCCGGAGCTTCGAAGGGGCTGCAGTACCGCGCCTGGGGCGCACGGACGAGCCAGGGGACCAGCTCACACTGACCCTGCAGTCATCAGCCAAAATCTGGGTGTTAAATAGCGCAGCCGGGGATCCAGCCGTCTTGGCCGCCAGATCCTTCTCCTAACCCCGCGGGATTCTGAGGAGACGTCCTGGAGCCGGCCCCCACCCAACCCGCGGGAAAGCGCAATCCTACCCACCGCCCCACACTCCCCAACCCCCTCCCGAGGCTGGCTCTTGAAGCCGCGGGGGCTGCGCGCGCACCTAGGGCCGCGCCCCCCACTACCCCAGGTCTATAGAGGCCTTTGCCCGAGAAAGGTGGGGATAGCGGCCCCTGCTGACAGCTCTGGAGAACAGCAGGGGTACTGATTTTTTCTTTTTTTCCTACCATTCTCCCTACCTTTTCCAGGTGGTGGTAGTGGTGCGGGGGGAATGGGTGTTGACCCATGTGCATTTATTCTTCGTGAAGCCTCTTAAGCAGATGTCTGTACTTAGAGAAGCGACCAAAGAGGGAACGTGGACTTATTAGTGGTCTTAGTCCCAATTAGGGAACAGGTACAGTTTCCAATATAAAGAAACTCGGCCTAAGTGGGACTGAGACCCCGATCTCCGCACTTGCTTTTCTCAGCCAACTCCATGACTAGTAAATATCTCTCCGAGAACTGCTGGGCCGCCCGATGTTACTTTGTTTAAAGGTTGCGACTAGGATCCGTACCATCTGCGAAGCCCCCTTGGGGAGCAAGAGCCGCGGCGCGCAGTTGATTTCGGGGCGCAGCGGCAGGGGGAGGGGAACGTGGTGTGGCCCGACGAGTTGGCACAAGCCTGTAACTGCAAGACTTTGTAGCTATTGAAAGTTCAAGTGGTGAAAGAAGGCTGTGCCTGCCATTCTTCATGTGATCATAACAATAGCGCCTTGGAAGTGGTTGCGATTTTCTTCTTCCATAAACCTTTTGGGTTCTCACTGGAATTGTATGCGTGTTATTTCTGAAGTTTACTTATTTCTAAGACCAGTCCACAAAATGTGAACTTCATTAAGTTTTAAAATAGATCGCCGTCGTTAAAAACGCCATTCTCTGCACTGTAGTTTATTTGCTTACTTCACATGCTTTATTAACGTGTGTATGTGCGTAATTAATAGCTGTGTTCTTATCTTCCAAGTGTATTTTTAACCGCACCGGCTTCTATCCAATTCATCTAACTACGTAGAGCGTCCATCGCTTCTGGAATCTACCTCTTGATAACAGTAATCAGAATCAGAAAAGCTCGCCGTTCACTTACCCTCATCCTTTAAAACTTTTCCATTTAAGAAAATCGATGAACAAAACCTTTCTTGTAACTCGCTCCTGCACTACGTCTATTTTTATTTATTTTTCTGATTTGGCAGGACTCAGCAATGCTGTCCGGGATTTTTTTTTTCTTTTTTTTTTTCCTAGCTAGAGCAGATGTGGGGGTGGGGGAGGTGAGGGCTGGGCTCCAGCCAGAGTCGCCCCCGCTGAGCCTCCGCCTAGCGCGCGGTGGGGCCAGGAATCCTGGTGGAAGGAAGCGGCGCTGGCCAGTTGGTCCAAGGCTCCACCTGCAGCCACACCGCGTAGTTTCTCCGCCTCTGCCTCGCTCACTCGCACTCACATACACCACAGCTCTCCTTTGGGTCGGAGGAGACGCCAGCCAAAGTAGGCGGAGTTGCGGAAGGAGAGTCCGATCTGCGCAATCCAGTCCGGGACTTGGCTCCGCCCGGGAGCGGCGGCCTCTCCGGTGACAGAGGAGTAGTGAGCGGCACGGGGTGAGGCTGCAGCCAACTCCGCTCCCCGCGCACTCGGCTGCCCAGGCGCTCGGAACCCAGCAGCGGCGCTCCTCCGCGGTGCCGGTCGCCCGCGATGCCCGCTTAGCAGCGTGTAGCAGCGGCCAGCATCACCACACCCGCGGCACCGCGCTGCCGGCCGCAGAGCCGGGCCAGAGCCTTGCACCCCTGCCCCAGCCCCCACCCCGCCCCCCGCCCTGAAATGACTTGTTAATCGGCGCAGACACCACCAAGGGGACTCACCGAAGTGGAATCCAAGTGGAATTTGGATTTGGAGAAGAGTTTCTTGAACATTTACCCTCTTCCTTGTTGGTTTTCTTTTTCTTTTTCTTCTTTTTTTTTTTGGCTTCTTTTTTCCTCTCCCCTTCTCCGCTCGTCATTGGAGATGAACACATCGCGTTTGCATCCCAGAAAGTAGTCGCCGCGACTATTTCCCCCAAAGAGACAAGCACACATGTAGGAATGACAAAGGCTTGCGAAGGAGAGAGCGCAGCCCGCGGCCCGGAGAGATCCCCTCGATAATGGATTACTAAATGGGATACACGCTGTACCAGTTCGCTCCGAGCCCCGGCCGCCTGTCCGTCGATGCACCGAAAAGGTACGCCCCGGGCGCCCGGGCGCGCCCCACCTCCCGGGCAGCTGGACTCCAGCCTGAGGGTCCCGGGGCCGTGGCTAGCGCGTGCTGTCGGCTTTGTGGTGCCTGCGTTTTATTTTGTCTTGTGTCTCTGTTTCCCGAGCCTTGCCCGGTCCTGGGGGAGCAGCCGTGAGCCCTGCCTGCCTTTCCTCTCTGCCCTGCGCCCCAGAGTGCGTCCGGCTCCACGTCGAGAGCTTTCCCACCCGCGTTGCGCACACGCCCGGCGCCGCCCCGGGCCGCGACGGCGCGTATGGCTGTTCCTCCTGGGGGTGTGTGTGCGAGACCCAAGGCTCATCCTCCCGCGTGCCCAGCAGGGAGCAGAGCGGGCCCTAAATGGTGGGATTCTCGGAAGCTCCCTGGCCCGGTGTGTCGAAGGCAGGGGAAGGGGTTCTGCCCTCGAGGGCTGGAGGGGGTTGGGTATAACAGCGCTGTTTTCGTCCAGTGCCAGGTGGGAGAAGGGGTTCCGCGGAGACGGTGTGGAAGCGGAGAGAATCTTTTGTTGTCAGTGTGGGGTCTGGGCTGGGCTCCGTGGAGTGCAAGAAACTTGTAATGGCTCTAGGCACCCGCGCGCCCTGTCTCTCGGTGAGATCCTGGCTCCTGTGGCCGCTGCCACCAGAGGTTCCGGGCTTTGTTTGCTCGAATAAGTGTCCGGGAGCAGCCGTTCGGGTGACGCGGCGCCCCCGCCATGGGTCCTGTCCCCCGCCGCAGCTCCCAACCCGAGCGGCAAGGATATAGCCCGTCGCGGCTGCGTCCCTCCTGAAGCACCGAGCCCTTTGCACCGGGCTGGCGCACGGTACGCCCTCCTCCCAGATCAGCGCGGTCTCGCTCTGGAAAGATGACCCAGGAGGGGGAAGGGTGAGAGACCTGGCAGAAGATGGCCCTGGGTTTGAAACCCAGACTAGGGCTCTGTTCCGACTCCTCACTGTGTCCTAGGGCGCTACCATGGGGGCAATGGGGCGCTGGAGAGTAAGCCGGGCAGTGCCCACCCACCCTGCCTGATCCTTCTGGGGCGGGAAGTGTCTCTTGTCCCGATTCTCCGCGTTTTGCTCAGCTCCTCGCTGTGGGAGATGGTGCAAAACAGGATCCTGAGGTCTCCTCCCTCCTCGCAAGACCCGAGCGGCACGGGGGGAGCCAGGGAGCGGTCCCGGGCTTGTGGACGTCGGGAAAGGAAACAGAATTCCGCTGTTTTTCCCGCTCCCTCGCCGCCCCTCCGCCCAGCGCCTCCTCCCACTTTACAGCGGCGGGGTCACTAGACCAGGCGCTCCTGGAAAGTTTCCCTGAAAGCCAGGGGCGGCAGGCACGACCGGACTGGGGCTCAGCATGTGCAGTCTGAGGGAAGCCGGACCTGGAGGGAATCATGCGGACAGCTCGGGATGCAGCTAGGAGCTAGATCCCGGCCCTTTGGAGAGTGGAACCTCCTGGCCCGCGGTACTTGCTCGACAAGTCGGGGAAGGGATGAATGGGGAAGCAGGACCCCGGAGGCAGGTGCGGCCACTGTGGACAGAGGCTGTGGGGAAGGTGCGTGTGGACACAGGCCGGGGCTCAGTGGCTTGCAAGTAGGCAGCTTCAGGTGCAGAATCCCGAGCCATCTGCTCCCTGCGCACGATTTCCCAGCGTGGCTATCCAGGGAGGGAGGAAGCAGAGCCAGGTGTGCGTGGAGCGGGAGAGGAATGGGAGACTGGAGGCGCTGTCTTCACAGCCGGGGCAAGCACTTCCAGGGAGTCTCCGGCCTGTATCGCACTGGGGAGCCCTGCAGGCTTTTTCGCGTCGGTCTTTGGGAGAAAGGTGGCTGCTTTGGAACTGCGGTGGCCAGGCACAGCCACAGTGGGATCGCTCCTTTTTTTACGCTCAGCTTTTTTACGCTACTGAATGCGATCTGTGAAAGGTTTAAAACACAGGCGTGCATGGACACACACACGCACACACTCGCCCTTGTACGCACAACTTTCTTTACCTCAGATCTGAAAAGCCGTTTAACCCACTTGCAGTGTTGTGCCAGCAGGTCTCAGAAAAGCTATTTAATGCCCCCCAGCGCTGGTTTTTAAGTCTTGCCAGGATGGGAAGGTCGAGTGCCTTTGCCTTGTCTTTCTTTAGTCCTGAAATTGTTCGTCGTCCTTCCCCTGGTGGACACATCTTGGGCATCAAGTCTGTGGTATGCTACAGTGATGGCGGGGAGGACTGGTGGTTTAATTAATTATTTAATTATGTTTTCTCCCCAAAGTAAAGATGCCTATGTTTAATTCTGACTAAAAATACTCTACACTTTTTTATACCGTACCCAAATGGCTACCAGCGGTCAAGATTGCAAGAATTTTGTATGACTTTTTAATGCTGTGTTTAGTCTACATGGAGCAGTTTTATGATTTACAGTAAGCTTTGATTAAACTACTCCAGGCACCAAAGTTAATTATTAACCTAACCTTAAATACAGTGGCAGAACTATGTCTCCACCTATTAACCTAAACTATCTATTAAAAAATAATTGCACTAGCTATTTGAATTTGGTTTACCCATGCTTGTTTGTATGGTAACTTTTATTTGAATCTTGAGTAACCCTTACTCCCTGTTATTATTTTGGTTTTGGGACGTTCTTGAATGAGGCACTTTGCAAACCAGTTTAAAGCAGAAAAGAACGAACATCAAATTTAAAATCTTACTTTTGGTTATGAGTCATTTTTCAACTTGATGTAAAGAAGCATTCTACTTTATGTTTCTGATGTACAGTGTTTGTGGGTGACAACCTTCCCCATATGTTAGGTTTTGCAGCTATCACCTTTTAGAGATGTGCTACATTTTCAATAACGCATATAATCCACATATGTAAATGTTAAGCAGATACCGAAAATCATTTCTGAGGAGCCATCAGCTGAATATACTTATTGGACATAACAACTAAGCTTAAATAGGTAAAAATTTTATAAGAACCAGTATAGAACACTCAAGTAAATGTCGAATGAATGAAATAAATAGTCACACATGGTTCATGTTTGTCCACTTAAAGTGGACTTCTTTATTTTCCCTACAGTGAAAAAAAAAATATATGCCTTCAAGTGAGTGGTTATGATAAGGCGGCAATAAGTGCACCTTTTTATTTACACACAACACACACCCCTCAAGTTCTTCCAAAATCTAGTAAATGCTTTTTCCAACATTAAACACATATAGCAGTTGTATTTTGAGTAGGCGGGTAACATTGCACTAGTGAAGTCTAATGTGTTGAATCAGAAGTGTAGCAAGAATTAGGAAGACTGTTATCTTCACCAAATAAAAATGAGGCATCCAAATTAAGAACTTGTATTAAATTCAAAATAAGTAGTTATGCTTTAAAAGTAAATGGGTAGTTGCACTCCTATATGAAATGGAAGGAAAAATACTATTTTGAACCAGGAGTTAAGTCAGATAGTTTATTCTGTGTACATTGTGGTTCAGCGCTTTTCAGAACAGGACAAAAGAGTGATGATGGGATGAAAGTTTTTTTAGAACTAGATTGCCAAGAGCTAATATAGTCTCTCCATCTTATTTGTTTGCAGGAAGGAATCACAGAACAAGCTAAGCTAATTGCAAATGCTTTAATTAAGCATCTGCCATTTGTGTAAGGCAATGCCTAGGAAAGCCTATCTCTGCACTGCCCCTCTCCACACCCTTCTTTAGGTTTAGACAATTTTCTGTCCTCCTAGAGTAGAGGAGTGCTCCTTGACATATTTATATAGAAGCTTTGTGTTATGGCAGCCACATTTGTGCATGTTGAGGAAGGTGATGCCTTGAGGCGTTCTGCTGGGCCCTCCCATATCAGGAACCCCCCCCACTCTCTTGGGGTGCCTTGGAGCCAAGTTTTCTCTGAGATATTTCTATTTCAGCGTGAAGGCTTTTCTCATCTGCTTTAAAATGTGCTGCAAGAGCAACTGAGCTATTCTCTGCTGGCGACCACATGGTTGCCTCTTGGGGATATGGTAAGATAGAGAAAGGAGGGAGGCATTTAATCCCTTCGAAATGGGCAAATGAGATGTCATACCACACAAACCTCAAGGGGAGGAGTTCAGGACAACTTCTCACCATGGGACTACTGCATATAGTCTATACACAAGGGTATCTTGCTTTGTGAAACAGATGAGCTCTTGCAAAACTTTATTACAATAATTCCATTTACACCAATAGAGGGTATCATATAAAACCATAATACACAGATGATTCCCAAATAACCTCTTCAGCTTAGACCTCTCTCCTGGACCTCACAAATAACCAATGCTTAGTGGGTAGGTAGCTCCTCCTGAATAGACATCTCAAACTTAGGTTTAAAAAACCTAATTCTGTATCTTTCTCCCCCATATCTGCCTTTCTCATAGTCTTCTCCATCATAGTAAATGGCAACTCCATTCTTTGAGTTGCCGGCCCCCAAATTTAGTTCTCCTTGAAGCTTCTCTGTCACACCTACATCCATTGTGGCTGCAATGCTGTTGGCTCCACCTTTGGAATACCTGCAGGCTTCCTTCAGGTGTTCCTCCTCTGTGGCCCTCAAATTGGCCAAGCCATGGTCCTCTCCTGCTAGGTTTTCATGCCAGCTTCCCCACTAGCATTCCTGCCTCTGCCCATTTCTCAACACAGCAGCCAAAACACAGCAGTGATTTTTTTTTTAAACTAAACCAGATCAGATCACTACTTTGCTCAGATGTTTTCCCATCTTCTTCCAATAAAAGCCAAAGTCCTTCCTATGGCCTTTGCAGCCCCACATGATCTGCACTCAGGTTCCAACCTCTCTGACCTCCACCCCTTGGGCTTGCTTGAATCTGTCAAGCATGGCATATACTTGGGGTCCTTTGCAAGGACTTACTCTTTCATGCCTTGGGATGGTTCTTTCCCCAGATAGCTACATGATTTGCTTCTCATATTCTTCAGGTCTCTGTTCAAATGTCACTTTCTCAGTGAAGCCTTTTGATCCCCTTATTTACTTTACTCTTTCCCACAGCACTCCCCACCTCTTGGCAGTCCTTATTTTTTTCTTAGCATTTTTCACAGTCTGACAAACTATATGTTGTCCTTGTTGATTTTCTGTCTTCCACTAGAACATAATGCCATAAGGATAGACATTTTTAGGCTTTATTCACTCTGGCACCTAAAGCTGTGCCTGGCACATCATGGGCCATCCATAACAAGTGTTTGCTGAATGAATAAACAGTGAATCATTTTTGCAAACAACTAGTCTTTATTTTATCTATTTTGTCTGCCTTTGTTTTTCTATATCATGTTTTTATCAAATGAGATACTTCATGCATGCATGTGTGTGTGTGTACTTCATGCATGAATGTGTGTGTGTGTGTGTGTGTGTGTGTACAATCTTCCAAGCACATAGGTGGTATGGCTCATGCATCATTAGTGGAACATTCACTGTGTTGTTTTTCCAGTGGTAGTGATGGATTGGAGCCTGTTCATTCCCACATTCTCACCCAGTCCCCTCCTGTGTCCAAGAGCACACATCTGTGAGACACCTGGTTGTAGCTGGAGGGAGTCTGAGTTAGGTAAAATCAACTTGCCAAGAAACAGAGCTAAGAAGACAGCCAGCATTTGTGGGGATTGAGCTTTTGACCCTGGCCTCATTTGTTCTGCATTCTAACCACTGGCCATAGAACGTTCATGTTTTTTTGGAGTTTGCTAATAGTAGTTTTAAAATTCAACTTTCTATCAGGAGAATACAGCATACTTTATTAACCCATGTTTCTGCCCTGTACCCGTACAGTATATCTGCTGTTGAGGATCCTGCACTTGGAGACAAGAAGACCTGAGTTCCAGACTCTCACTACCTTGGACAAGTCACTTAACTTCTCTGTGGCTGCATTATTTTAATTGAAAATTATAAATAGTAAACCTATTCTTCCTAACTTATAGGATTACTGGGAAAATAATACGAAATCATGAATGTGAATGTATTTAGTGAAATATTACACGCATTGTGGAAATTTGGGAAGTTTGATGTTAACCCCCTCTTTCCCACTCTGGACCCTGGATATAACAGAGATCCTACTTCATCTTCTAAATTATTTTTGGTAGAATATACACTGTTCATGTAGTTTTAATGTAAATCACATTATGCAACTAAATAATATGTTCAAATTCATTGAAATTGTACAGTTCACCTAGAGCATGGATAGCAACTTTATTAATTAGAACACCTACCATGTCAAGGAAACATTGCTTTCAACATTATCATTAAATCAGGCAAGGTCATAGGAGTACCATTCTGCCAGGAATTAGTTTAAAAGTAAGATAATTGTTTTTGCTCAGTTAAATTCTGAAATAGTTCAAATCAGTGTAACGATTAATATGTCAGGGTGAACCAGGACTAGTAGAAGTTTCCATCTTTGTCATAACAAGGCCGAATTCGTTAGATCTTGTGGCGTGAGGTTAATAAATGTGAAGGGACCGTTGGAGGGAAGGTAGTGGACAACTCTAGAGGCATTGCGGAGGTCATGCTTTTTTGACAGACAATGCACGTGGATTTGTTTTGCCATTTACCAACAGTGTGACTTTATGCCAGTTTCCTTTCTCCTTCAGTTTTCATTTGCAAAGTGCTAGTATGATGATAATGTTATGGTTTTGAGAAGAATAAATGTGCTAACATCTGTAAAATGCATGTCACAATGCCGGGCACACAACAAGCAGTCATTCAACATAAGGTATTATTTTTACTTGAGTAACAGTAGTTACGAAAAATGTCCTAGGAATGGATTTTGAAAAAGCAGATAGTACTTTTATTCTGGGGGGCAGGGGAAATAGTAGAAAAGGAAATGGCTACGAATCTGTAATATAAAGAGATGATGCAAAAGAAAACAACCTTTGGACTAGAAACAAACATTCATACCATAAACAGGCCATAATGTCATGGGTTTTAAGTTGAGAAGCATGTGAATACATCACTTGCAGGGAAACAGGAAACAGGGAAACTTTGGAATTTGAAATATCACACCCAAAACATGGAAGGAAAAAACCACTATATATAAAAAATAATAATAATAACAAGCAGAGCCTTATATCAAATAGGAGCCCAAGGGATAGTTTTTGAAAAATGATAGCTATCACTTATTAACATTTTAATAATAAAATGTACACTCTGCACCTACATTTAGAATCTGAAAGCAACTCATAATGACAATTTTAGGGATGAGTTGAATTCCCAAGGACCACACCTGTCTTAGGAGAGAAACTCGGCTGCTGATTGGAACCCTTGAGGAGGTTGTGGCTAGGACTTCTGCAAGAGGGTCTTCAGGTTGGGCATGCATCTGCCAGGTCACTCTTCCCTGGCCAAGCTTGAAATCAATTTGGGAGCAAAAGCAAACTACTGCCTTCCACACCAAAGGTAGGAAATAATTGGCTGACCCCAGTAGAGATAGCAGTTATTCTGCTGACAGACACACTACTACAAAACCTGAAATTTGATTCAAATGATAGTCATACAAGTTCTTATCAGTGAGAAAAATCTGACTTCTAAAAGGCACAGCAGAAGGGGAAATAAATTGATGTTATCACCACAATTCCCTGCTACCATTATGTTTTCCAGGAATGCCTCCATGGCTTAGAGTTACAGTTATTTTCAACTAGGAAATAAAATGTTCTCAAACTCTGTAAGTGGAAACAGAATGGAAAGAGTGTGAGATAAATCAGTAATTAACATGCTGCAAGGACCGAAGTTTCAGATCCTTCTTAGCAGCCAGTATGGTGACTTTTGCTTAGAAAGCATTGTTAGTAATAGATACTTCCTCATGCAGCCTTTAGACTTGAAGCTTTCTTTTAATATTCCTAGGTGCTTTCTAGGAATTTCCAACTAACCTATAATTGTCATCTGTAGAACATTAAATTCAAAGAATCCATGCCAATTAAAAAAATTTAGCAGAAGAAGCTCTAAAGTTGGTGCTGTTTACGCCTTTCTTAGCCCTTCTGCCCCTCTACGCTTCAAAGACCAGCCTTTGGCCATGATTTGATTAGAAGCATTTATAGAACAGAACAGGATCTGGCATTAAATACAATGAAAACATGCCATTGGAAAATAAACATTGTTAGAGACTACGAAGAAATAAAGATTGTATTAATTATGTTTTAATGTTCTATGAGGGTTTTACAGACAAGCTGTGATAGATCCATTCTTCTTTCCCTGTTCCTATTCCTGATTCGTTTTTTAAAGAAAAGTATTCAGTCTTTTCATTAATATTGCAGCGACTTCAGCACTTCCCCGCCCCTCCCCCAGACTCCTACTGTCCTTGAATGAGGAAACTGAGAGAATACTGATTGAGCTGGTGAATGGAAACGTTCCTTTCCTGAAAATGGAATGCTTTACAAAAAATTGCATTCCACAAAAAAACACTCAAAACAATTCAACAACTGTCCCTCCTCCTTTCTACCCAGAGAGCCACTTGATTTCATTCACATATTTTGGTTTTTCAATGTATTTGTTCTTAGGCCTAAAATACCCAGGTGGAAAACCATTCTATTAAGCCTTTCACTATTTTAAAAACATGAGCATCTGAGTTTCTAAGAACATTCTCATTCCTGCATAGTGAGCGATAAATAGAAACCAAATTGTTTGTAGCATTCTAAACTCAAGTATATTGGCAGAATGGCAGTGGAGTTGATTTTTATAAGAATACTTGTTAATGGTTTTCGAGACGGATTCTGTGCTAATTCTTCTTGTATCATGAATGATGGCCCTAGCTAGACACTGTCGCTGGGATCTTCATCTGTTAATCATGGAGGCTGCTTTCTTATTCGGTTGCCATAGTTTCAGTGCCTCACATAGTGTTGGGGTGTCTTGGGAAAGGTTTGAGATATACTAGGGCTTGCAAGCCTTGCAGTTATTTTGACAGTTGTGCTCTGAAAGACTGAAAACCGCTTCTCGTATAATTCAGTGTTGGATTAAAAGAGGCAACTTCTGAGAGTGTCTCCCTGGACCTTGTTATGTGCACATCCAGCTGGTATTTAATCCAGGATTTGCCTCTTGCTCAGTCTTGCTGGCAAAAAAAATAAATAAATAAAAATACAGTACAGAGGCTGATGTCACTTTCATATTTCAACAAGAAAGCAAAGGGACGCAAACTCTTCATTAAGACTATTCACAAATGTGGAGGTAAATGAGGCCATTCATGACTTTGCTTAAAATTTCTGCTCCATAATTTGGCTTTGGCTTTGCAGATTACTAAATAAATAAAATGACATCATGATTGCTGTGTGCCGTGTGTTATTTTGGCAATGGAAACATGTAGAGCTTTACTTCAGGTTTAACCTTTCCTTTTTTACACTTGACACTCATTGCTAAGGAGCTAGAGACCATTTTACTGTATTTTGCAACAAAAGGCTCATACATTTTGGACTGTAGGTCTACTGCTTTGTCAACTCGTGAATAGTATATGAACATTTTTCAATTATTTAATAATTTCAATATTTTGCTATTTTTTTTTAGGTTTGTGACTTTAGAGTTGATTAGAGAATGTTCTCCAGTGGTGTATATATTGTGTGACTTGGTCAAGAAAGGATTTGGGGAGTAAATTGCTGTAAGAGGGTGATACACATACACACATTCTGGCGATTTATGTGCTTCACGTGTGATGCAGAACACAGCTTGCTTCTGGTTGGCAAATTTGGCCTTGTGCAACGGATAGTGGTACACTTCATGTTTCAGTTTCCATTTCTCAAGTGGACTTTCAAGGACTCCTACCAGTCTAAGCCAAGCAATTTAATTCCTTTGTAGATTAAAACATAAAATAATCTCACACTGGAAGCAAACAGTGTTGAATTCAAGACATGCAAAGCATAAGTGAAAATCTAGGCTGATTTAGAAGAAGAAACTTTGAATTCCTTACAAATGGGACTAATCTAGAAAATCAGTCATTTTTTTCCTTTTTACTAGAAAATGACTAGTTTTTATTTCAGAATGAGCTTCAAGGCAGCGTTTTAAATTTCTCCAGATCCAGCCTGCCAACATTTTTGTGTAAGATCAACAAGCATTTTTAATGCACGTGCCTATTTTGTTGACCCATCCGTTACCCAACCACATTAAAGGATTGATTTTAGAGGCCAATAATGTGAAGTAAATTAAAAGGATAACATGGCCTTAATTGCTACTGGTTTCACCGGGCTTCTAGGCACCGGAATTTCTTGTGGAGAAACACTTTAAGTGTCACAGCAGTTTTTGATCATGTGGTCTGGCTCACCCAGAGGCTTCAATTATCTCCCAGCCCTTCTCCACCTCCCCTCAGATATCTCTGAGAAGCAAAGAAAATGTGCATTTGTAAATTCAGTATTATGGACCCCTGATTATTTGGCAGGGTAAGAAAATAGGTTCTGTTCATTTTACAGTATTCGCATAGGCTAGATGTTTAAACAACAACAAAAGACATGGAATGGAGGAGAACAGTGGGAGTAAGATCAAAGCTTTTTTCATTAAAAAGAATTTTGTTGAATTGAGTTCATTCTCTCAAATGATAACAAGATTGTGATTACTCTTGGGTGTCGGGTTAGACACAACATTGCACACGTAGCTTAAGAAAAGTAAAAAGTACTTTTTGTGTAGATGTCAGTCAAATACAATGTGGACTTTAATTAACCTTAATTAATGATTTCTGATTACAGATTTTCTTTTGTGTGCCTTGGAGGCTGTATTTAGGTAGAGTATTTTCAGCCAGTAGTGACATGAACTTGCTTCCTTTGTCTTGCCATGCAAACCACACTAGATTCTCATTACAAGGAAAAATGTGATTCTGCATCATTTCAGAATGGTCATACAAAGAATGAAATATCACTTGGGGAACAACTGAAATTTGTAAGTGGTGTGGAGTATTTGAATCTTCAGAGGAACCATTCCTAATTTTAAAGGAATTTACCTATCAAAATTGCTGATATTTACTGGCTTCTGGCTGGATTCGAGGCCATTCCTTCCAAAGATTGAATGGGATTTTGAGTGGTGCCCCAGTTCTTTCAAATAAAAGCATACTGCAGAAGTGCTGGACCTAGCAGCATTTCCTTTGCCCAAGTGTACCCTTTATAAAGTACTAAACATAGCAACTAGGGAATATTGTAGACACTGTAGAGAATTGGGCCTTTGTTTTTCATGAAGGGAATTTATTAACAAAATATTTTGAGGAGTCTTGTCTTGTTCACAGATGGCGACCACGGCGACCCCCCTTCCTGCGGGTGCTGTCAGAGAGGATGGGGGGGACGTCCTCTATCCACCCCATCTTCATACCCGAGGGGGCAAGGGCTCGAGGGCCGACTGGGCCCCAGGTCCAGGAGTCTTTGTCCTATTTCCTCCTGTGGCCCGGTGTTTGATGTGTAAGGCAGTAATACCCAGTTCCTTGCACCTCTGAGCCATATCCTGGGCAGCCAACATAGCAGCATATGGCAAAGATTCATCTCGGTCTGCCTTCACCTTCATCCCACCAGTCACACGGCAGAGGGTTTCTTTGCCAGAAAGATCAGTGACATGGACAAAAGTGTCATTGAAGGGTGCAACGATATGGCGGACACCAAATATGTTTTCTCCGTCAGCCACCTGAGGTCAGAGGCTGATGACCTGTTCTTCCTTTTCCTTCCCCTTTCGAGGTGCCATTTCTGCACGTTGTCTCCAGACTCCACACCGGAAAGAGTGGGCCTTATTTTTGATTAAAAGTACTTTTTCCTGTGTCATGAGTTTTAGAACAAATATCAAAAACCTGAATTAGGATGTTAATGTGCTATTTACATTCAACTTTTAACTAGAGGGTCTGATAAAGGTTAGATATGATATATTAATGCCAATTTATGAATTATATTTCTCTGTGAACAATTATTTTGTAGCTTATACAAAACCCTAATAGCATATAACCCATCTAGTTTAGTGTAATTATGCTTATGAATTATAAATGCTTAGCTTTTACAATTAGACTTACTGATCTGTAGGCACCTTAATGAGAAATTACTGAAATTAAATTGATTCGTAATATTTGATGTACTGTGTTCCAGGGTAGTGGTTGTCTAAAATAATTTTTAGAGTATGTGTCTGACTGCATAGCAGTATGGCTTTATTTTTAATAGAAAAAAGTCCTCCCTGTTGCATGATCCCACCTTTGTCCAAGGAGGAGATGTCAAAAGTTAGAAAGAGCAGAGTAGATTCACATGTAGCCAAGAGAAAAGGTAACACATCTTTTGGATACTTTTTTTTTTTAAATTATAAAGGGATGTTCAGAGTACAGGGAAAGGTTTCTATTAAAAAGTCAACTTTTATCTACAAGGTGTTTCCTCTCAGTTGTGATGAGGGGAAGTTCAACATGTTGAATATGCTGGTTAATTAATTCTCCAGGGATATCTCCGAGGGTGATGCTTTCGTTTTCATATTTTGTTGTGTCAAAAACACAAAACCTGTTAATATTGCCCAAACACATCCGTTCCCAAGAATTAAAAGGACAATGTAATTGCCTTTGCTGCTAGAAAACAGCTACATCCAGTTCTCTAGCAGATCTTCCAACATGCCAGGTGTGCAAGACAAGCCTTTGAAATGTTGTGAATAACTTGACATTATCACATTGTTATTGAAATGCAAATTCTGCGTAGAACATGAAAGAGTTTTAAATGTACGAATAGGACAATGCATGTCATCAACCATACCTAGTCTTAACTTGCTTGTTCTGTGGAAAGTAACCATAATGTATTTGCATCTTTTATTGTTTTTCCTTGGCCATGTTTAAAGTGCTCAACACACCTTCCTGGGTGGCACCTTGTTGGGGAGAGAATAGATTGGCTCCCAGCTTTGAGGTGTTTAGATAGGGCTGTTTTGCCCAGTAAGGAGATAACGTTTCCCCAAATGAGTCTTGCTGAGTTCTACATTAGAATTAGAAGTCAGCTTACTGACTGTATTTAATGGTGTTATTATTAATAATAAAGACTATTTATATAGTGCTTGTATTTTTCAAAATGTGTTTATAAACATTGCCTTATTTCATCTTATCACAACCCTCTAGGTTAGGCAGGATAGGTATTATTATGCCCAATTTAAAGATGAGATAACAGGTTCAAAGAGGTCAAGTAATTTGCCTAAGAGCACACCTCTGGTAAGGGAAGGGTGTGGACAAGGTCCCAAACCATATGAATCTGAGTTTTGTGCTCCTCCATATAGCTGTGTTGTGTACTCAATATTTAAAATTAAAAAAATATTAAAATTGTCCAATCATAGTTCTCACATTTTTCCTATTACATAGAAGTGAGTCCTGACATAGAACAAGTTTAGAAGTAGCTTTTTGAGGATTTCGTCTGAGGCTTTAGTGCAACTGGGACCTAAATTCCTACTTCTCAGTGAAATACCATTGCTAGGAGGGGACACTCACTGTCTCTGGAGGTTCTTAGAGTGTCTTGAGTCAAAATCACCCTAAGAAATATCAAATGGCAAATGGTAGGTGATTTTATTTGGGATTCTAGTCCTATTTTATGGTCGGGATAAAAATAAATAGTTACATAAGGGTGGCAGTTTTGACCCTGGCGCAGGGTAGAACTGGAGGGACAGAAGGTTGAATTAGATACTCTGTCAGGAATATCCTCCTGGGGCTTGCAACTCTTACCTATAAAACAGAAACACGTTTTTAGCAAGGAATGAAATAGACTGCATGGCACAACCTAAGTGGATCTTCCCTCTGACAAAAGTCATTGTACTCTGGTTCAGGCTACTAGATCTAGTGAAAGCAGCAGTTCAATTTAATTCAATAGATAATTTATTTAGCACCTACTCTTGGCAAGGAAAAGTTCTACACACTGCAGAGATGCAGCGATGAACTAGTTCAGAATTTACTGGCTGTGTACCTACTGTCGGCCCACATTTCAGTGAAGAAGGTAGAGATGTGAAAAGTCTTTCTAGTCTAAGGCCTGACTATTCTCTGTCCCAAATGCAGAATGCAGAAGATGCTAAGAAGGCCAAAAGTGGCTCTGTCCAGCTGGGAGGTCAGGCTGGGCTCCATTGAAGGAGGAAGCATTTCAATTGCGGAGTGAGGTCTCCGTATTTGGGAGGCAAGGGGGAGGAGGAGCAGTGGGGTGAAGGGAAAAGCAGGAGCAAAGCCCAGAGGTGGGGAATGTAGGACTTGGCCCCAGAACAGCAAGGGGCCTCCTGGTGACTGACGCACAGGGACAAGGTGATGTGGTGAAGCCCTGAAGACAGAGGAGGCATTGAGGCAGCTTGTGGAGGGCTCTGCCCAGGGTGCTGCAGGTGGCTGAAGCTTTTCAGCAAGAGGATGATGTCACCAGATCCGTGTTTTAGAAGTATAAATCTGCTAGGACTGTGAGTTGAAAAAGGAAACAGATTCTGGGTATGTTGGCATGGTACAGCCAACAGGATTTGAGGCCAGTTGGATGTGTGGGGTAAGGGAGGGGAAGGAGTAAAAAATGGTTCCAAGGTATCACCTCTGGGGAGCTGAGTGGATGGTTGTGGCATTGGCCAGGACAGGAACCCAGGTTTACAGACAAAATATTTAATTAACTGCTGTCATAAACCGTATTTAAGTGACACATAATAAGCAAAACACCAAAGTCCAACACCTAGTTGCAAGGCTCTTGTATTGGTCCGAACCCCGAGAGCGCACCAACAAACAACACAAGGCGGTGTGGAGTAACGCGCTGTTGTAATGAGCCCAGGCGGGCTGAGGCCTAAAACGGCGTCAGCCCCAAGTGCGGATGGGGCAGGGGTTTTATAGTCTTCTGTAAACAGGAAGTGTCCCAGTCTGACTGTAACTGCTACGTGGTACCCTGACGGCCCCTCTCAATCTCCAGGGGGTACCTGTCTTCCGGCCAGCTGTCTTCCTGCTTCTGCTATCTGGGCGACGCACCAGGCCTTGCGGACTGGGCCTGAGGAGGGAGGAGTTATTCATCCCCCCAAGCTTCCAGGCTGGGGGAGAGAATCTTTCACTAGTCCTATTGTGCTCACCCTCAGCTCTTCACAAAGACTGCTGAAATTTTTGAGTATGTTTAAACTGTAGCATTTGGTCTTGCAGTTGGGACCACTCTTCAACTTTAGGGAGGTTCATACCATAATATGAGGTGGCTAATAGGAGGAAGACGGAAGCACATTCATTGCATCTATAAAAACCACTGTTAAAAATGGGCAGGAGGACCAAGCGCTAAATGATCTGTTCATGTAAAAATCGGGGCATATATGGAGCCACCTAGTTCCTGTTTATTTCATTCCAAACAATTTTACTTTATGAAAGTTTTTAAATTCTGAAATTAGATATACATGTGTTCTCCCTCTCCCCCCGGCTCAATGTTGGGCATATTTATATGAGTGTTTGTCTCTTAAATTGCCATGTGCAACTGAGGTGTTGCAGACGATGTAATTCACAAAACAAATAACGCTTAAATTGTGTTGTTTTTATACTATTTAAAAGAATCCTTGGCCGGGCGCGGTGGCTCACGCCTGTAATCCCAGCACTTTGGGAGGCCGAGGCGGGTGGATCATGAGGTCAGGAGATCGAGACCATCCTGGCTAACAAGGTGAAACCCCGTCTCTACTAAAAATACAAAAAATTAGCCGGGCGCGGTGGCGGGCGCCTGTAGTCCCAGCTACTCGGGAGGCTGAGGCAGGAGAATGGCGTGAACCCGGGAAGCGGAGCTTGCAGTGAGCCGAGATTGCGCCACTGCAGTCCGCAGTCCGGCCTGGGCGACAGAGCGAGACTCCGTCTCAAAAAAAAAAAAAAAAAAAAAAAAAGAATCCTTAAATGATGGGTATTCTCTAAAGCATGCGGGGCTTAAAACCTAGATGATGGATTGATAGGTGCAGCAAACCACCGTGGCACATATATACCTATGTAACAAACCTGCACATTCAGCACATGTATCCCAAGACTTAAAGTAAAAGTAAAAATTAAAAAAGATGGGTATTCTATATTTATCTTTCATGTTACATTTTTCTTTGTGGGGTTTCTAAATAAAACTTGTAACATGAATGTTTTATTCTCATTCTGTATTTTAAAAAGAAGCTGAGTAACAAAAGGAAAACAAAACAGGATTGGAAAATCAACTATTTTCAGGGGGCTTTAACAAACTGAATATCTAGAAAGGTTCTAGAGAACCTTTATGAAACTGTTTGTTTGGATGTCTTATTTTAAAGGCATATTAGAAGTAAACATTAAGGAACGATTTGATTTTTAAAAAATGTTGGGACACCATATTTGAGTTGGTATCATAATGCCGAGAAACCAAATTATAGATTATTTATCTATTACGTGCCACATTATTGCATAGTTGTGCTATCGCTTGTTTCTAACTTTACTTGGAGGCTGCCCTCTAGTGTTACTGAATCTCAGCACAACCACTTTTGTTTAGATCCCCGGAAAGGTGACAAAACACACAGAATGCTACCATCTAGTCAGCAGCTAGAGTGTTAAGTTTATGATACATAGTTTGAAAGATTTTGAATAAATTAAAATGTGCACATCACCAGTGCTCTTGATGGCATAGAAGACAGCACTGGAAAAAACACACACCAATGACTGAATTGAAGCCATATCCGGAATACCAAGTCTAACACAGGTTTTAGGACTACCTTAACCAATTAACTTCACTTTTATTTTCTATTTTGTATGTGCAAAAAAGCTACATGTGATAAAATAAGCTCTCTCTAAATAAGGCTATAAGAACTTCTTTAGTTTAAATAAAAATTATAAGTATTAAGAAAAGCACTTTGCGAGGCCAAAGCAGGCCAATGGCTTGAGGCCGGGAGTTTGAGACAAGCCTGGGCAACATGGCAAAACCCCGTCTCTACTAAAAATACAAAAATTAGCCAGGAGTGGTGTCTCATGCCTGTAATCCCAGCTACTTGGGAGACTGAGGCACGAGAATCGCTTGAGCCCAGGAGGTGGAGATTGGACCACTGCACTGCAGCCTGGGAGACAGAATGAGACTCTGTCTCAAAAAACAAAAAGAAAAGTATTTCAACCACCATTGGGTGGGATGTGTTTGACCAGACAGCCTCAAAATTTATGATATAATTAGTCCTCAGAGAAGAGTTCTCAAACTTCAACACATTTTTCTATTACAAACCTTCAAAGAGTAGATCCAAGCACTTTAAAGATTATTCTCTAAAGATATTAAGAAGAGAAGCACACCCTACAACCTAAATGGTGGTGTTAAGTACTTTTCTCACAGTAGTGCCAACTCTGCTTTTTCTTGGATGAAGAATAAGCATACTCCAGAGTCTGCAGAAAGTGGGGAGAGTAAATTTCAGACACAGTAGCTATTTTTTGCATGTATAATGATGGCATTCTCAGTGGATTATGAAGGTAACGTTGCAACACTCCAAGTACATCCAGCTTACAGCAGCAGAGTGACTGACATGTTTTCTATAAAAATGGTTACTGGTAACAGTGGTTTTCCAAAGTTCTGAAACTCAGATCAGGAAGAACAACTAAAATCATATTAGCGCTACACACACACAAAATGAAGCTGAACACCAAAATGACACTTGGAAGTCAGCTTTTCTTCTAGAGGGGTGTTATGATAGAGTAGTTAAAAGTATGGGCTCTGGAGGTTGCTATTCTATTGGCTGTGAGATCTTGGGAACATTACTTAACATCTCTGTGCCTCATATTCATCATCTGTAAAGGGGAAATACTAATGGTACCTTCCTCATAAAGGGAGTCTGATGATTAAATGAAACAATATGCACCAGAATGATGTCTGGTACATAAACACTCAATAAAAATTAGCTATTAATATTTGACACCAAACCCTCCTAATATAATGAGCTAAATTCAATGTTTTTGTCACCAGCAGGATATGGGTTCTTGACAAGTAAAACTAAAAAGATGATGAGGAGATGATAGTGTCCAGATGAATCTTTCTGCCAGTTTCTGTCTCTTTATGTTCTTTTGTGTGTCAGAGCATGGTTTAAAATAACTAAGTAAGTAATCATTATTTCATTTTATGTAGGAAATATAGTACATGCCTACTATGTGCAGAGTGCTAAATTAGATCTTATTGGATATTTCTAAAATATTAAATAAGGCATTAGGAGTTAGGTGACTATGTTTTGCTACAGTTGTTATTTGCCTTTGTTGGGTCCAGTGCCCAGTTAGGAGCCTATGTTTATCAGGCCCATGGTGCCTTGAGCTATAGCCTTCCTGTCTTCTGTTCTCAGAGGAAGAAACTCCGAGGTCATAATATCAAGTATTTCCTCACTGGGTGAGTTTTCTGAATGCAGTGTTTAGATTGTAGGTAATGTAGATTGTGTATTTGGAAACACAATACTCAGGGATTTTCACTAACAAAGAGGGCCCAAAGATCTCTGTCAATTAATTAGATTTTTTAAAAATATGTATTTATCTTTTAGAGACTGGTCTCCTGTTGCCCAAGCTGAAGTGTAGTAGCATGGCATGATCATAGCTTACTGCAGCCTCGAGCTCCTGGGCTCAAGTGATCCTCCTGAGTAGCTGGGATTACAGGTGCACACCGAGCCTGGATAATTTTTACAATTTTTTTTTTTTGAGGGGGGGTCTTGCCATGTTGCTCAGGCTACTCCAGAACTCCTGGCTTCAAATGGTCCTCCTGCCTCAGCCTCCCAAGTAGCTAGGATTACAGGCATGAGCCACTGCACCTGGCTCTGTTAACTTAATGTCTGACTCAAAACCAATGTATAGATACAAACAAGTTTATTTTATATAATAAAACTTTGTTATATGTGGCATTAACTACTCGTACCAATAAACTGAATTTTCAGATTGAGTCATGGGGTTTAAACACTTGTCTTTCACAAAACCAAACAGCTGAACTGCTAAACAGCAAAGTGGATAGATTGGAAAGTAAACCCCTATTCTGAGCCTGCCTTCACCCCTACTTCACTGAGGTGTAATGAGGAGATAGAAAAGAAGTTGGGTGAGTCAAGAAGAGAAACAAGGGCTGATCATTAGCTCTCAAGCAAACAAGAGTTAATTTTGGCTTTATCCATTCTAGTTTACTCAGGTGGGCACAGCCTGATTCACAAAAATAAGGAACTTGTTGGTCAGGGGTTAGGGAATGTGCTAACAAAAGCTTGGAGACTGGGTGTCTCTGGAGCTGGATAATGGGAACTGGGGCCCCTCCTTCCCGGTGGCAGAGAGGATTGTGTTCATTTGGTATTTACCCAAAGTCAGAACCATCTGACAGCTGTTTGGTGTTTCTTGTGAAATGGACTTGGACCCTGACCAGATGCTAGTGGACAGATGTTCACAACACAAAAGGCTTCATCAAAATAGGCACTAATTGGCACCCTCCTGACAATCTCAACAAATAAGGCAGGAATGGGCTGTATCTGCTGTTGACCATCTCAACGCCCAAGCCTGCCTTTCCTGGCTTAGGGAGGAGGCCCTGTTGGGGAACTGAGCTTTCTCCATAGCCAGAGATTTTTGGTTCCAGGGCTTCTTGACATGAAACTCCCAAAAGGTACTGAATATTTGTTTTATATGTATATATGCTTGTATGTATATACTTAATTGAAACCTTTTAAGAAGGTAGGCCAAGGAAGGATCATTTGGACTTCACCACCCACCTCTCACCAAAGCAAGTCTTAAAATGCAGAATTTTCTCCACAAAGTTGGTTTCTATGCAGTAGTTTTTGAACAAATACTTTATACAAATTGTTACGTATTATCTTAATATGAACCCCTCCAAATAAATGTGTGTATTTTATTTTATCTGTGATGTAGTTTTGTGCAAATATTTTTGCTAGATGGATTTTAAAAACCTAAAGCTGTTTTAAAGTGGATATTTCAGGGGCAAACTGGTTTGACTATGCCCCATAAATCATTAGATAGGGCTTGCTCCTACTTGTACAGGATACAATTAAGTTTGATTTCAACAGTTCAACTGTCTTTTTAGTGCTAGAGACACTTTTTGAGTAAGCATTCTCTCCTCTTTTTTTCCTCTGAATTTTGCAAGTTGGGAACAAACTCTAACTCCTGGCTTATTATTAATACTATTGGAATCTGTTCCCATCTATGTGCCGGCAAATAATAATTCTTTCTAAGGCAGGATGTAGTTTTACAATGCATGGTTTAAAACACTTTTACTGATGTTACTGTTTATTACTGTTTATTACAGTAGAAAGCCCTTTCCTACTATAGGGCTCTCTGTGGCCCTCCTCCTATCATTACCTATTGAAGTCTCCTTTTTCCCACTCCTCTCCAGGAATACAGATTTAAGAACGATCCATGCTCCACTACAGATATTTCCAAAACACAATTGGTATTAACCCAGGCTGGACACATTTTATCAGTCATTTCTATAATTACTTATTTTAAAAAATGGTATACATGGTTGCTGTATCGTATGGAGTGTGAGAAGCTATCTTATCATGGTACTATTCATCCTGGTTGAAAGGATGTTGGTTTTTTCCCCCCTAACATCTCACTCTCAGGATTTCTCTGGACCAGGAATCCACCCCCTCTTTCCCATTCTCTAGTGTGGCTCCTGCTCCTTTGAATGAAAGGCTGCTCTGACTAAAGGAGCTAGAATATGCCCAGCAACCAAGGCCGGGTACTATTGAGTCCATTGTTTGCTCCCAGCACTGTGGAGCCAAATCTCATTTTATAGCACAGTGTGTTCTAGGAATTCCACTTCATCAGTACAACAGACCTTCTCTAATGCCTTCCTATTTTCCCCATTTGCTGCTGTCACAGGCAGCGCCACACAGTCCTGTGGCAGGCAATTATAATTCACTTTTCTCCAAGGCTCTGCTCTCCCCCTTTTGCAAGGGACCACAAGGCATCAGCTGCCATATTAAATAGACGCTAATGACACCAAGTGTGAGCCGCCAGAGCTGTGGTTGTGATGGTGTGTTTAAGATTTAATCCCTTTGAGGGACTGAACCTGGAGTTCAGAGGTGGTTTCACTGAGGTTTATAAGAAATTTGGCTAAGATTATACTTAATGGATTTTCAAGTACTGAAAGGTATTTGTGTTTAAAGTGAATATGTTAATAAAACTTTCCAAACACAGTCACAAAAAATAGATCTGATACAAAATTATGTAACGTATTATTCAAAGTAATATAGTTGTCTAATAATAATATATTGTATGTGCATATGTGCTGTATGTACTCATTTTCCCTCTATAGTTTTCTAAGCGGTTTGCTTTTTTCTAAATGGAGAAGTGTCCTTTGGTGACTCACAAAGATTCACAATGAGCGAATGCTCCCTAGAGCAGGGCCAACTCCTCTTGGGCCCTTGTCTTGCTAGAAGATGCTTTTCTCCTGGAGACAGGATCGCCATCATTAGTAACTTATCCCTACACCCAATCCACAAAAGATTTTACTCTTTAAAATTTTCCAGCATATTTTGGCAATGGTGGAATGACAACGTATTCATTTTTGTCCCATCTGGCAACATTTTGGCACCTCTTATGAAATTATTTTCTATTGGATTTGTAAAAGTGCCCCATTAGTAACACTTCCTGTAAGTGTAAATAGGCTTTTCCATAGCTGTCCCTTCACCGAAATAGATCGGTTTTGAACCTTCCTGCCAGTACAGAGGATGTGGCCTGATGCTCCCTCACAAGACGGTGGCTGTCTCACCTTCATACTGCCCGGGCCGCTTAACTAAATTGCTCCATGGCCTTGTGTAGCTATGCTGAAGGATGGAGAAGAGCGTCCCTTTAATGAACCCGGAGTATTTCATTTATTAGCAAATCATCAGTTGACCCAGAAAGTGGCCAGGTAATTAGTGTAAAGTTTTGCAGAGCTTTTTTATATGCACCATCTCATTTCATTCCCATAGACCTCTGTGGCACCTGCCTTTACCCTGGCTTGGAAAAATAGAACTTCTCCCCTTGACTAAAAAGACTTAGTCTGTGTAAAGTTATGTGTTTTATCACTTTACCCAAATATTGTTCTTTGTAATTTTCAACTTAACACGCTAAAACATACTGAAAAAAAATGATTGACTACAAAATCCTTTTTTAAAGGAAATGTGTACATCAGAGGAAGCGTTAGGCCGTAAATAGTGTTATTTTAGACACTCTAGGACATTTTAAAGAGCAAGAACAAGCCTATAGCTCACCTTGCAGTGCTCTCCAGGTTAATCAGTGATTCTTTGACTGGTGTCAGGGACATTTGGTGGGTAGTGATTGGCATGCCTGTATTTTCCTTTGTCACCATTTCTTCAGGTTCATGTAGAAAACTGCAGTCAGAATCTACAGACAAGATCCTGTGACTGGTTCTCAGGAGAATCCTTGTGACAAACATCTGGCAGATATGTTTTAAAGTCCTACGATAGCTGTCAGAAAGTTGATGGCTCCTGATACGTTACATTGTCAGTCCAGACACACTAATTCTTTAGTGGGATTATTGATGTTGTTGTAGCACATCTGTGTTTAATTGCAGACAGGAAGCTGAAAGAGAAAGCTTGTTGTGATTACGACCTCTGAGATACCTATTATATCTGAACTTAACAATCAGGTCAAAACTTAGTGGTGGGTGGGAATGAAAAGATGTCCGCAAATGAAACTATGTGCATGGGAGAAGAGACTGCATGTCACTGACCTGCAGAGAAGCCAGTGCCTGGGTTCAAATCCATCACTCTCTAGCTGTGTGACATCAGGCAAGCTCCTTAACCTCCTTGGGCCTCAGTTTCCTCCTTTGTAAGATGGAGTAGTAATAGCATCTGCCTTATAGGGTTGCTGTGAGGATTAAATTAGTCCATATGTATACATTCCCTTGAGTTCCCATTACATCATAAGCACTAGATAAGTGTTTCCTATTTTTATATTTCCCCCCAAATCTTCTGCTTTGTAAAGGTAAATCTTCTGCTGATAGAGGATGAGCTGCAAAGAGAATGTGTGTGTGTGTGTGTGTGTGTGTGTGTGTGTGTATGCTAAGACTATCATGCAGAATTGATTCTACACTTGTAACACGGGCATATTTGGCTGTTATTGCCTACGTTATCCATTTTGACACCTCCCCTACTCTCAAAGCCCCTGCATGTCACTCGCTTCCTCTGCTTTTCCCCTTCAGATTATTTCACCCATGTTCTATTTGGTCATGACCTGTATGTGTACCTCATCTAAGTGATGCTTTATGAATTCCATAAAGCCACTCATCTTTGAGGTCTCCAAGAACAGAGACTATTCCCTAATGATCCTTTTGTGCAGTGTTAGTTGTTAAATGTGCTAACGGATGCCAGCGTTTGAAAATGGTGCTGATCCATGACCTCTTCTGACAATGTTAGATTCCTATCCTTCAGAGTGAGAATTTTAGGCATGAGGCTGCTTGAGGTACTGGGTTGCCCAAGACAAACCTGATCTCCAGGGCTGAAGTATGGGCATCTATGAATCAATGCCCATCAGGTGATTGTGATGATCAGTCAATATTGGCAGCCTCTGATTTAATTAATCATCCTGAGAATAATGTTCCTTATGTGTAAGATTATTAGAAAGCCAAGTTTTCTCTCAGAGTTTTGGTGCAGATCAAATGATGTCCTGTTTTTACAAAGCCTGAAGCCCAGGTAAACCTAAAGCACTGTTATTACTGTTATTACTGCAGAGAACCTGTGTGCTGTGGAAGGTCCCCAGGCTACAGGGTGCAGAGATGTCCACTGGGCACATGCTGACAGATCCTTCAAAAAATGGTACTTAAAGAAGATTAGATCAACATTTCTGAGAAAAGCATCTCTTTTGCCTTCTCATTGGTTCAGTAAACCCAGTTAAAGGCAAAGTTTCCAGCCCTCAGAGCCTGCCATGGGATTCCTGTATCATTAGATATTGTTAACATTAGCACTTTTGGAGTATTATTTCACAGACATGGTTTCAATGTTCAGAACCAAAAGGTGGAGAAATGGTGTCAGATAACCTTAGAGAGGATCATTTTCTTGGTAATCTCTCCTTTCTTAAAATAAACTAGATATTGCTGACAATGTGAAATTTGTGACTAACCTTCAGTAGATATGTTGATTTTGCTTTTAAAATAAAAACCAAGGATGCTTAGAAGTAGCCATAAGAGGAAATATTTTGAAAATGAATGACCTAAAGTAATCAATGGATATGTATAACATTTATATTTTAAAATGACAATGACTGTGATTTAAAGTGCCTCTAAAAAAATTAACTCTTTAACCATCAGTCCCTTTCCACTCAAATCCTAAAGCAATGCAGTTTCATATTTTCTGCTTGTACAAGGTTAGGATCCATCACTGACTCAAACATGATCATTTAGACGACCATTTAGAAGGCCCAAGAGCAATGTAACTGGCATTTCTGGGTCACAGCTAATTGAATGGAATGTGTGCCGTGACCGATCGTACAGGTAGCACTTGGGCAAAGAGGTGTTTGTGAAAGTGCATAAGTATCGTTTGTGTGTTCTGACTATTGTTTGTATACTACTAAATGCTCTGAAAAGTGTTATAATTTGTACATAGTATGAATGATTTGGTGGAGGGAAACTCCCTTGTGAATTTTGTATAAAGAGTATACTGCATTCCTGTTGTCACCAGAAAAGTACTGATATGGCACATTCTGTTAACAGTAATTGGATATGTATGCCTTGTTAGAAGAGAAGAGGGTAATTTCCCACTTATTATAAATAAAATTATTCTTATTTCATGTCTTCTGTTTCCACCTGTTTATATTTTGTTTTGTCTGGGCAATGTTGGTGGAGATGAAAAGAAAATTAGCCTCCTAACCTGCAGTCAGAGGATAGACAACCATGGGTCCCTGGGGTTTTAGCTTGAGCTACCTCCATACCAGCTCCCCATTCTTGTTTCCCCTTCCAAATCCATGAGGGCTTTATGGTAGTCTGGTCTTCTCCAGGAGATAAGCATGATCAAGATCCTCCTGCTTCTAATCTCTCCTCTCCAGGCTTCAGTGCTTCTGTTCTAGTGCCGAGCTCTCCATACGCTATGGGAGGGTATGGAATGGGGGAACTTATTCCATTATGAATGCTCACCTCTCTGACTCCAAGAGAAATTTTTATTTCTAGATTCAGGCCCTCAAATGGTAGAGGCTTATAAAGACTTGTAAAGTATGCTTTTAGTAGGTCCCTGGCGATATTAAGGGAATTTAGCATGTGATGTTTTTTCCATCTAGGTTTTAAGAGATGATTTATCAGGTCCATTTTGTTGTTTGCTTACAGTGATTTTTATTTGTATTTTTCGTTGATTCATCAGAGAGCCTGAAAAGTGCTTATTTGGTCTTTCCATCAGCTAGCACTGAGAACCTTTAAATCAGTGGTTTAGAGTACTCTATCTACAAGATCATGCTTTACTTGTTGTATACTTCTTTCTAGAAGTAGAAATTGCAGATAGAGAAGGCCAGGCCTGTCCTATTATTCTTTTAGTTTCCAAGGCAGCATTCATTTAAGCATAGCGTTTAAAATGATATTGGATAATGCCATTGGATAAAACTCTTTTGCAGAACAGAACTGTGCAAAGCAATACTGTTTTAAGGTGAATTGAAGCCATCCAGGCAGAGAGAATAAGGTTGTCTTCTTATCTCTTCTGTTGACTTGGTCTAATCTGTGGGCAGTTGTTCCTTGGCCTCAATTTTCCCATTGGAAAGGGGATTTTTGGAAACATATCTTAAAACTCTTGAGCTGAAGAAGCTATATCAATGAAAAATGTGTTGTTTAAACACAACAATAACTTTTCCGTGGTATGCAGCATTATATTTATACACCATAAGTTGAGAAAAGCCTTGAAAGTAACACAAATACCATGAAGCCTGTTTTATAATTCCTGACTCCCAGAAACCCTGAGATGTATTCACAGCCTGTAGTCACCCTCCAGAACCCAAGCAGGACCTTGGAACTTCACTCCATATACCACTCCAAAGCAAGTTTTCTGCTCCAGTGTGATGAGAAATGTGATGTTCACTGAAATGCACCGTGAGTCTGGAGAACTACTGTTCAGCCACCTTGGGCATGGCATCTAAATGTACAGTATCGAGAGTGTGATAGCCTTCCCTGGAAACAAGAACTAAGGTCCATAAATCAAATCTCAAGTCAAGAGAAGAAAGCCGTCAAGGAAGGCGAAGGCATTATAACTGGCCTGTAGTGTCCAGCTGTATTGATACCACAGAGCTTTGGAGCCAATTCAAGACTGGTCAACCCCAAAGTGGGAAATTAAGTTTCAGGGCTGCCAGACATCCCTGTTTGCAGATGTAAATGTAAGTGATAGGATAGGTGGTCTTCAAAATAACCATGCTACCATGAAGGTCAGAGTCCCCAGCACAAATGTGAGGCCGGGGATAAGGTTCAGCACTTTTGGAGATGGCATTAATTTGTAGCCCCTAAAAGCACTTTAGCTCCTCTCAAAGTGTAGCTTACATATTGCAAGGATCTGAGTATAATATACCTTAATTAACAGTGCTGATCATGTTCCTTCCTTATTTGCAGAACACTTTACATTCACGGGTGTTGACTCAGGGGATCATTTGGCTTTTTTTTTTTTTTTTTTTTTTTTTAAGTATCAGATACATAGCAGTTTACATCATTGGATTTTATCCCCTGGTTTAGATCCAAAGACATTATTGGCCAGTCTTAATGCTTGCTTGTTAGTAATACTGTTATGAAATAAAAGCTTCTGTTGCAGAAGCTTCCTTAATAGATAAAACAAAGGCCTTTAACCAGTACGTTACTTAGAGAATATTAATGAAATAGTTAAAAAATGAGGGGAAAATGATGAATGCTTTAAAAATACTGGCCTTTTCACCTTAATAATGTGTCAGAACCACTTATTTTCTACAACACATGTCTCAAATTTGCTGGCATTTCAAATTCTTAGGAGTTAATTTTCTATGTTTGAATCTTTAAAAAGAAACATACAAATGTAGGATGAATACATTCAGAGGGTTTAGTGCATGCTTTGGCTAGCAATTCAATAAAGATGACTTGGAAGGATCAAAGCAAAGATTTCCATAAAATTGAATATGAGATATTTCAGCAACATCAATGCTATACCTCTTCAGGACACTTGTATGCATGTCCACAGTACTACCTAGCATTTACTTAATGCCACTAGAACAAAAAAGATAAATTTTGTTGAGGCTAATAGATTTTTAAAAAATTGTTTTAAAGTCCTTTTAGAGTACCAGGAAAATCTGACTCAAAGGCAAACAGCAAACAGAAATGACTTAATGGAAATCAGACAATAAGCCTAAGGAAAAAAAATAGGGTTGGAACCTAAAATAAATTCAATATATAACACCTTTCCATTTTGTTCCCTTTCCTTTTTGTTTTTCATGAGAATCTATATGGAAAAGTCAGTTGATTGCTTATCAGGCTGAAGCCTGTGTTTGCTCAGACTAGCGATAATGAGCAATAAAAAGGTGGTAATGGTTAAAGTGAGAGGAGAGGGAATCAGGGAAAATGGGTGGGCTCAGTATAGTTTGCAGGCTCTGAGTTTTGGAAGCCCTGTAATTCTCCCTTGTGCTGTTATGTTCATTGGAGGGGAGTTAAGATCAGGATCTGTAATGAGTGTGGGGGCTTTCCAGGCAGTGGTCTGATGGCTGCACAAAAGAACTCCCAGTGATTACCTAGTTACATCCCTACAGTCAGCTTGGCAAGTAATCTTAAAGCCTTGCTCCTGAACCAGCAGCATGAGCATCACCCAAAAGCTTATTAGAAATGTAGATGCTCAGGCCTGATACCAGAGTGCCTGGATATGAATCTGCATTTTAACAAGATCTTCAGGTGATTGGCATACACATTCATATTTGAGAGACACTGACTGAAGGAACACATGGACACAAGATGTGAGGACACATACAGTGTGGGGTGCAGTAGTAGGGTTATCCTAGGAAAAGAAGGAGCAGACTTTTTAGCTAGTGAGCTAACTCATTATAGGCATGTACAGATGTTTGTTAGTAGTTTATCTTTCAAGTTGTAAAGCAATCAGAGTGTCTCAGGGAAGTCATTACATGGACCTTTACAAGCCTGTGACTCTGAGCTTGTGACTCTGTGTCATAGGAAGCCAGTACTTGCGTAAGAGCCCCAAGGCCATGTGGGCAAATGGAGCTGAGATAAGAAAGCCTGATAATATGAAGAGTGATCCTAATCTCAGTGGCCTTTGGGATTATGGTTATCACCAGGTTTTAGAGCTTTGACTCTGGTAAACAAAGATTCTGCCCTTGGTTTCCAACACATACTTATTATTGAAATGATTTATTATTTTACTGAAGCATCTTGTTTCCAAAATGAACCACCTTAGCCTCCTGAAATAGCTCTACTGTGTCCCTTGACTTTAAAAGGCAAATGAGGACTTATGCCATTAACCCTGCAGAGTTATGATGAATGGCAGAACTAGATAGGGCCATGAAGATGGCAGGATAAAAAGATGCCTGTCTTCGGAGCACCTCTTTTGAATGGCATCTCCAAGTCTTCATCCAAAGACTAGATTGGTTCTTGTCTCCATTTTCCCATTTGGAGCTGCCATTTTTCCATAGCAGCCAAGCCCACTAGGTGGTATTAGAAATGTCAAATGCTTGTTCCCTGGTGCCACAAAGAAATAGCACTTGAACATTAATTTTCTCAGTAAGGCAATTTTTACTTTCTGCAGAAAGGGTGCTCCTCGCAGATGGAACACGGCCAGAGCACACCTGAACAAAGGAGGGAAGCAATTTTTTTTTTAAGATGAAGTTTCGCTCTTGTCCCCCAGGCTGGAGTGCAATGGCGCAATCTCGGCTCACTACAACCTCCACCTCCCAGGTTCAAGCAATTCTCCTGACTCAGCCTCCCAAGTAGCTGGGATTACAGGTGCCTGCCACCACGCCTGGGTAATTTTTGTATTTTTAGTAGAGACGGGATTTGACCATGTTGGCCAGGCTTGTCTCGAACTCCTGACCTCAGGTGATCCGCCCACCTCAGCCTCCCAAAGTGCTGGGATTACAGGCATGACCCACGTGCCTGGCCGAGGGAAGCAATTTTTATCCCTTACGCAGCTTGTCCCTGCTACTGTGTCCTGTCTCCATTGGCTGGAGCCAGACCGCACAATCTAAGCTAAACCCGACTGGCTATTTCAAAGAGAGCAGGGATATGAGCCAGAGTGGTGGGGTGAGTAGTTTGGCAGGAAGGACAGTTAGGAACAGGTAACTAAGGGTGACTTAGGTCAGAGCAGGTGACTAGGATGAGTCAGGATGGAGCAGGTGACCAGAGGTGACTCAGGTCAAAGCTGGTGTTGGGGAAGAGTCAGGATGGAGCAGGTGACCAGGGGAACAGATGTGAGCTAGTGATTAGGACTGGAAGGAAAGTTGTTTACTGAAACTAGAAGCAAGAAGGCAAAGAGAACCAGGAAGTTAAACTTTAAATGGAGAATCAAAGAATAAGACAGCTGAACATACTGACATATTGATTCTTTGAAGAGAAGCTTGGGGTTCACTATATTTAACAGTGGTATGTAAATAAACTGTTTTCCCCCTGGCATAGTTGCCTCTATCAGTGGAGGGTGAGGCTGCAGATAAATCCTCTGCCACTTCACCTTTTATGCCAAAGTCTAAAGGCAATAAATACCAAGTTAGAGAAACATTGACTAGAAATGGTGATATCACAGTAATCACAAATCTGTTCTTGTCCTTGCAACTTTTTGACATAATGATCTCAGTTGGCCAGGTACAATGGCTCATGCCTGTAATCCCAGCACTTTGGTAAGCTGAGACGGGAGGATCACTTGAGCCCAGGAACTTGAGACCAGCCTAGGCAACATAATGAGACCCCCATCTCTAAAAAAAAAAAATATTCAAAAATTTCGCTGGGCATGGTGGCACATGCCTGTCATCTCAGCTACTCGGGAGGCTGAGGTGGGAGGATTGCTTGAGCCCAGGATGTCGAGGCTGCAGTGAACCATGATCATGCTATACTACACTCTAGTCTAGGTGACAGAGTAAGACCATGTCTCCAAAACAAACAAACAAACAAAAAACCTCAATCCTGTGTGGCAGATGGGAGACCTCAGGAGACCTCTGTAAACTGCATCCATGCCGTAGACCCCGCATCCAAGCAGTGCTGCATCCACCAGCCTTAGGAAAGTGGATCAGAAAGGAAATGTCTCAGTGATCCTAGACACTAACTTTGACAAGGAAAGACCACCCATAGTGGAAGTGGTTGGAAGGTGAGCCTTCAAATTCAAGTACCCCAGTTATTTCATTAGGGGCCAAAGAGAATTCTTTTTTCCTATTTTCTACTAGGGTGCATTTAATCTGTATTAGTAATGCCACAGAGAACATTTACTGTCATATAAGCAAAGACCTTGCAAATGTATTTTAACAGCAGTTCAGAAGACTAAAGAACTTAACAGAGAAGTAGAGAAGAGAGAGCCTGCAAAGTCTACTGTAAAAGTAAAACGTGCTAGTTTTGGCATCAATTTAACCACATTGGAGACTTGGTCAGGAGCACTGAGGCTTGACCACATTATCCAAACACATCTGCTTGCCTTATCATATTGTCCCATTTACTTTTCTTTTTCTTCTGCCAGCACAAACTTGTGTCAGCATGTGGAAGTGGTATTTCTGCTACCTAATCTGTGTTAAAACAGCCCTGAAGGGTCATGCAACTAGTCGGATTGTAAACCTTTGGAGAAGATTAAACAGTCATCATGTATTAATCAGTCTTGACCACGTTGTGAATTAAAAGGTGAAATTCTTGGCCTTATTCTAAAAGATGACAGGTCTAGATGTTAGAGATAAGCATTGTTTTTATATTAGTCAGTATTTCTATGTAGCCAGTTATGTTTCCAGAGTAGTGAGAATTATTCTAAGAAGAAAAAAGTATTTTCAGTATAAACTAAACAAGAGAAAAATGGAAGTTTAATACACATCTGCAGTGAACATGAACATAGGAAAACGTGAAAACGTGAGCATAGTGAAGTTTGAAGTGGGAGAGAACCTTTTCTGAACTGGGTTGCTTTGCTCACAGGCCAGGTAGGAGAGAGCAGGGGAGGAGGTTTTACTGGACCCAAGCGCCTTGTAAGAATTTTCCAAAAACATTAAGTAAAATTTAGTTAGTTGTGAAGTAGAAAGTTAGCACTTCTATGTCTTCAAGGAATCCGGTTATAGTCATAACACAGAAAAACCAATCATCCCTCCCATAGTAGTTGAAAGATAAAATTGACATCTTCTTGAAAGAGAAAAGCTACTATTTTATGAGCTTAGAAGAAAAAAAATTCTTCAACTTTATGATATGCTATTTGAGCTCTGTGAGTATTCAAATATATGTACTTACAGAATCTCAGTGTTGCAAATGGAAAATAATGATGCTGTCTTCAAAATGACCCCCCAAAAAAAATCAGAGAAAGGGTTCAAGTGCTGCTGAAGTAGCAGCCTCTGGAATTAAAGGAAGTGATTGCCAGGCCGGGGAAGTGAAGCAAACAGAATAGTCCTGAACAGAAGACAGCCGCTGCCCTCACTTCCTTATGCACTGTGCTGTTCAGCCCAGGCACTTACTGTTTCTCTAAGTGTGATGCAGAAACTAGCTTGACCAGGGTTTAAGATAATGGTAACCCTCACAGGTTTTGCGGTGCTCCACTTTCTGCAAATGATCAAACTTCACTGTCAAAGAAATCCAGATTCTCTTAGAATCCTAGCAGAGTGTGATATTTGACTTTTTTGGGTTTCTAAATTTTGTTTTCATTTCTTTGATGCAGTAGATGTATGGCCCATGGTGCTTTTAAATTCTCTGCAGTCTAAAGTAAATGACAGGGAAGAAAACAAATATTCTCTGGACCCCATTAATGAAAGACAAAGGGACAGCGAGGGTCCTTTAGAAAAGGGTATTAAAAATGATATATGCCTGTAAAAGGTCGGGGAGGGATCTCATGGGAAGAAATAAAGTGCAATAGAGTAATGAAGAAGAAAAACGGTAATGCTGAATGTCCTTTAAAAGATACTTTATTTTTCAAAGAAGTGTCCAGAATTCTAACTTATATAAACACTAGAATATTGATCAGTTATGGTAGCAGACTTTGGTGCACAATTCTCAGACTGACACATGATTTGGTTAGCAGGTAACAGCTGTAAAGGATGTAAGAAATAATTATCTGAGATTCCCTATGCAAAGTCTTAAAAAAAATTCTACACCAATTTCTGTATCTCAAATGAAGAGGGCATACAAAGAGACAAAATGCCTGATGGTTCCCCAGGATACTGTCCCAGCAGCAGGGACAGAGTCCTTAGATAACATGGAGAAGAAAATGAATGGGCACTACCAATGTATTTGCCAAGATATGACATGTGCTTCTGCACATGAGACTTCATAACTGGATAAATAAAGCATCTTAAAGAACTTACGTTCTTTTTCTTCCCTAGATACCCATTCATGTGTAAAATGTTACCGAGTTCACGCTATTTTTTGTTTGTTTGTTTGTTTGTTTGTTTTGAGATGGAGTCCCATTCTGTCGCCCAGGCTGGAGTGCAGTGGCGTGATCTCAGCTCACTGCAACCTCCACCTCCCAGGTTCAAATGATTCTCCTGCCTCAGCCTCCTGAGTAGCTGGGATTACAGGTGCACGCCACCACGCCCAGCTAATTTTTGTATCTTTAGTAGAGATGGGGTTGCGCCATGTTGGCCAGGCTGGTCTCGATCTCCTGACCTCAGGTGATCAGCTCACCTCAGCTTCCCAAAGTGCTGGGATTACAGGTGTGAGCCACTGCACCCGGCCTGCTCTAACTATTAATTAGTCTTTGAACTTGTAATGACAATAATGCGAACTTAGTACTGACAGAATGAACTTGTGTGAGTGACCTCTTAGTATAGGAACATGTACAGTGTTTAACACTTTATTATGTCATGTTAGTATGTGGTTGCTTCCTTTCAGAACATTGCTTTCAAGTGTTATTGAATGTTAGTAAACATGAAAAAAATAAATAAGAATTTTGGTGATTCTTACCCCTCTTACCTCTAGGGTTTCTGAAAACTGACACAGTAGGTTTAGATAAAGATGTGTGGTGTTAATTTGAATCTGCCATACTTTGAATTTAGAATGCACTGGACACGTTGATATCACCAATTAGCATTCTGTGTAGCCAGGCTAGCATGTGATTCAACTGTTGTGTTTACCCTCCACCCCAACACCCATCACCGCTGATCTACATGAATGTTATCAAGCATTTGCAGCCTGAAAAAGACATGATGTAGATTTGACTCCTGTAGTTTCTTCCAAATAGTATCAAGTGCGGCAGAACAATATCCCCCGTAAGTCACTTACATTGTCATCTTAATATTATCATGATTGTGAATTCTGTTGTCTTGAGATGGATCGAGAACTTTGACATCAGTTCAGTATTGCTAATGGAATATATTATTTACACAAGACTTTTTCCTGTCTGCATTCAGCCATGTAGAAATATACTACCATCTTAAGTGCCAGAAGATGCTGATCCGAAGTAGAAGTTGTTGGCAGGTATTGGTGCCAGTTAGATGAGAATAAACTGCCAAGGAAGACACTGGAGTGAAAAAAGATAGTTTGGGCCAAGTTTTTTTCCCTCTCTCTCTCACTCTTGAAATAGGTATCTAACATGCATATACACAACATCAGTCTATAGGAAATATGAGGGATGCTTGATTACAAGCAAACAGGGACATGTGGGGCCAAACTCTGCCCCCAGCCCCTATCTTGCCATATATGTTTCTAGTAGAGATGAAAGTGACATGTGGGAATGATGGGGGGATTCATGTCTTCTAGACTTCACAGTATGAAAGGGACCAGGCCTTCCCAGGAGGAATGGCCAGAAACTGAAGCTATAGCCAGAAATCAAGGGATCTTTTGTGAACACCTAAAGCAGGAGTTTATCCAGGGATAGAGATCTCCAAATGGTGGAAGCAACATACAGGCAGGGGACAGAAAACAGCCTCCATGCTGTGCAAGCATAAGTTTGTACTGATGGCAGAGCCTAGTTTGGTTTGCATTTACCGTAATTTTTACTCATCTACTTTTAAAGTGGTATTTGAAGTGATTGTGAATCAAAGGCATGATAATGCATACTTTTCCCAATTTAAAATATACTGTTTTATATATGTAACTACATGCCTTGAAAATAATGAGTATTTGAATCCTATCACATTTTTTGGAAAAAATATCAGACTGAGCATATAAAGATCAATCTTTTACATAACCAACCAGTGGAAGAAAAGGGGTTTTGTAAAACGTATGCAGTTTAGCGCAAGAAAATAAGAAAAAAAGAACTTGCAATGAAAGGAAAACGAACAGAAAATAGTGAGATGAGAAAATTCCCAAGTACATTTACTCAATAAACTAAAACTTTACTTTAACCAGACAAAAGCAAAATGCATTCTATATCTCCTGTGAGTTTAAGATACACTGGGAAGAAAAATTGGCATGACTCATGACTTAAATAATTAAAATTTTATATAAAAACCAAGAGGTTAACAAAAAGTTCAGGCCAGAAGTAAAATAATAATTAAATGTAAAGTATCTGAACTGCAAAAATCCTGAAAAATAATTTCCACCACTGATGGAAATGGTTTTAACCATTCTAGTGGTGAAGATCAAGTTGTTGAAGGAAATCCATCAGTTATTATGTATATTTTAGTGTGATTTGAAGGGGATTACAGGAGTAAAATTAAAGAAAGTACACACACACACACACACACACACACACGCACAGAATTATTAAAATGTATTGCACTGAAGGACAAGTTAACCATACTAGAATCTAGGGAGCCATTTCTCAGGAGTACAACCTAAGAAGCAGGATGGAAGCTCTGCACACTGCCCAGTACAGCTGCAGAGGCAAGAGGATTCTTACAAGTCATGACTATCAATGATTTGTTTTGTTCTCAGATTGCAAAACAAGGAAAATGCTTTCATAGCACGTCAGATTATGTGCCTACTCAATAGTCTATAGATCTTTAGCAACCTTAGAATTAGGAATATGTGACATATACTTCAGAAGGAAAGCTACAAAAACAAAAATTACAGAATCAAACCAGGATTGCCTCCAACTTTAGGAAGCAGGACCACCGTATAAAGCTTGCCCAGATCGTCACAGCTAAAAGCCTGTTGAGAAAAGTTGTCTAGGGCCAAAGAAATAAATATTGTCTAGGCTTGAACTCTAGCACTGCCATTTTGGGGACATTGGGTTGTGGTAGATAAGAAGAATAGGGTGTAGATGTCTGAAATTATCTTCTATATAATGGAGAAAAATTTGCTTGATTGCAAACACACAATTGAAAATATTTTCTTAGTTGCTATGAATTACTTCCAGTGAAAAATATGCCAACTCCAATAATTTATTTACAAAAAAAGGATATTTGTAACAAACAAGCAAAGGCAAAGAAGGAAAAGAAAACTCTAGAAAATACATAGGAAACAGCATGGTAATAGGGTGCCCCTGTTGTGGAATAGGCCAGGGGTATTGCAGGGTGAAAGGTTCAAGATGATGATGGTGATGGTGACAAGGTGATGGTCAAGCAGGACTTTAGTTTTGTCTAAAATGTTTATTTTATTTATTTATTTTATCATTAGAAGGTTGCCATGTATTATTTGTATATTTAATATAAGTACACAAAGAGTAGCTACTAAGAAGTACATTCTAACAAATGTATAATGAGTTTAAGGACAGATAAAAAAATTTCAAACTTTTGTTGAAGGCAAAAACACATCTAATTGAAATTCTGTTCCTCTGAGCAGAACGATCTTCAAGACATATGTAAAATAATAGGGCTAGAAGTACCTTGGAAAACATGGACCTGAAAATAATTCATTATCCCAGCACACTGAGGTGGCTCCACGTGAGTCTGTCATCTCAGGACAGAAAGTGGTGTTGTGTCCTGGCAGTCCAAGTTGAGGACACCCACTGCTCATAAAAAAAATATGAAATTAAATATTCAGCAATAAATTGTTTTGAGGAAGACAAAATGCTTTTAAAGGATCAACAAATACCTATCATTGCAAAAAAAACTCAAACCAATGAGCCCATACAGATGGATCAGAGGCATAATATTCATGTGTAAAGTATTTGGTCCAAGTTTTTTTTGTGTGTTTTGTTTTGTTTTGTTTTGTTTTGCTTTGTTTTTGAGATGGAGTCTTGCTCTGTAGCCAGGCTGGAGTGCAGTGGCGTGATCTCAGCTTACTGCAACCTCCGCCTCCCGGGTTCAAGCGATTCCCCTGCCTCAGCCTCCCAAGTAGCTGAGATTACAGGCATGCGCCACCACACCCAGCTAATTTTTTGTATTTTAGTAGAGACGAGGTTTCACCATGTTGGCCAAGATGGTCTTGATCTCCTGACCTCATGATCCGCCCGCCTCGGCCTCCCAAAGTGCTGGGATTATAGGCATGAGACACCGCACCTGGCCTGTTCCAAGTTTTTAGGAGCAGATGAAGCTGTTAAACTTTTTGTTTGTGCCACCTGTCTATATTAATTCTCTGTATTTTCCCCATATGCTTACTTGCATACTTATATGGTTATTCTCTGTGTATTTCCTGTTTCTTTTCTCTCTTTTTTTCTAAATGTATTGAAATTTCTGAGAAGATGAAAATACCACCTTTATGGCTACTCCTAATGGCAATAAGCGTAGTCACCAACATTTATTTAATGTTGGCTCTTTGTTCAATTAATCTTTGTGGCAACTGTAAAGGCACAAGTTACTTTATCTCCATTTGGGGGTTAAATCTGTTGAAACTCTGAAGAAGAAAGGAATTTGTCTCTAGGTCATGCAACTGGAAACCCTGGACTTGAACCCCTAGCACTGATATATCCTAGGGGTTCTAGTTCAGATTAGACTGATGCTAGAACCCCTGACCTGGTCTCCACAGACCCCTCAACACTGCTTCACGTGCAGAGCAGGAAGCACCAGGACATCCTTCCTAAGTGGTGTTAAGAACTTGATCTGATGAAGTATCCATGTGTCTTTGAGTAAGTCATTTAACTTCTCTGGAAGAACAGCTTCTTTACAAAGTAAGGTCACATGCCTCTTAGTTCACACATCCTTCCCAGTTCTAACTTTTCTGTGATTGTATTTTCTTTTACTGCCCTATTCTCAAGAAATGTATTTATTATGAACACATGCTGCAGTTTCCCTGTTGGTGGGTCTCTATGTGTGCATGCATGTGTGCATGTGTGTGTAACTGTTGCGAACACTTACCTTCTAACTGCTGTTGGAGCTGCTTCCAGCTAAGTAGGTGTTCCAAATACCAGGCTGCTCTTATTATGGACTTGGTTTAAAGGAACGCCTATTCTTTTTTTCACACATGCTAATACAATGTCCATCTTTCCTCTCCTAATAGCCCATGAGTCTTGAACTTGGAGTCAGCAAAGTGCTGCCTTTGTACAGCACAAAAGAACACCAGTTTTGCTTTTTTTTTTTTTTTTTTTTTTTTTTTTAAGAAATCACACGGGGACTGAATAAAAAGCTTTTCGACCATTCAGAGGCTGCTTGCATTGTGCAGCTGTTCCTTGACTGCTGAGAACATCTCCCGCGGACAATGCAGTACCTGAAGAGAACACGGCACATGGAGCTATTCAAGAGTTGCAGGACCTGGGACTGGTGCCAGTGTCCTCTGTGGAAGATCGGGGGCCTTTCTTCTTGGTCAGACCCTGATAAGCATATTGCAGTTTGTGGCAGTTGTTGTTTTTTGTTGTTTGCCTGCCAGCATTAGTTTCACAATTTTATTGCAATGATGCATTCCCAACATGCTGGCACTTAGGGGATTTTGTTCTTTCCTCTTTTGGTCCCACCTCCGTGAAATGTACAGTGAGACTTTGATTGGTCATAGTCCACTTACAGTTCGCAATGCGTTACTGTGTGGACTGAGTTCCCATGACTCGGGCTCCCCAGGACAATGTCTCTTTCTTCACCAAGCTGATGGTAAATATCTGGTTAGCTTCATCTATTTAAAACCAGCCAAGCAGGAATCCTAGTGCTGGAGAGAGGATTCTTTTTTTTTTTGTTTGTAAGTAAACAATGGACTCAGTTCTTCCTAACTAAAATTAAATTCCAATCACTCTTAAAATAATACCAGAAGGCTAATCCAATTCCAACAGGGGGTGGGAATGGGGTTGAGGGTGGCGGTGGGCGGTTAATAATGGCAAATTTACTGATGCTGGCTGCTGCTTCACCTCTGTGCCCAACATCTGTTTTCATGACTGATGATTCTAAGAACTTTCCTATGCAAAGGAAATTATTATGTTACTTGTAGTTAGAAAGAACTGGCTGAACTAAAAGCCATGTGGGCATCTTTATCTGAAACCATTTCCTTTTGAGTCAGTAGAATTGAGTTGACTGAGTTATTTGGGGGTTGGTATTTAATTTTTTAAGCATTTTAAAAATGCCTAAAAACTAAAAGGCTACGCAAAATGACCAGCATATCTTCTTGCTTTAGAATGGCATAAAAGACTTCTGCTTTAAGCAGTCTCAGTATATGAAAATCTGAATTGTTGAAAAATCAAGAGAGTAGGTGTAATCTGTTTTACAAAATCATTTATAGGAGCAGTCTCTGGAGCAGAAGCTCCACACCTGCAGTTATAACATGACCTATATAATAGCTGGACATTTGTTGAAAGTGCTGCCTCTTTCAACATCCCCCTCAGCTCAGTCTTAGCCTGTTTTTCAAGGTGTGTCAGGACCGCATGGAATTAGTAGGACATCTATTATAAATGGTGATTCTTTGTGGGTCCCCTTGAACCTTAGCTGATAGGATAGGACAGTTAGCATAACTGTGGTATTACCTTGATCACAGTTTCTAATCATTCAAACTCCAAAGATCACATACTTATTAGGAACTCCTGCTGCTTACTCATACATGCTTACTGCAACCTCCTCATGCCACCATGCATTTTGCTCATCACTGCAGTTTCTATTTATCTCCACCCAAATCCTTTCTGTCCTCTTCCCCTAACCAGCTGCAAACACAATTTTGTGTTGTGCAGGACTTGCAGTTCTGCATCCCACTTTCTACCCAGCTTCTCTGTTTCTCCCGCAGGTCAGTGACCTTATTAGTTGGTCTAACTTTGGCCTCCCCATCTGGGTAAAACTCTCCCCACCATCACTCCACTTCCTTCTCCTTCCAGGCTTTTGTGCTGTGTGCTCCTCTCACTGAGCTAGCAGCAGTCCATTGCCAGGCTGCCCTCCTTCCTTCCTTCAGGCCATCCTAGTCACTGCTCCCAACACAATGTTTGTGTATTTCCTGCAAAAGGATATGTATTTGTATTATGCTAAATGCTTTTCTTCCCCAGGCTGAGAGGCCTGATTTATGTATATGCAAGGATGAGTTAGCATCTTTTCTGACATTTCAAATGCTACAAAACCTAAAATTTGAATTTCTTCAGGTACTCTTTTTTGAGTTACTTGTCTGGTCAGATTTCTGTAGTCCTTCTAGACAGTCCTTCTGCAGAAAAGTATAAAGTCTTCATCTGTTCATTCATTCATTCAGTAATAACGTGCCCATTCCTGGGCTAAGCAGCGGGTGTCCAGTGAAAAAAGGGACATGATCCAAGGACTCAAGGAACTCATAGCCTAGCGGGGACAAAAGATCAACCATCCAGTAAACATACAAGCTCATTTCCCACTACAGCTTCTGGTCACTAGTATGAAAGGAGAGAACGGGGTACATTAAAAAGAGCAGTGTGGTGAGGAGGGGCTATCAGGAACCCACATAGATGATGATTTGGTCAAAGAAGCTCTGTCCTAGGCAGTAACATTTAAGCTAAGACCTGAAGGTGGAGAAGCCAGCCAGGAGCAGTGAGGGGAAGACTTCACTGGGGAGAGGGAGCGGAGTGTGCTCCAGGATATTTGAGGACTCAAAAGACAGGCTGGAATGTGGTGGAGAAGGAGGCATGAGCTCTCCGGAGCTGAGCATCAGAGTTGTGAGCCATGTAGATGTGGAGTCTGTGTGTTGTTATAAGTGCAGTGGGAAGCACTGAAGGTGAGTGACATGGTCTGATTTATGCTGCACACATGTGAATTTCAGCAAAACAAAATGGTGGCAGCAAAGACAGGGAAGGGAAGGAATTCTAGTTAAATTTAGGAAGAATCAATAAGGCTTGCTGAGATAAAGCCATAGGATCCAGTAGATAGTCTGATTGCCTTTTTGAAAGTAGTTTTGGTGAAGTTACAGAAGGAAGAAAAAGATAGTTTTAGAATGAATAAGAGGTTAGGAAGTAAATGTAGGTTGTGCCCACCCTTGGAAGGTGTTTGGCAATGAAGGAAAGGACTTTTCCCTCAAGGGAAGAAAAGGTGGAGAGAAAGGTTCGTTTGGAATAGGGAGACAGGCATATTTAGGGAGTATCAGTGAATTGGGAGAGAATGAAACTACCAGAGAAAGGGCATAGAGATGGCTGCCTTGTGGAGGCTGGAGAGAATGAATTCCCAGCATAGGTGAAGGAGAGGCAGCCATGGACCTAAGTGGAGACTGGAGGGAGTGAAGCCTGGAGGTGTGAGGGATGAAAGGTGAGGGCTGCTGGCCCCAGGACCTTTGTTTGTCCCCTGATAAAGATCCAGGCTTCTGCTTAAAGGGCAAAATAAATTTTGAAGAGAGTAGTAGGGTTTAGCTACCTCAGGATACTGAGAGGTGCTGCTTTCCAGCTAGAGAAAGGAGTGATAAGCAGTTAGCAGCTTTGCTAAATTTGTTTCACAGTCCTTCCAAACAGCTACATACTGTACAATTTTTCTCTGACAGTGCCGCCTCGCTCCAGAGAAAAGTATGCTGATATACTTTGGAAAGATTTTCAATAAAAAGGGCTTTCTAAATAACTTTTAGTTTAACCAGGAAATCATTCAACCAGAACCCCCTTCCCCCAAGTATTCTAGTTAGTCAAAGTTTTACTGAAACATGTCAGCATTGAAAAATGCAAAAGGCAGCTAAGTAGGTCTGACTAAAAAGGTGTAAGAAATCCCACATCTGTGCACAGAGCAGCAGTGTCGAGTCTCTTCAACTGTTAGGCATTTCAAACCTGCCATCTCCAATGCACGACTAGTGGAAAAAAAAAAAAAAAGGAAAAACAAAGAAGGAAATCTATGACATAGAGTAGAAAGCCCATTCAGAGGGTTCCAGGGCACATGTGTGTATTTAGTTGTACAGAGCATTTTGAAATGTTGACTTAGCAATTAACTCAAAGCTTTGCATAGTTTGAATTAACAGTAAAAGATCAAAAGGCCAAAACTTTACCAAATAGATGTGTGATAGGATTTATTTTCAAACAGTCCTGTAAGAATTTCTGCCATGCCTACACAGGGCCAAGTTAAGATGTGTTTGTGATCTCTTGGCAGAGGGGGTGGAGAAACCTGATCCTGCACTTTGTAAATTATAAACTGTTTACACCTGTCATCTCTGTCTGTGTCCCTGTTAATGATACCTTAACAATTGGCTAAGTGTGACAAAATGCTAAGAGCTGGCACTTTCAGAGCAACCACATCCAGAGGGATGTTATTAATGTCCACTGGAGTTTGAGAGAATAACAAAGCACCGTGACATACAGAGGACTTTTTTTTTTCTTTTCCAGTACCGATAAGTCTTTACTGATTCATTGATTTTCCTAGGGAAAAGAGAAGGGAAGGGAAAAGAGTCAGCATGTGTTACAAGATGGTTAGAAAATGGGAAAGGGAGTGTCCAGCACAGCAAAATCAACCATCAAATAAACACACCCCAGTGATGGGGTCACCGAAGCCCAGAGGGGCTCCATCTCCTGCAGTTCAGGACTGGGGGGGAGGGATCAGAAAAAGAACAGGCAGGTTACAGGCTACCCTCTCTCCCTCCCCATAAATTCAAGATTTCACACAAAACTTTGGTTTCTAGCAGTAAACATGGAGTTACATTTGTCTGTCTCCTATTAAACAGTCTTGTGGCCACTTTGACATAAATTTCTTGCACCTGCATAAAAGTATCTCAGTGACTTGGATATACATTCATATTCCCTTTGTTGGCCGCCTGACCCCACTTTCTATACCGAAGGCCCCCAGTTGCTTCTTTCTACTTTAGGATTAAAGATTAAGTAGGCTTGATCCATCCAAAATACAGCAGTGTCTTAAGTGTTTGGCATAAATCACATCAAGAAATGGTGTTGACTCAGGAGGTTGGGAATGTTAGAAATGCTTGTTCCTCGGTGCCACAAAGAAATAGCACTCGAACATAAATTTAATTTCCTCAGCAAGGCAATTTTTACTTCTATAGAAGCGTTTGACTTGTAAATACAGTAATGGTGAGAGCACACTTGAACAAGGGAGGGGAAGGGGTTCTTATTCCTGATGCAGGTGGTCCCTACCTCTGTGTTGTTCCCCTATTGGCTAGGGTTGGACTGCACAGTCTCAGCTAATTCCAGTTGGCTCTTTTAAAGAGAGCAGGGGTATGAGCCAGAGTGGCAGGGTGAGTGGCTTGGTGGGAAGGACAGTTAGGAACAAGTAACTAAAGGTGACTTAGGTTACAGCAGGTGACCAGAGGTGACTCAGGTCAAAGCAGGTGACTGGGATGAGTCAGGACAGAGCAGGTGACCAGGGGAACAGATGTGAACTACTGATTAAAACTGGTGGAAAAGGTTTACTGAAACTAGAAGCAAGGGGGCAAACAGAACCAGGACGTTAAACTTTAAAATGGAGAATCAAAGAATAAGAGGGCTGAACATACTGAAATAATTCAACAAGAACCCCCTTCCCCCAAGTATTCTTTGAAGAGAAACTTGGGAATCACTATATCTAACAGGAGCAAGGGATGGAGGACACCTAGCGTCAAAATTTTACACAAGGACTTTCACCACCAGATTTTGAATGTTTTTAGGAAGGTCCTGGGAAATGTCTCCAGTCGAACAGGAGGGCCTTTACACAAGGTAGATTGGGCCCGGGTGAAACATCCAGAGGGCTCCACGTGCCTCAGAGACACTGCACTACAGGTCCTACAATTCCCAAAAGCTGGAGGGACCAATCTGCAAAGTGCAGCGTTTACTTTGTGTTGTAGTCATTGAGTCATGTCCATCTGACCTGCAGAACTGTGTAGAGATTGCATTTTTTAAAAAAACTTTATTGACCCCTTTTCTCTACTCTGGATCCCCCCAATCCCCACCGCCTCCCCCAACCCCACACTCAACTCTAGTATAGTGCCCTGCACATAGATTAATTGGCACTTATTAAATGTTTAGTGAAGGTAAGATTAGGGAAATGACTATGATCAGAGGGGCAATACACATAGTACTTAAGAATGTGAGCTTCAGAGCCAGTTTGTCCCAGGTTCAAATCCCTGTTCCCCAACTTACTAGTTAGCAGGTGACCTTGGGAAGTCTCCTTATCTGTCAAATGGGGATAATAATGGCATATATCTAAAGCTATTGTGAGGATTAAGTGAGTCATTACACATCAAGAGCTAGGTCTGTGTCTGTCATACAGTAAACACACAATAAAATATTACTTTGCAAAAATAAATTCCTCTTGGGCAGAGAGAGCTTTTTTGAAAATATACCACCTAAAGAAAAGGCAAGCATGTATTTTTGGTCACTGATTAAGAAAGGTAATACAACTTCTGCATTTTCATTGGCCTGTTTTTAAAGGTAAAAATTTTAGATAAATGTGGGGTTTTACCCATCAGAAGTCCAAACAGTTTTAAATAAAACTGTATACAGTTTTATCTTAAAAGCACCCATGAACGCAATATGAGTCTACTTTAAAAATAAGCTTCTAAAATATTTTTTTCTCTTAAAAAAAGCTTACCAGATTCTGTTTCATTTTGGAAACAAATTCACATCTGGGATGCCAGATTTCAATCTTAATACGGTATGGAACAGCTGAGTTATAATTTTTTAACCTCCCAGAACACACAGACCTCTGATGGGAACATGGGAAAGGACATTTATCTTTTCAGCTGCATTAATATGAAATCCGTGATATTTTAGTGAGCTAAGAGAAAATACATATTAAAAATTAAGACCATGCATAACAGGGAGTGCCTACATAACTACAAGACTGGAATTTGCACAATTACTCTCCGTACAGATTATAATGTCTTTTACTAATTACTGGAAGCAATAGTGCCTTTTTATGTTGGCATGAAAGTAATGTAAACACTGAGATATTTCTCTTCTAAGATATTTAACATTTACAACATTTAGTTCAAATGAGTATATCTTCAAGGATATTGAATTATAGCCACTTTCTGATTGGGAAAACAAAATACAACTCTGAAAGAAAAGAGGGAAATGTTGATTATAAAATCGTTCAATTAATGCCTAATTTTTGTTGTTGTTGTTGTCATTATTTTTATTTTTTCTTCTACTTTTATTTTAGGTTCCGAGGGTATACATGCAGGCTTGTTACATGGGTAAATTGTGTGTCATTGAGGCTTGGTATATGAATGATCCCGTCACCCAGGTAGTGAGCATAGTACCCAATAGGTAACCTTCCAACCTATGCTCCTTCCCCCAACCCGCCCTCAAGCAGCCTCCCGTGTTTATTGTTTCCATCTTTGTGTCCATGTGTACTCAGTGTCTGGCTCCTGCTTATAAGTGAGAACATGCAGTATTTGGTTTTCTGTTCCTGTGTTAGTTTGCCTTCAGCTAATGCCTAGTTTTAAACCATAAAACAACTCTTTCTTTCTCTTTCTTTTTTGAAACAGTGTGGATTTGTGGAAATTCTTCATGGTTTTGGAACCATTGAAAACTGAGTTTTAATCCTGCTTCTGATGTTCTCCAGCTGCGTGGTCTTCTTTTTTCCCTCCTTTATTATTATTTTAAATTGTCACATAAAAATTGTACATATTTATGGGATACTGTGTGAAATTTTGATACATGTATACAACGTGTAAGGATCAAATCAGGGTAATTAGCATTTCCATCACCTCAAACATTTACTGTGTTTTTGTGTTAGGAACATTCAAAATCTGCTTTTCTAGCTGTTTGAAAATATACAATAGGTTGTTGTTGTTCATTATAGTCACCCTACAGTGCTATAGAACACTAGGATTAATTCCTCCTATCTAGCTGTACTTTTGTATCTGTTAACCAACCTCTAGCAAGCTCTCCTTCTTCCCATCCTTCCTCACCTCTAGTAATTCAACACTCTCTTATAGCTGTGTCTCAAAATACTAAAATAACTGGTTGGAATATAAAATATTTGGTTAATCCCTATTCACACTAAACAGACTCTTTATTCACACTGGCCAGATTCTTTTTTGGTGTTTGTGTTTTGTTTTCATGCATGAGGTTAATAACACCCTTAGAGACTGTCTGAATGTCCACCCAGTACCAGCAGAGCCTTGGCTTATTATTATGCCAGTTTCACAACTTGAATCCGTTAGTTAATTTAACATGGTCAGAGAAAAACTCATTTGTCTTTTTCATGTGTTTCACAGTCAAAGTGACACAGGGTCAGGCATTATCTGCTGGAAGGGGACGGCGAAATTAAAGTCCCAGGGTACAGCCATTCACAGCGGTAGAACGGATGATTATCAGGCTGGATATAATTATAGAGCCACAGCAGTCCCCCACAATACACTGGCTATCTGCCTAGCACAAAGGTTTAGATCCCTAATTTGTTGCAGGCTAGAATATCTGTGAAGTAGCCATGTATTTTTGTGTACCATCAATCACAACTTAGGCAACTGCTGCTGTTTGCATTTTGGAAGCTTGGCGGCTGTTAAGCTTCTGCCTGCTTTTCAGACAGGAAGATAGGATGCAGGGCTGCAGAAAGGCTTTTAGTGGCAGAATGATGACACCTCTGCCAGGGTCCTATCGCAAGCTCATTAGCTGAGTGGATATTTGAGCGCCTAGTCAGTTTCAATACATACAAAGTCATCTGTTTCATTAAGTTAATTTACCTGAGCTGGCTCTCCTGACAATCAACTGCTTCTGCAGTATCAGCTTGATATTGTAAAGGCGAATGAGGATGGGGCTGGGCAGGAGGCATTGGTCAGCAAGGTACTGGGGTCTGTGGGATTGTACTTCCCTTTAACTGGGCACTTCCAGAAATCCACATTATATTTGTAAGCAAGAAACCTGGCTGGAAGTTTACTAAGGCTTGCTATTTACTTTTAGTTTCAATGAATGAAATTGGGAAATGAGAAGCAAATCGGGTACTATATTAATAATTTAAGAATATTTTTCCAATTGTTAAGGAAGCGAAGAAAGGAAAAGGAAGCAAAAGAAAAGACTGCACATTTGTTGGTTAGTTATTTAAACTCTACTGTTCCTGGAGAGTTCTAAATTGCTTTACAACTAGATTCACCTAAATGATATGACCTACAGGAAATTGTATCTGCAACTTATGTCTTGCAAAAGTTGTTAATTAAGGAAAAACCTGTATTGTTTTCCTTCCTTTGTTTGGTTCTCTAATTCGCATCTTTGTTCTTCTTTTAATATGCATTTGCTTTATGCTTTTTAGATTTGAGTGTTATTAAAATAGTAACACCTGAGTTGGACTTCTGCCTTTAGATTAGTTGGAAGCTGTTAAAATTTAATCTTATCCAAGGTTTTGTGCATCACAGGGTTGACTTTTAACTGAAAGTCGTTACTAACTGTCACGTTATACTGTTAACTCTGACTACGAAGACTAATCATTAGACTCATTAGAACCAACTGGTTTGACAAGAAAAAATAAAAGAATTGTTGAACCACAAAGAATATGTTAGAAAAACATTTGTATACATTTGAGGTTAAACGTACACATTACCGACTTCTTTCTCCCAGCACACAGGACATCAGCTCTTAGGAAGAAGGTGGATAAGAATTTCTTCCTCAACCTCCCTTATACTTTCAACTTTTCATGGCTTATTGGGTATAAAAGATCATTGTTTTGAAAGTGCTTATGTGAGAAATACTTCCATGCAAGTAGAAAAAAGCGCATGTATTTCCTCGTATTGAAGCATTAGGAATAGTTTATTTTATTTTGCAAACCCCAAATCCATTTGTTTAATTTGGCAATATTCGTCTTTTGGCCATGTTTAATTTTCTTTTTCCAACATTTTGAAAGATCCAACTCTATCCATTTTTTAGGGCAGAAATATTCAATTGCTTCTTTTTTTTTAGTTCAGAAAAAAATATATAATGTTAAGTATGACTGTGAAGAATTAACTTGTGTTTGAATTGATATTTTGCTGGAGCTTTAAGTAACAGTTTAAACTTTATTGTCGGGAGTAGACACAATAAATATCATCTTTTCACACCCAGGAGATTCGGGGCCAGCTATATCTTTCTCAGTTCTTATTTCATTGTCCATATAATTGAATAAAATATCTAATGTAATATTAAGGTCACAGATTTAAAAATACAGAACTTGGGGAATGCAAAATTTACTTTTCTCAAGATAACAGTTTTTTCCTCATGCTGGGCATTATATGCACTTAAGCTGTGCCCTCAGCAATGTAACTAGGTCAGGGATTTCATAGAATGTGAAACTGCTGTGTTACTGTAAGAATACCAGCATCTTACATTTCATGTATATTTCAAGACCTGTATTTGCAAGTAGAAAGGCAAATGCTGGGTGTCAGTCTGATGTGCGTTACCTGGGCGTGTATATAGAACAGGAGTTTTGAGCTAGCACTAAGGCCTTTAAAAAAGAAAGCCTAGTGCAATCTATAGTAACTTCTTCAAGGGCGACAGTTCATTATAAAGTGAGCTAAGTAAGTAATATAAGCCCCTTGGAAAAGTTAAAACTTAAAATCTATAGCGTTTTTCTTTCTTATACGACGTATGTGTTTATACTTTATTTTGCAGCTTTTTATTGGTATACCTGTCTACCCCATAATTTGTAAATCCTCTGAGGACAGGGATTGTATTTTAGATCATTCATTGATCCGTTTGTTTACCAATCAAACATTCATTTGCCCTTGCCAGGTTCACTAATGGTGTGGATAGATTAGTAAACAAATAATGTCAATTTGATTGCTATGATAGAGCTCACTCAAGTATTTCGAAAGAAAAAAGAGAGACATTAGTGGTTAGTTGTCAGTGGGAATCAGGGGAGACTTCACAGAGAAGGTGATGTTTGAAGAGTGTCTTAAGAAAAGGGTAGAAATTCACAAGGCAGAAAAGGGAAAGGATAGAAAAGTGGAGTGGGGAGGGGCTGTTAATAGGAAAATGATTGAAAAGAAAAACCATAGTCATGGGAAGAGTAGTTCAAGACACAAAGGATAAAAAAGAAGGGGGGAAAAGGCAAAGGAAGATCCAATAAGAGCCATCCCTCCAAAGCCCTCACCCACCCACCCAAGTCAATCGAAGAGTGAAAAATTCTTAAAACTTTCTGTTAGGGGCAGTTTATTGAAATTCTGGTATATATTCTTAACCTAGGGCAGCTGGCTGCTAGGTGAAAAGATTCCAGAGAGGTTTTTAAATGCTGCTTCCTCCAGCCAGCCTTCATCTTTGTACTGGCCACAGCACCTGAAACAGTTCCTTGCTCATATAGACAATAAATGCTTAATTTGAATTGCTGAAAGTAAATAGAAGTAAAACGGCCCCTCCCTTTGAGGTGTTTGTAATGCAGTTGGGAAGAGAACTACAAGCCAAGTAGATAATGACTTACCACCAATGACTATAGGCTATTCCTCCTTTTTACATTGGCACGGTACTGAAAAATGTGCCCTCTTTTTCCCAAAGGAATAATTTAAGTTTCCACAAAATTTTGGTTAAACACCAAACTGCCGTTACCATCTTCTAAGAAATATAGGCAGCTCCAGTGCAAGACACAGAAGGCTGTGGGTGGGAAGTTTTGAGGACAGGGGGAAATTGGAACTACAGTAGGAAAATGTTTTTAGGAAACAAGGGATGGTATATAGGTATAGGAAACAAGTATACAAAATTCAAAATGCTGAAAGGTGAGGATACTTTGAGTTTCCAGTGAAACTCAAAGGATACAGGAGACTGAGAAGAAAATGGAAGCTTACATTAATTAAATAACTCTTCATGGGCCAGGAGCTCTTTATCCTAATAACAGCTGTACGAAGGGAAAACATCATTATCCCACTTTAGAGCACAGAAACCTGAGCCTTACACAGATTAAATAACCCAAGGCCACTCAGCCACTAATGGAAGGACTAGGGTGGAAGCCCACTAGAATATAAGCTCCATGAAAGCAGAGACCTCTTCTGTTCATGGGGAATACTCAGTGTCGGGAACATGCCTGGCACACAGTAGGTGCTGAATAAATATTTTCTTAAACAACCCAGACTTCAAAGGCCATGTTTACAAAGTGATCAGGGTTGAGTTAGTCACAGAGAAGATAAACTTTTGTCCTTGCTCCAGGAATAAAGAATTGTCTAGATAGGCAAATGGGCAGACATGCAAAATAAATATCAAACTAATGGCAAAAACAAGATAAGAAAAATGAAGAGTTCAGAGATGCCATTGTCTAGATCTTTACCTAAAATACTTGTGCTAGTAGAAAAATGGTTTCCTTGTTTCCTTGTCATTGACCCAATAGCTATAACACAGCATAGAGCATCTGATCCTAACCCCTAAAGAATAAGCTCTAAAAATTGTGTGTGTGTGTGTGTCTGTGTGTGTGTGTGTGTATACATACCCATGTAATTATACACACATTCTATAGGAGGTTAGGAACCTATGAAAATAAATGGTTATGTTGAAAGATGTCTTTAACCCTAAGTGTAGCATTTGCTAGTGGAAACTCTGTAATTACTGTAATGTTTTTGGTGGTGACTGTTCATGATTTTTTTTTTTTAAAGGTCTGACAGCTGCCCTCTTGATATTTATGTGTTTCTTGCTAGGGAACCTAAGATTCACAACCCGAGCTTGTAATGAGGAAAAGAAGACAATACAAATAACTTGAAAAGGAGTATGAACTGGATATGGTCAGAGAGACAAATCACATGTTCCATGCTGCTTTAATTGGAAAACAATTCTTTCATGGGGTTACTTTCCCTTCAGCTGAGATAATTAAGTCTGGACTGACACTGGTGACCAGCTACTGATGATAAATAGTCAGTTACTAACAATGCAGCAATCAGTAATCAAAATTTATATTTCCCAGGTTACCAGGGCACAGTTGAAGAGAAAAGTGGGTTTGATAAGGCTGGGAGATAGGCTTCCTCGTGCAGTATTCACATGGCTTCTTCTCCACAGCATCTGGGTGGGATCATTAGGTCTGCTTTATTTCAACCTTGTCATAAAAGAAAACATACCTATTGTCTGTGTTTGCATTAGAAATACTTTGCACGCCCCATGCTGGAAAAGAAGTTTCTGTATGCCTCCCTGTAATTTTTAATGGATTAAATTATATTCTGTAAGTGGGTTGGCATGAGGGTAGGTTTCAATGTCCAGTTGTTATTGGACATGAAATAAACTTAGATATTTTTAAAGCCACTCCATGCAGCTGGCACAAGTAAAGGTTTTTGAATCATGGCTAATTATCCCTGGCTGTGGCTGAAGGCATTGAAATGAAAGGGATTAGGATTGTAATATGGATGCCATTTGTATTTGTATCAGCGGCTCCGATATTTGTCTACTCACTAGAATCACCTGGGGTTCTACTAAAATTTTTCACAGCCCAGGTCACACCCAAGCCACTTAAGTCAAAATCTCTGGGTATGGAACACAGACATCTTTAATTTTTGAAGCTCTCTAGGTGATTCCAATGTGCAGGCAAGTTTGGAAAGCACTGGTCTATACTCAGTTTTATGCATATTTTTGCATAAAAATATGAAACTGCTGTCTAGGCCGGGTGCAGTGGCTCATGCATGTAATCCCAACACTTTGGGAGACTGAGGCGGGTGGATCACTTGAGCCCAGGAGTTCGAGACCGGCCTCGGCAACATGATGAAATCCCGTCTCTACAAAAAATACAAAAATTAGCTGGGCATGGTGGCGCGTGCCTGTAGTCTCAGACTCGGGAGGCTGAGGCAGGAGAATCGCTTGAACCCGAGAGGTGGAGGTTGCAGTGAGCAGAGATTGCATCACTGCACTTCAGCCTGGGCAGCAGAGCAAGACCCTGTCTCAAAAAGAAAAGAAACTGCTGTCTCCCACCCCAGTAAGACCTTAAACCCCAAGAGAAAAAGCATAATGTGACCCACCCGGTGAGAAAAGCAACCTCAAAGTGGTCAAAATAGACTCAGCTCTGAGGAGAAGGAGAACCAAAAAAGGAGGAAACATGCCTTTGCTCCTTTCTTAGTGCTTAGCTCAGTGTTAGTTGAATAAATGAATAAAAAGAGAAAAGAGGAGGTGGTCATGTGCAGCTCAGTTCCCAGAAAGGGTACTGGGATGGGATGGAGGAAACTCATTGACCACATCCTTGCACAGTGGGCACCTCTCCACACTGCCCTCCTCGCTCTCCTGATGAATTCTTTCTTTTCTCTCTAGTTTAGTCAATCTCCTGTCTTCTCTGGGAGCAGTCATTCTGAGATGGTCGAAGATGACTGTCTCAGGGGAGGACACTCATTCAGCTTTTAAAATGTCAGGTGTCCTTTGGGGATGCTTCAAAAGCAGCATTTGGGCTTCCTTTGCCATAGGAAATGAACAGGAAGAAAGGCCAGTGAAGACAGAGAACAAGGGGGCAGGTGCCTGCCCAGAAATCAACGTGCAGATAGAGAAGGGAGAAAAAAAAAAGTTCCCATCTGCAGTACTGGAATCCCACTTATGGAGCATAAAATAAAAAATATGAAGGTTATTTGCTTTGAGCTCATCTGATTCTTTGTGTTAGACTGCACTGTGGCCTGCCTTTCTGAGTTTGCTACATTTTTATTTGAAAGCTAATAAATTAGCCATTCATATGGCACGCAGGCGGGTTTATAGTGCTGTGTAAACCACCAGCCACCATATACATCCATCTGCATCACAGATCGACTAGAATTATCACTACTGACACCACAATGCCTATAAATTCCCTCACCCGCATCCTGTATTCCAGAATATTTCTATTGGCTGACCATACTGCGAAGAGACGGGATCCTGGGAAAAATCCTTTTTTCTTTCTAGTTTAGTGGGAACTGGCAGGTTATCAGTAGGTCTAAGCTCTAGGTTTGCCTCTAGAGACAAAGAGTTTAAAAAATAGTAACTAGTTTTATTTTGTTCTAAAAAAACACATGCACAAGAAAAATATTGTCAATAAAACATAAAAATGTACAACATAAAAAGTGAGTTTCTTACCCAAATCTGACCTCCTACACCTCCTCCCTCAGAGACACTGTTACTAGTTGCTTATATATGAGAACTGCAATATTCACGACACTTTAAAAAATCAGTCAATCTTGGCTTGTATTTCAAGTTTCATTAACAAAAAACAGCCCCCTTTACAATCACTGGGGTACTGAATGCACTGATATTTAAAAATACCCAAAGCTATTTGGATCAAAATCAACAAATATTTAATAAGTACCTTCAATGTGCACAATGTTGCCTAAACAAGCCATTTCTAATGAGGATTTTACACATATATGTTTCATACTTTTTTTCTGGTGTATAACAACTAATCTAAAATTATGTTAGTGAAAGGGTAGTCAGTCTTTGTTTTAAATGTTTTTCTCAGAAACAAAAATGATCTCTTTCTCTCCCTCACCCCTCTAACTTCTCAGCCTTTCACACATTCTCTCATTTGAGTTCTGTTTTACGCCGAGACATCTGGGTAGGTGGTATGTTCTGGCCAGAGTACTCTCTCTCATACCTTCCCCAGATGGATTGGCTCAAGGATCTAATATTCCCCAAAGAAATAAAACATCCCCCAACTGGCCATTGAAGAAGAGCTGCAGTGCTTTCTATTCTAAACACACATGTGTTGAAGGATGAGAGACGGTCATGACAGAGCCAGTGTCCCCACCCATGACTTGTCTGCAGAGGGGGAGACTTCCAGTCTGTAGCCCACTGCAGGATACTAGGCTGACTGCACAGCCCCGTTACCCCTCAAACTCCAGCCAGCTACATCTGTATGTCTTCTCTCCAGCTGGCTGGCCCAGCTGTTCTGGTGTCAAAGAAAGTTATGAGTCACTGGGAAGGGCTTTGAGACAAGAGTAGAGTTAAACCATCTCCTGGGGTCTGTGTGTCATTGGCAATCGAGCCTTAGTAACAAGCCAGTGCTTGACAGTCCCAGGAAGGCCACACAACCAGAGCTTCACTTTGTATTCCACAATCCACACCTCTGGGCTTTGTAGTGAAAAAGAGGTAGAGCTGTATAGATGCTGGATGTCTCCATCCCTAGAGACTTTCTGTCATTGGCCATGATGTTCATTAGGTTCTTGCCATCTGTCTCCTTGCAAATGCTTTTTGGCTGTAGATCTATATCCTATACAATCTGGTCAAACTGGGAGACAATGAATGAGGATTGGCCAAAGCCTGAGGACTTTCTTTTGGTCTTTTGATTCCAGGGACATTATTACAACAGAGCCCTAGGAGCAGCTGCCAGCAAGAGTTTGAGTCCACAGCAGGATCCTTCTGGACCATCTGTGGCTTCCTGCTCTGAACAGTACTTCCTCACTACGTGGGAGGAAAGACTTGTCAGAGGATCCAAGAACCATAGGCAGTCAGGTTCTCCATGGGGACCCTAAATGTTGTCTGGTCTAGCCCTGCATCCTGCGTCTAAATTCCTGGAGAATATTCCTTCTGTCCTAGCACTCATCTGGCCTCCCCATCCCCTTAGGTAGGCTAGTCCATGTGTGTGTTACAGGGGCTGCTAGAAAGTTCCTCCCTATTTTGAGCAGAAATCATCTTTATAGTTTCTACCCATTGATCTTAGGTCTACCCTCACAACTGTCCTCTAGGTTTCTCTTCAGATATCTGAAAAATGCCAGTCTCTGCCCCTTGCATCTCCCCTTTTCCTTGTTTTAGTACTGATTTTTCAGAAATTGTCCTGATACTCTTTTTTTAGAGCTTCATTCACTATTTAATGAATATTTGTTAAGAGTTTACTGTACATTAGACTTTGTTCTTGAATGGGAGGGATACAGTGATTAATAAGACCAATTTACCCACATAGAGCTTACATTCTAGTGGAGGGGAGGAACAGACAAAAGCAAGTGAAAATCTCAATTAGGAACAAATCCATTGCAGAAATGTAGAATAAAGTGATGAAAAAAAAAAAAAAAAGCATCAGGCTGCTTTGGGGGCTCAGGGAAGGCCTGTCTGAGGAAGTGACATTTTATGATCTTGGAAGAAAGATCATTCCAAGGTGAGAGAGCAGAAAGTCCATGAGGCAGGAATGAGAGCTTGTGCATTTGAGGAAAGCAAGGCACAGGGGCTGGAACAGAGTGGGAATGGAACATGATGGGGTCAACCAGTTGGGTGGTGCCTTTTGTGCCCAGAATAGAGGGTTTAATTTTGTTGTTAATACATTAAGAAGCCACTGGAAGGCTTTATGGAAGGGAGGACATAACATGATCTATGTTTCTAAAAGACCATTGATTGCTGTGTGGAGATTAAACTGAAGGAGGGCCAAGTGGAAGTAGAAAGACTAAGTAGATAGCAATTGTCATGAGGCAGGAGCTGAGGTTAGGTTAGATTAAGAGGATTGTAGGTAGAACATAGGGAAGTGGGCAGATTTGGCATGTACTTTGGAAATAGAATCCATACTTGGATATTACGTCTCTTGGTCCTCTTAACTCACAGTGTTTTATGTAAGTCTGTATTATATGTATAATGTATGTGTGTGCGTGTGTGTGTGTGTGTGTGTGTGTGTGTACACACAGCATCGTTATAGCCACTTATGTATAGTCTGCAGTGGTCTGGAGACTTCCCAAGGGCAGAACCCATGGGTGAGCCCATGACCCCAATATCCGCACTGTTCCCGCACAGTGCCTTGCCTGCACATATTAGAAACTCAGCCATTTCTAAAGTGACTGAATTCGATGAGTGAATGAATGAGTACAGGAAAATTACTAACAAAAGCTGTTTCTGGGTTTAATTGAACAGTCAAAGGAACATCCTTTCAATGCCTACACACTTGTACGATATTTTCTCACATCTCATGTTCTTGCTTGTACCTCCCAAAACACTAAAAAAGTACCCTGTGGTGTACAAAAGCAGTGTTCCTTTGGAATAGAATTACTTTCAAAAAATTGGAAAAATTATTGATAATGACTCCTCAAATGTACCTTTTGTGTGAGAATGGAGGAGGTGCCCTTAGCTCCCTTACTTCCAAATAGTGGAGCAGTGTTCCAGCTTGGGGAATCTTGCAAGACTGGAGCTCAACACAGCACTTTGCTCTCTTCTCATTGAGGATTCTGGACGACACTCAACCTTTCTTTCATGTCTTAGTGCTGCTGGAAAGAGCTGATTAAATAGATATGTGAAGAACACATCTGCCTATTCTTGCATAACATTTTAGAATGACTTTTTTTTTTTTAACTCTTAGGAGAGATAAAGACTATGTTAACCCAGTAGGAAAATACCGTGTTTGAGAAAAAAGTCATTCTGCCTTAGTCTTTTAGTTATTCAAAGTGAACGTGGGGAATCTCCTCTTTGAAAGACGTTCATGTGTTGTTACTCTCCATGTGTTCCATAGGTGTGTATTTTCCTTCTCATTGCTCAGAACTTGAAATCCTTACTAGTGAAAGCCTGGATGATGCAGGTTGACCTCTCTGCTTCCCAGTAACCAGGGCTAAGTAGCTTCTAGAGACGTTTATCCATTTTCTGTGCCTCCATTTCCTCCCAAAGAAAGGCAAGCACACACGTGCAGGGATCCTTGTGCTATGCTAGAGTGACACGCCTAGGCATGCCTGCAGGGCTGGGTGTGTGTCTCACACTCACTTTCTCTCTGATTTATCACCTCTCTTTTGTCTGACCCTCAGCACTTTAGTTTGGTTTCTTCTTGTCACACTCAAACTTATTGGATAATTTCACTTTTCCTCCTTATTCTGGTCTGGCAGAGATGGTAATTAAAGTGATTGCTGTGCTATTAATTATGGGAATGGTGATTTTTAAATTTGATTTAGGGGTTAATTGGTGATATTCATGTGCTGTCTTCCCTCCTGATAATTGGATTGCAGTAATTAACCTTGTATCCAAGTTATCTGATATTAACCATTTGCCTCCATTTTATTTCAGACTTAAAATTGATTACGTTGTTGTCTGACGCCCAGTGTCCACTTTGGGAGAAAGAAAGGTGAGGGACAGCCAGTGGAGGGCACCTCAGAGAGGAATAGGAGAGTCTGTCTTCCTTCTCTACCACCCCTACCTGTTGTCCAAGATAACAGTTGTCCTCCCCAAATATTCCAGAAATCCAAATTCTTAATTTTAGTAACTAGTTCCTAAACTTCTGGGGTTATTCATCAAAAGAAAATTACAGATATTTGAAAATTAAAGGCAGGTACCTGTAACAAAGCAGAGGGCAGATACTGCCAGTTGACAATTGCTTCTGATGCCAGGGATTGGAAAATGCCGTGACCAGGCATATTCCATTGGGGAGAAAATGATTACAGGCTCTGACATCATGGAATCTCCTTTGGAGACACCATCACCAAGTGCACAAAAAGCCTGTGAAGTCTGTCCATTTTCTACAGAGAGAGGAAGGAGTGCTGACTCCCTTGTAGTTGGCCATCAGATGGGAAGAAATGCAGCTCACTCAGGTGGAGGGGTTGCTGAGCCTGGGGAGGCAGTCACTTCTGCTGCTTCTGGATGATATCACTTACTTAGGAGAGGCTTTGGGACCTTGCTACCAAGATTACATCTGCTCTGGGAACATCACTTATTTTGTGGAAGTCTGTTCTTGTCGGTCCTTTGTCTGGAGAGGGGCCTGGAAAACTGTCATTATAAGCCCAGAACATAGGAAATGAAAAATAAGTAACTCAGTCAGCAATTCCTCATCTCTGAATTATTCTTGCAAGTATGATACGACATACACTTTTAAAAATATGTGAAATCAGATTACTTTTTTTTTTAAATTCTGTGAGAATTTCACAACACACTGTGGAATAATTAAGAGACGTTCTCATTTTAGCAAAACCAGTGTTGGGAATTTACTCTCAAGGATTTCCTTTCTCCATCACTTTATATCCTGTTTTTAATCTCTTTAGGAACGAAGGCATGTAGTGTCCCAATCTTTTTTTTTTTTGAAATTTTTTAGATTTTGGAAAAGTAACATGGGAAACATACACCAGTGGAGTCTGGAGCAATTTTTAATAATCATACCTGTTCATAATTTGCAGCAAAATGCATAAATATTCATCCTAAGAGGGATAAATAAGGACTACAAATGGTCTCATGCCAACTCAAGCTTGTCACACAATGAGTAGAAAAAACATTTTGGTTTTCAGGGTTTGTTTTTGTTTTGTTTGTAATTGCAGATAAGAAATTGTGTACCTATACTCCTGAAATGAACTTGGCCTCATCCAGATCTAGAGAAACAGGGGATAGCAAATCGTATTTTTCTTTAAACTTAAGGAGCCTCAGGGCAGACTTCAAAAACAATGAACACCAAAATGATTCCTCCAGATGCTGCCAAAGAACAGGACTGTTCTGTTTGTGCGGTGACCCTGAAGTCACCTGTTTAAGGAGTCAAGTCATCAAGTGGTAGAGACATTCAAACAAACCTATAATTTCGTAGAATTTATTTTCATTCGCTCTAAGGAAGCATATTTTCAGGATGTTTGGGGATAATTATTAATTCCAAAGATAAGATTTCACATTAAAAGCAAATGAACATTTTATGCGGTGGTATCCTAGAGTTGACTCTGGTTTGGGAAGAGGCACCTAGTGAATCGTCTTCTCTCCACCACAATTCAAACTGATAAACTGCCTTTGGAAAACACCTACGTTATTTTGCTAAGTAAATCAAGCCAGGCTAATGAGTCACTTTTTACATAAAAGTAAATGAGCAAAGCCAATAAAGATATTAGTAATTTTCAGAAAAAAAAACCTGAAATATCTATCAAATTTAATAATAGGTTAAAATGTGTGGGTTTGCAGTTTTCACTGAGCTCACTGAGACATAAAGCAGGCTTTTTTCGGATAAACGAAATGAATTTCCCCAAAAATGTGGGAAAATTATAGAAATTCAAGATATAATTCTTCCATATCATGTCTGTTCTCGATGTGTCTGGACATACACAGATGAACAGAAAATGTACTGTGTATATAGATACTTTACTGATGATAAGCACCAGTCAGCATCAATATCATGCTTGGTTATGGAGCAGATCCTGAAATGATATTATGCCTCTTTTTGTATAATCAGAAGCTTGTAATCAAATAGAAACTCTATTTTTGGCTTTCAGGGTTCTGGGAAAGCATCAGAGCTCATCGAAAGAGGCAGGAAATACAATGAGGGCTGACACAGGCAGCAAACACCAAAGGACCTGATGCCAACATTTTAGTTCAAGGAAATGTTTTCACTTTCTTCCTGATCTTGAGACTGTCTTACCAAAAATGTTGACAAACAACAAGAAAACAGTAAGGATTTATAGGGTTAGGTCAAAGTTTAAATCATTCGTGACTGATGACATTGTTATTTGGGGCTGTTATTCAGAGCTCAACGGAGCGACTTGCAGGTTGTTATTAATTCTGTAGGAGCCAGGTTTGAAGTTGACTTCTACTCTAAAACTGGGGAAAGAACACATCCCTGCAGCCGTTTAGGCCTGAGCAATCCCAGGCAGAGTGGAGATCAGGAAGGTTCAAGTTGTGACTGGGAGATTGTATTTCTATTAACTATACTGAGAGTAAACAGAGGAGAAATTATTAGGGAGAGTCGTCCTGTCAAAGTTCAGCAATTGCTTTATTTTAGTTTAAATCCTCTAAGGACTTTGACAAAGGTATGTGGAAAACTCTAGGTGCTAAAATATCTCTGGTTTGCTCCTTTAAAGTCACTCTCCAGATATCTTTTTACTGGCTAGGAAAAATGCTTGGATTCAGGCATACTATTTTTTGCAGTTTGCTTCATTTTTAATAAAATTACAAAGAAAAAGTTAGGGAGAGCAACGCAAAAATAACCCATATACTCAACACCTCAAGCAAATAAATACCAATATTCTGAGCTTATACTTCAGAGCTTCCCCCACCCCTTCTTCTCTGTCATATTCTTAGAAAAAATAGTAATCAGACACAATCTTTATTCTCAGCTGTAATATTTTAAACCAAACTTTCAGTTAAAGGAAAACATCCATCCATTACTTCAGACAAATGCTTGAAATTCCTTAAGCAAAGAATGAACTAGTCTAATTTGAGTGTCTACAAATCCAATAAGCATGGAGTTGTCTGTTTTAACACGCTGCTGTCTTGGCCTGGCCCTTCTACCTGAAATGTCTTAGTTCCCACCTGCCCCCTCCACAGTGAACAGTCATGCAACCCTCTAAGGCTTTCTCCAACCAGAAGCCTTTGCCAGTCATCCCACCTTACATGCCTCTGCAACATCTTCACTTTCCAGGTGGTATTCTTGGCAACAGAGTAATAATTTCTTTTTGGAAGATTATTGTTAATTTGTGTATGTGTTCTATTTTGGAATAATGAGCAAAAGCTATGGGGCCCATCCACTGAATAGTGAGGTCCTGGGGGTGATGCAAGGGGAGGGGCTGTTTCCATCTCTATCTGCATCAGCATCTTAGCACAGAGCCTCCCAGTAGAAAACAGGGAGTTGGTAAGATGGAAATCAGGCAGTGGTAGTAATGAACATCAGGCAGCAAGCCAAGGAGAAGTGAATGAATTTTGGCTCCCTTCTGAAAGTAGCATAAGGCAGGGAAAGAGCTCACTAAGAGAAGTCAGGAGTTCTCAGCTGCTGCTCATCTTTGCCACTTTTGAGCTGTCCTACATTCGGCAAGTGACCTTTTTGGACCTCAGTTTTCTTAACAGCAAATTATAGGAGGCATTTGTTTCTGCATCTGAAGCAGATGTCCGAGTTCAGCAATATTGTAAACAGTTTACACAAGTTTACAAGAAAAAAACAAACAACCCCATTAAAAAGTGGGTAAAGGACATGAACAGACACTTCTCAAAGAAGACATACATGTGGCCAGCAACATGGAAGAAAGCTCAAAATCACTGATCATTAGAGAAATGCAAATCAAAACCACAATCAGATACCATCTCACACCAGGCTATTATTAAAAAGTAAAAAAACGACAGATACTAGCAAGGTTGTGGAGCAAAAGGAACGCTTTTACACTGTTGGTGGGAGTGTAAATTAGTTCAACCATTCTGGAAGACAGTGTAGTGATTGCTCAAAGACAGAGGCAGAAATACCATTCGACCCAGCAATCTCGTTACTGGGTATATACCCAAAGGAATATAAATTGTTCTGATATAAAGACACATGCACGTATATGTTCAGTGCAGCACTGCTATTGTTCACAATAGCAAAGACATGGAATCAACCTAAATGCCCATCAGTGATAGACTAGATAAAGAAAGTGGTACATATACATGATGGAATACTATGCAGCCATTAAAAGAAACAAGGTCATGTCCTTTGCAGGGACATGGATGGAGCTGGAGGCCATTATCCTTAGCAAACTAACACAAGAACAGAAAACCAAATACCGCATGTTCTTACTTACAAGTGGGAGCTAAATGATGAGAACAAATGGACACACGGGGAAGAACAGCACACACTCAGGCCTGTCAGAGGGCAGGGCATGGAAGGAGGGAGAGCATCGGGAAGAATAGCTCGTGGATGCTGGGCTTAATACTTGGGCGATGGGATGACCTGTGCCGCAAACCACCATGACACACGCTTACCTATGTAACAAACCTGAGCATCCTGCCCATGTATCCCTGAACTTAAAATAAAAGTTGGAAATTAAAAAAAAAAAAAAAGAAAATCAAGAGGAAGGTTTGGGAATGAAGGTAATGATTACAGTCTGGGGACATACTGTGTGAGTTTTACAAGTAAGCCATACATGTAAGTAGAGTTTTCCAGAGGAATTGTACAAAATCAGGTCTGGAATTCTAAAACTAAAGGTTTAGATTAAGAGGTAAAAATTAGCTGCCTTGCCGGGTACGGTGGCTCACACCTGTACTCCTAGCACTTTGGGAGGCTGAGGCGGGCAGATCACCTGAGGTTGGGAGTTTGAGACCAGCCTGACCAACATGGAGAAACCCCGTCTCTACTAAAAATACAAAATTAGCTGAGCATGGTGATGTATGCCTATAATCCCAGCTACTCAGGAGGCTGGAGCAGGAGAATCACTTGAACCTGGGAGGCAGAGGTTGTGGTGAGCCGAGATCGCGCCATTACACTCCAGGCTGGACAACAAGAGCGAAACTCCGTCGCGGGGGAAAAAAAAAAAGATAGCTGCCTTTATAATGGATAGCCCCATTTACCCTGATGTGATTATTATGCATTGCATGTCTGTATCAAAACATCTCATGTACCCCGTAAATATATACACCTACCTTGTACCCACAAAAAGTAAAAATAAAATTCAAAACAAAGTAGCCACCTTTAAGCCAACAACAAACAAACAAAGAACGTTTACAAAGATGGTGATGGCAAAAAGCTAGAGCATACCACAGGTAAGCCTGGTTGAGACTGTTGCAGACTTTTGAGATAAAGACAGAGTTTGCCACAATACTTTCAGGCCTACTAAGGTCGTGACTATAGCAGCAGAGTCCCAGTGGGCCATGAGACTGTATCTGAAACATCCAAGTAAAGTGCAATAAATGTGCAATAAACATCCAAGTAAACTGCATTGGCTCAGGGCTGTGTGTTTGGGGTGGGGGTGGTGGGTAGAGAGAAAGAAAACGAACATAACAGAATCATCTGAAAGAAAAGACTTGCCTTCTCCCTCAAAAGATAATACGTATACAACCAACCTTTATTTTTTGAAAAGATATTTTTTTCTAGAAGTACTTACGAATTCAGTTTTTCTACGTTTTTGTGATAGTGGTTTCAGATCTAAAATGGAACATCTATTACACCCAGTCGATATTTATTATTATCCTCCATTGAATGCCATCATCACTCTCCAAAATGTGTTGAAGTTAGGTCTGTGGCATTTCCCTTTCCTCCAAAATGGGTGCTTTTATGTCTCTCTTAATGGCTGAGAGAAGGAGGAAAGAAAGACCAGATGCTTTATTAAGAGGCTGGAGCTATTTTTCTCATTTGCCCGAACCTTATATCTTAATGCAAATATCACTGAACAGGCGGCCCTCGTGGTTCCTGCAAACTGGGTACAATAAAGGTTTCAAACAGGATCAATGGGCCCAGGTTGTTTCTAATTACGATGGGATGTGTTCTTTGACCCAGCTCTGCATCTTGTGGACAGCAGCACCCTCTTAATGCTGCGGTCCTTGAAACAGAGCTGTCCAGGTCAGTGAAGGATACCTACTATTTAAACACTCATTACTTCTTTAAATTTTCCTCTGGTGCAAGAATGATCAGCAGTTCCAGCCTCTGTGAAGCAGGTCTCCAGCTGGATATTCAGCAAAAACACCTGCTTTCCCATCTCTCTCTGGACAGAGGTTCCTTACTCACTTGAGATATGTCCACATCTGTTTATCCTATCAGCTACTGAAGCAGGCAACTTCTTTCTTACCCTTTGCAAATGACACTGTTCTCTATGATGTGTTGATGTTAAAACATCACGGTTGAGGGAGGCTGCAAGCAGGCAAGTGGCTCCACTTAACACAGTGGTGTTCATGAGAGAATCAATTTCTCCTAAAACTGGTTGAGAAGCATTTGCATCTTTCTATCACCTTAAGGCTGCAATCACAGGGCCATAAAGTGGAATGAGGCTTTGCATGCCTACATGTTTGGGAGCAACTGTGTACTCCCTTTATAGATTTTTATCACCGAAGCCATTAGGGACTTTCAGCCACTTCGTCCACATAAGCATAGATGCATCAGCCTATATATGAACTTAAGTGCAGTTTCCTTTTATGCCATCACCTTTCTCTTTCCAACCTTTCTTCTGTTCCTTTTTCTTTAATGCCTTGGGAAGGACATAAACTTTGGCATTATACAGACCTGGCTTTGAGTTTTGTCTTTACCCTTTGACTACTGTGCTGTAAATATAGTTGGCCCTCTCTATCCGTGGGTTCCACAGCAGTGGATTCAACCAACCGCTGATAGAAATTTTTTTTTAAAAAATTGCATCTGTACTGGACATCTACAGACTTCTTTTTCTTGTTGCTTTTCCCTAAGCAATACAGTGAAACAATGATTTACATAGCATTTACATTGTATTATGTATTATAAATAATCTAGAGATGATTTAAGTATACAGGAGGATGTGTATAGGTTACATACAAAAACTATATCATTTTATTCAAGGGACTTGAGCATCCCCAGATTTTGGAATCTTTGGGAGGTCCTGGGACCAATCCCTCACAGATACTGAAGGACGACTGTATTTACTATGTGCTGCCTAGACATGTTACTTAACCTCCCTGAATTGCAGTTTACTCTTGTGTTTACAACACAGATAATAAGGCCTGTCTCTCTGGGTTGCTGTGCTGTTTCAATAAAGTAATAGGCATATGTACCTTGCACACAGAAGATACTCAGTAGACCCCCACTTCCACCCAGTCCTTTCTTTATTTTCCACATCATTATATTTCTTTGCATTAGTGTGAGTGCCATGATTTACATTTTTTAAAAACCACACCATGTTTGTGTGACTCCCAAGACAAACTTTCCAGCCTCTCCAAGTGACCACCTCCAGAGATAAGAAGCTTAGTGACTTGAAGTGGGTGGGGGAGAGAGAAGGAGGGAGGGAGAGAAGGAGACTTCTCTCACTGAAGCAGTAGAACACTAGAAGCTAATCTAGGACCTCCCCGAGAATTTTGTAAGGAGTCCAAGAAAAGCTATTAAAAAGTAATTTTTAGTGTCTCAGCTGAAGAATAAATAAACATTTATTGAGGACTATGGAGAGTCTCCAAGACACTATTTTACCCATATGAAGAAGGGGAAACTGAGGCTCATAGAGCTTAAGCATCTTGCTAGAGGTCCCAGCTAGTAAGGGGGCAGAGGGTTTCAAAGCCCAGGTTTCACCCCCTGCTCTTTTCTGCTCTCCTATGTTATTGCAATAGTTTGATGTCACGTAGGAGTTTTTAAATCAATTTCAATTCACTTTTGGAGGCAGTCACACTGTACAGACAAAGATGATGAGGTCCAAAAATTTGAGTTAATAAAAATGAAAATTTTAGATTTAGTGTAAAACTCAACTGAAGTCTAAATAAGATTACATGGTAACAACAGTGTTCTCTGTGGTCAGATTAGAACTGCTTATCTACTTGAACTGGGTCCTGAAGTTGAGACTAGGCAGTATAGCATGCTGGGATTTCTTTGCTCTCGCTTGATGAACTTTTCACCACTTTTCATGATGTGCCTATTGCAGTCCAGTGAGAGCTACATGGAAGAGAGTTCGTTCTACCCCTCATGCTTGCCACAAACAGTACCACACATTGACACGCTGATTATCCCTAGAGTTTCCAAACCACATGCTGCTTAGGAGCAACCAGGAAAGAGTGTAGAGGGAAAAATGAGCCCTGTTCCCCAGTTTGTTTTGGAAAGGTCACTTGCCCCACTGCATAGAACTTTCTCTGCCTGCCCTCTGTGGTGATCTCAGAGAGTGGCTGACACAACAACAAGAGCCCAACTACATTTCCAGTGCCTTTAGGACAAAGAGGAAAGCTGTGTGGAGGTCCAGCACCTCACCCCACCTCAGCCTGGGTCCCCTTATTCCCCCTGCCGCCCCTACCTCATCTCTCCAGGTGATGTTCCTGGCTTTGGAATGTGTTACATGACCCAGAGGCAGGCCACTCCCTGTACCATCCTTCCTAATCGCATGCTCTCTCTCTCTCTCTCACACACACAGAGACACCCTTCTTCACTGGGGCAGAATCCCTTAGAACAGTACCATCACAGAGCCGGAGGAATCTTATAGACTATTACATTTCATATCCTTTCATTTTACAGGTGAGGAGACTAGGAGCTAGTGAGGCTGACTAACTTGCCCAAGGTCAACGCCATTAATGTGCTCTTCCCTCTGTTAATGACAGCATGAATTGTTGGTTATCTTTAAAACTTCATATGATATTAGAAAATGAGCTTTTTAAAAGAATTACTGAAACATGGTAGTAAGTGACTTTGCTCAGGGAAAAATAGTGCCACTATTATCATTTCCTTTTTATTTCAAGCCCACACTTGGAGTTGTTAAAAGCATTTTGTATTTGCAAATCCAGATATATTATTTTTCACGTCACTATCACTTATTATTAAAATGTTCCTTGTGTGCCAACATTCTGGAAGATGCTGCCATGTCTACCAAATCAGACACAAATTGTATTCATACAGTCAAGTCCTCCATGCAACTTGATGCACCAAGCATTTATGCACCGTTTGCTGCAACCGGACATGTAGACAGTTGGTGGGGCAGCCCAGCCGGGTCTCTAAAACAAGCAGTGTTCATTAATTTGTGTGTATAGACAGTGGGTTCCACATGGTCCACTTGCTAAGGCTGCTCAGCCACTTGCAGATGATGGTCAAGAGGAACAGAATACCTCACGCAGCAACGTTGATGTCCTGTACCTGGGTAGTATAAAGGTTCCCTCAGAACCTTCAAGGGCAGGCAGGTGAGGTTAATGGGTAAGGAAGGCCTCCTAAGAGAGTGGGAAGGAGTGGGAATGTTTCCGTCTGGAGAGAGCCCTATTTGGGGCAGCCAATGCTCAACTCCAGAGTTTTGTCAGGTGGGGTCTTGGACTAGCAAAGCCAAACCTCTGATTTTTTTTAAGAAGTCAAAAATCTGGAGTTTGTTAAATCTCCTATTTTTCCCTCAATATTGCTAATTTAGTTGTTTTCTTCTCTCTGAGTCAGCTTCTGCCAGGTACTACGAGTTTGTGAGCCCCCGTAGAATTTTCCAGGGCAGGATTTGGAGGAATAGTTGGGCAGAGGATTAGAACTAGTGTCAGGGGTGAGCCTGCGTGGTACTCTGGCTGGGTCCACTTGTCATGGCTTCCCAGTCCTCGTGGCTTGTTAAACTGACTCATTAGAAGTAAGATGTGGCAATTGATGGACTCATTCTCTGACTTTGTAATCATTTCCAGCTCCGCTGCCATCCCTTTTGCTTCATGCTTGGCTGACACAATGACCCGCTGTACATCAAGGGTGTGGGAGGTAAGGGTGCGCATAAATGGAAGCTCTAGTAATTGAAAAGAATTTATTATTTTTAAAAAATTTATCAGCGTGAATGCATTCACACGGTTTTCAGACAGTCCTTTTGGTCTCCTTTGTTTCGTCTTCAATCTGGAGTACCTGAAAGCTGGTTTCCTGCCCAATTAGCATTCTGCATGGTTCATTTGGCTCATGGCAACCAATAATCACAACACCATTTGTACATCACAGTTCTGTGATCCAATTTGGGCTTAAAAACTGTAGGGAAAAATTATTGTGAAAAAAAATTTGGGTGTAGAAAGTCAATACAAATTAGTTTCAGATGAACCTAAATAGACCTGACAAATTCACCAAGCAGATGCCTATTAAAATGAAGAATGTTCTTAAGGTTTTCTGTGAATTTGGGGGTTTGGGGCAAATTAGGATTATAACTTTGTAGTAATGGTATGTTTTACAAAGGCCATTTCACTTCAGGCTAAGGAGAGTGAAAGGCTGAGACAAGTAGATGGAAAATTCAGATATAATAGGCTTACTTATGAAGTAAATGTTTTCATTTAGAATCCTTATATTGACAGTCTTCCTTTATCTAATTTTCTGAATAGCTGCTTAAGTCTAAGTTATATTTAGCCTATATAAGCACAGTCACAGACAGGGAAATCGACAAATGTTTGCAGATACCTATAAATATGCTACATGTGGGTAGCACTTTTCAAAGTTTTGAAAGTGACTTAAACAGCCTCTTAAATTGCAGCAACACTGCTCACTCAAGGTTTATAAACTCAGTGTTAAGTTCTGGTTTTTGTTCTCCTGGGCTGGTGCAAGTCTGTATTGCGTCATCTTAGGAATCCTGAGACTCAAGCCTGTGTTCTTTGGATGAGAAATGACAATGTTATGGAATTGGGATCCCTCCGCAAAGTAATCATTTCAACAAGAAAATTTATTGTCTACATATTTACAAGGGTTAGGGCCCAAAATTGAGTAGAAAGGGAATAATACATCAAAACTTCAACTGAAGAAAATTTTAAAGTGTTCATGTGGACTGACCAAGATTAACCAATACTTCCAGAGCACTTTCACCCGTATGATGTACATGTTAACTACCTGATGATATAATGATAGAAAGACATATAAAACAGCTATTTTTCCTGGCAGAGAGCCCTGCTGTAAACCTGGAGATACTTAAATGATGCTGGCTGCAGGGATAGCCAGAATAGCCACTGACTTGCATAACAGATTTCTTCTGCATGCATTGCTCTTCCTGCCAGCTTCTGGGGTTGAGAATTTTGCATTTGACACATGCAATCTTAAGATGGAAAAAATTAAAATTGGGGGATATAATAAAGTAGCAGGACATTGTCTTGTTAGCTTATAGGACATTTGTACAAAGATGAATGCAGTTGTTGAAGGATGGAGACTCGTTTGTCATGTCAAGAAAAATTAAGCCTTAAAAGCATACATACATCTCTAAACATTTCTAAAGGAATGAGAATTAGCCTTTTGAGTTTCCTTTCTTTCATTATATGCTGCAAATTCTCTGAGGCAATATGCTTCTTTATAATACTATTCTTGAGCTCCTGGTAAAAGTTGCCAGTTCTCCCTGACCCCTCCCCCTCCCCCTCCCGCCAGATGCTTTCTCTCCTAAAATCTAACAGCTGACTGGTGTCTTGTTTATGTTTTACTTTTGTTATTTATTTCTGCCCTTTAATGCTGTACTGAACAGGAGCCATGAGAAGCAAATCAGGGCACTTCAGAGCTTCTTTCCTTTGAGTTCAGATTTTCTAGGATAGGAAGAACTGGCAAATAAATGAATGAGTAGACTCTTGCTTTTCACCTGTCTAATAAATACATGTTTATGTCTCTTCATAATGGTTCACCCTTATGAACAAGTAATCATTTAAAGTTTAATTTTAATGTACACATCAGAGATGGAGACATGGAATTGTTTAGGCTTTTCTCTCAATCTGTCTCCCTCTTTGATTTTCAAGATAAAGCAAATTAATTAATGTGCACTTTTCAATTGAAGAAATGATTAAGACCCAGCTGTGTGTGTGAAATTATAAGTTACAGTGCAACACTTGGGACTGATTAATACTTTCTTGGCATGAAGAAAAGAGACATAGGTATATAATCAAAATGGTGTTCCAAAAAGCGTAAGTTAGCAGTTTGCCAAATTAACTTTCAAAGACATCTAGGTTACTAAGTTTGACATTTCTACACACAAATCTTAAATGATTGATGGATTACTGTAAAATAGCTTTGTTCAAAAAAGATAATCTTTGGCAGGTACTTCAAAGAGTTTACTGCTCTGGAAAGATGAAAAGAAATCCTCATTTTACATTAATTTTCATGATAGAGCAATGCTTATTTGCAATATGCCTGAGAATTAAGTGATATTTACTGTATTATGAGTCTTTTTTTTTTTTTCACTGTATCCAGCAGTCCCACATGGGATTGTTTTTATTTCCAAGATTTAGGAGAATTTTTCTGCACATAAAGAGCTTCGTCAAGAAAATACAGATGGGTAGAACAGTATATCTGACATTTTTATTCACTACGATTTCACTGCAAGGAAGTATTGAGACCAAAATATATAGAGATATGACTTTTTAAATCAACAATACCGTTTCAGAATGCAGTTTCAGATTCTCCTTGTAGTAATCTTCAGAGTGTGAAAGGATCTGCCTACTTCTCTTTATAGATTGTGTGATTTTATTTATTTATGCCTAAGTCACTGTAGAATGACATAAGTCAGGGGTGAATATCTCAATTAAGAAGTCAAGCAGGTAATGGAAATTAGTAAACAGGATGAGTTATAGATGTGTGTGTGTGTGTGTGTGTGTGTGCGCGTGCGTGTGTCTGTGTACCTGTGTGTTGGAAGTGGTGCCAAAGGGAAACTGTCATTTAGGTCAGTATGGCAGGTATTTTGATTTTTACAAAGAAGCTGAAAAATCTAGATTAATATCAGAAATCTCCTATTTTTCAATATTGGCAGTCACCTCAAATTTCTGAGTGATTTTGAAGGCAGAGTTTCATGACTGTGAAATAGCCATCTATAAAAGCCTAAAGATGGCTCAGGATAAAGGAACTAAAGCTCTTTGTTCCATATTGGAGAAACTTTGCAAAAGGGCTCAGATGCGTGGGGAAGGAGGTAGCAGTAGGTAACGGGTACAAGTTCCAAACACAAAAATCAACGAATTTACCATGTAGAAGATGTAAAGCAGAAGCCTTTTTTTCTCTCGAATTTATCTTTCAGGGTATTTCATTTTATGGCATTGAACAAAGCTGACTTGGAAAAAAATCTGTTCTTTACTTTTTGGCAGGGTGAAGTAGAGAAATAAAGTCTCCCCGCTGAACTACTATGAGGTCAGAAGCCTTGCTGCTATATTTCACACTGCTACACTTTGCTGGGGCTGGTTTCCCAGAAGATTCTGAGCCAATCAGTATTTCGCATGGCAACTGTAAGTACCCATGGTCTCACTCAGTGTCTCCCTTTGAGAACATTTTAGCCTGAATCAGCCTAGCAAAAAATAAAACTGAAAAATGAAATAGAATAGGTGACTTATTAGTCCTCTGTATGTGGCAAAGGTGGCTAATTCAAGTCTAGTCAAATTGATAGGATGATTTTTCTATAACTCCATCAGATGTTGTTGTGGGGACACGTGTGAGGATTTGAAACGCCCCTCGTAACCCTGATGAAGTCTCAGCTACTACATCGAGGCTGCCGTGTTCATGCCTTAAAATCAGCTCTGTGGGAGAATATCGCTATGATCTGGGTATTGGCAGTATTACTCGCTTTTATATATAATTCATATATCCGGACTGTTGCAAAATATGAACAAAAAGTAATGACCATTTTGGAGTACTTCAGAGAAAAATTTTTTTTGGACTTAGAAGTTACATAGTTAATAGACTTTGGTAAAGAGAAATTAATTTATAGAGGACCCATTTTAACTGTTTATAACTTTCCTTTGGTCTCTGCTTCATTGTCAGGAGTAGATACTAACATGATTAAGAATTCAGCTGTCTCCTCAAAAGAGGAGAGTCCTGCCTATGTGTTGGATGGAACATTCAATTTACCACTTTTTTTTCATGCCCTTCAAAAGGCTTAAGTATTTTATTACAGTAAAAATGTAAGAGAGCATTTTTTTCCTAAATATCTCTTTTCATAGTAATGACCCCAAAACAAACACTGAGTGAGCCATACAAAGGTGTCTAACATTAATATGCAATACTAAGGAGATCCAAATATGCCCAGTGTTCAGCTGTTCTTTCTGGGTTGGAAGAAAATGAGGTAGCAAAACTGACACACAAAACAATTAGAGTCCAGAGTCAAAGGGCATTATTAAGACCAAATGTGTAGTTCAAGTTCATCATTCCTGAAATAGCAGAGTCCACCTAACTCAAGGTTCCAAACTTAATAAACATTTATTTATTTCCATTTGAGGTAAGTTTTCTGTCTTGGATGCCCGAGTATAGAAGGGACTCCAGGGCAGGGCGCGGTGGCTTACGCCTGTAATCCCAGCACTTTGGGAGGCCGAGGTGGGCGGATCATGAGGTCAGAGGATGGAGACCATCCTGGCCAACATGGTGAAAACTGTCTCTACTAAAATACAAAAGAAAAAAAAATCAGCTGGGCATGGTGGTGCATGCCTGTAGTTCCAGCTACAGGAGGCTGAGGCAGCGGAATACCTTGAACTGGGGAGGCGGAGAGTGTAGTAAGCCGAGATCACACCACTGCACTCCAGCCTTATGACAGAGCGAGACTCTGTCTCAAAAAAAAAAAAAGAAGGGACTCCAGCCCAAATGGACTACTGTAAGCCACCCTTCAGTGATCACTCAAATCCATGATCGTAGAGACATTTGAGTTGTTTTAGCAATCTCCTTGATGAATGGGTACATGAAATTTCAAAGCAGTGGAAGGGAAAGCACAAGATTGTCTTATACCAAGCTCCCTTGTAAATAAAATATAGTAAGGCTCCTGATAAGATACCCACTGTGAGTAATGGTCAGATACTACAAGGGTGTAAAGTGAGGGTCGAAGCATAAATCTGTGAATGGTTTTCTAGTCATCATTTACACCCCCACCCCTCTCCAGAAAACAAGTGCCTTTTAAATGTGGCTCATCTTTCTTTCCTCCTGAGTTTGTCTGGAGGCTCGCCAGTGCTCTGGAGATCGTAGGTGTAAAGGCAGAGATGTTGAGATGTAGGTATTTTTAAAGGCCAGATCTCAATACAGATTGGCCACTCTCAGCCAAAGAGAAGTGTAGGAAAAGAGAAATATGCTCATTGACTCACCAAGTCAGGGAAAATTTCAGATCACCTGACTGGCTACACTCAGTTTGACCCTGTCCTGTCAAAGCCCACATCTCTGTGAAATTGTTAGCCAATTGCTTAACTCAAGGGTGAACTTCCCACAGTTCCTAGAATGCCAACCAACCTCTCAGGGGCTGCCTTCAATAGTGGATTATTCCAACTGGACGCCTGTGGAGACTGTATTTTTCTTCTGGCTCCTGGACAAGGGCTCTCGCCTCCAGACCACATTGCATTTGTGGTGATTGATGGGAAGGCTGCTTTGAAATAGTTTTGTCCCGAGACAAGATCTTTGGCAGACTGCCCCCTCAGGCTTAGCTCTACAGAAGATGAAAAGAAAACTGTGGAAGAAAAGAGCACCTTCATGCAAAGGGTTCACTAGCGAGTTGAGCCCTGAGAAAGAGAGACAAATCAAAAATTGTGACACTTAGAAATATAAATCCAGGCTTATAATTATCTAGAAATGAAAGTGTAACTTGATGAACCTTAAGGAGCACTCTTCTATCATATTTCCTAAAATAACAGACTCATATGGAAATGGAAAATGGTGGCATGGTCTGACTTAAACACGGGTTTCTTTTGTGACCTGTCTCCCTCCCCTCCCTACCCTGTCAATTCCTGGCTTGATTTGCTTTTCCTTTCTTGCCCCATCTCCTCTTTTCACAGATACAAAACAGTATCCGGTGTTTGTGGGCCACAAGCCAGGACGGAACACCACACAGAGGCACAGGCTGGACATCCAGATGATTATGATCATGAACGGAACCCTCTACATTGCTGCTAGGTAAGGGGCCTTTTCCCCATGTCTGCCTTGAGAGTGTCCAAAAGCCCAAGGTCCTAAATTTACCAGCTATGCATTATTTTTAAGATCTTGAGGTTTCTAAATAGAGTGTTATTTAACTTAAAGCCTCCTTTAACTTATCAAGCAATCATTATTTCAAAATTGTCTGTGTCTGTTTAACCCTATGTGGATTTAAATAGAAATAATAGCATATTTGGGCACTTACACTCAAATAATCCACTGTTTATCTTGAACATATATGCAAATATTTATTCAAGCACCCATTAGAATGCTCTGCTCCTTAATACTCTGTTTGTTTGTTTGAGATGGAGTTTTCGTTCTTTGTTGCCCAGGCTGGAGTGCAGTGGTGCAATCTCAGCTCACTGAAGCCTCCCTCTCCTGGGTTCAAGCAATTCTCTTGCCTCAGCCTCCCAAGTAGCTGTTGTAACAGGCATGCACCACCACGCCTGGCTAATTTGGTATTTTTAGTAGAGACAGGGTTTCACTATGTTGGTCAGGCTGGTCTTGAACTCCTGACCTCAGGTGATTCACCCACCTCGGCCTCCCAAAGTGCTGGGATTACAGGCATGAACCACTTCATCTGGCCTAATACTTATTTGTTAAATTAAGGTGAATGTGTAAACATGTATTATATAGTGTGAATGTAGGTGTGTGCATTAAACCTATTTGTATTTTTGCAGTTAACATATATATCATTGATAATCTATATCATCACTTTGAAAGAACGGCAATGACAACCAAAGAAAGCATTATATATATTTCAGAAGGTTTTTATTTGGTTTTAGTAAAAAAAAAATACTCATCCATTGGGGAAATGTTATTTAGACAGACAGGCTGATGTCTTAAGGCTGAATGGCATGGTAAGAATACGGCTCAAACAGGGATCACATAAATTTAGGCTTTTGTTATAATTCTGCTCTTAATTTAGCCGGACCACAAGTTGTCTGGCCATAAGTATCCTCTGCCAAATGAGATGTTGTATTTGATTACCTTAATGAAGTCCCTAAGGAGTCCAACAATATATGATCCTCCATTTTGGGAGTGTGTAGCTATTCAAAATAATTCCAAATGAACAGCAACATGGAGCACTATCTTGTAGTGTCCCCTGTGGTCTTTCCTGGCTCTACACTGTTTAATCATTTCACACTGGGGAGAAGAAATGAAGATTATGCTTTTTTTTGAGACAGGGTTTCACTCCCATCGTCCAGGCTGGAGTGCAGTGGCGCGATCTCAGCTCACTGCAACCTCCTCCCCCGCACCAGGGTTAAAGCAATTCTCCTGCCTCAGCCTCCTGAGTAGCTGGGACTACAGGTGCCCGCCACCACGCCCAGCTAATTTTTGTATTTTTAGTAGAGATGGGGTTCCACCATGTTAGCCAGGCTGGTCTCAAACTCCTGACCTTCAAGTGGTCCACCCGCCTCGACCTCTCAAAGTGCCGGAATTACAGGTGTGAGCCACCATGCCCGGTCTAGAATTGGAGATCGTTTCTATCTGGCATAAGGAAAGAACAAGTAAATAACAGTGGTTGATTCTTCTAAAGCACTTAGATGTTCTGAGGTGATAAGCTGTGCAACATAAAGTTAAAAAAAAAAGGGGCTAGACTAAAACATCCTGAAACTGCCCCTAACTTGGCTACAGGAAGCAATGTCCAAATACTTTCCTAAAGTTTTACTTTACAAATACTTATACAGTATATACAACTAGTATGCTCTGCACATACAATTCACAAACATAGCTGTAGATTCTTTATGAATGTCAATTCATCCAATCCTGGAAACAACCCTACAAGAAGGAGCTATTATTATTCCCATGTCTTATAGGAGGAATCCAAGGGACAGATAGGTGAAATGATGGGGCCAAAATGACAGAGGCAGGATTTGAACCAGGATGGTCTCGCTCTAGAGTCCATGCTGTCATTCCCTGTACTATGCTGCATACTGAGGAATAGAGCTGGTACTGTTTGTCCTGAGAATACCCTTGTAATAGCTGTTGCCCAAGAACATGGTCATTATGAGTAGCCATTATAAAGCATTTCCATAAGATGCTCAGTAGTCACCTCTCTGATAGAATACCAGCTCCTTCTTAGATGTCATTTTTATTTTCCTAAACGTAATAGGGTTGGAAAATGACATACTCAATTATCTAAGGGCTGATCAAAACAAATGATAAAACATTGAATCTGTGAGAAATAGGTTGACTTAAGAATCTCTTGTGAATTGTTCACTTTCCAGTTGAGTTTCCGGGGGAAAAAATGGTATAACAGACTGCCCTTGTACTCGATGATTTAGCAGGGCGTGGACCATAGGTCCCAGGGCTACATGAGTGTTAGGAGCAAGGTACTATGCAGACTTAAAAGTGACCATTAGTCTAGCTCATTAAAACCAAGACAGTTTTATTCTAACTCCTCACCCCAAGGAAGGAAAGGAAAAGAAGGATAAAAAGAAGAAACACACTAATATTTGAAACTATCAAATAAGCTCATCTTTACTAAAGGTCAAGTTTGTATCACTGTAGCATTGACATGTTTGTTTTCACACCATACGCAGCCACTTCCTCTCAACAGACAACCTTAGAAAAATTCTTAAAGGAGTTCCATGCCCACCATATTTAGGACCTCTTCTCTCCTTTTAATTTTACACTTTATTTTTACACTTCCAACTTTAATTCACTTTAATTTTACACTTCTCAACATTGCTCTGAGAGATCTAGGTTTCTAGGCAGCAAGTAACACGATTTAAAGCTAAATCCCTCCCCGCACCCCACCCCCCGGCCAACCCCCGCCCGCCCAGGTTCAAGCCATGGCAACACAATTCAGTGGTGCTTGCTGGAGGGGGAAGAGGAAGTCCTAGGATTAAGTCAGTTTATGTTCAAATAACTTAATTCAGGAAGAACAGCATATGAGACCTGGGATGTACACTAAGATGGTTGGGAATGACCCCTGACCCTGGTCTGTGGTTTACCATAAAGCACCATTTTTATTTGCTAGGGCCATGTGAGCTTTTGGATATTGAAAAAGATTGTCATTGTCCAAAAGAAGATTTCATTCACAGAATTCTGTGTTTAAAAGGCTTCCCAGTTCTTCTAGACAATTGCTGTCAGCAATCGCAAGCCAAGTCCCATCCAGAACCCGGGGGACTGAGTGAGGGTTGGTGGCAAGAACCCCTTTCAATTCTGCTTTATTATTATCCACTTTGTAAATTCCTCTTCTTTTTTAATCTCTAAACTGCTAATTAACATAAACAGGCCATGCCAAAAGGGGGCAATCTGAGAGCTTTCTGAGGAGCTGCCAATGCATATTAATCAGTTGTTCATTTACAATTCATATGTTCAGCTCAAACTTAAGTTCTGAGGGGAGGCAGGCAAGGAAAAGCCTCGAGTCATCTCAAACCTGATAGCAAAGTAATAGGCAATTCCATTCCAATAATGAGTCTGACCACAGCACCACCAATAAAGTCAAGCAAGTAATAAACAAATGCAATAAAACTGCCTTGAAATTAAAGGGCAGGGTGATTCTGGCAGCCTACTGAAGTTTGAAGAAACTTGCCTATTCAGCAATTTACAAAACAGGCCCCTACTCCTCCACCCCTTACCACGCCCTTCCACCCCCTTCCACCCCCTCCCCCCATGCACACTCACAGTAGCTGGCAAGGGAATTTTCTAAGCCAACTGCCCTTCCCGCTCGTTTTATATTCACGTGAGTCGGCCTGTTATCTTTCTCTGTTGTATTTTTCCTAAAACAAAAAGCAAACAGATTTCCCATGAACTGAAAAAAATTATATATATGTATATGTGAATCCTGCAAATAATTCCTTTCTTATCACCTCCCCGCTCTTTCTTTTAAGTAACGAGGGGACTTAAAAGTCTGTATGGGAGACGAGGTCCTGGTTTAAAGCTGTGGGTAATTTTTCAGCCCCAGGACTTCCTGCATTTTAGAGAAAGTCAATGTTATTTCAAGGGAAAATGAGCTGTTTTGCTTTCCCTCAGTAGCCCCCCATCTCCTCTGTTGAGTGTAGTTCTTTTCTTTTCTTTCTTACAAATTCCAGACAAAAACGCCCTTGTACTCAGCTCACACAGAAGGGGATGTTTAAATATAGCCCCACACCTGAGCTGCTGATTCTCTTTCTCCCCTTCCAAGGCTAGATTGGCAGCAAATTGTAAAGACAACCCAATTCTCAGCAAAACAGGAAGGTGAACAGAAGCAAGAAATGTAAACTTTAGCTTAAGTACATTTTAGACTTTAATTGACCATCATTATGAGGGAAAAGAGTGGCTTCTGGAAATAATTTTACCTTTGTCGTCATCCATCCTGTCGATCAAATAGTCACAGTTAAGATGGAAATATATTTTCAAAAGAGAGAGGGCGATGGAGATCATTTTTTTTGTTAGCCCTCTTGATGAACAGATGTGGCATGTTGAATACCAAGTATTTGGTACGTGTATTTGAAGATAATGAAAGGGCACACGAATCCATCTGTGTTCTAGTCTTTGGGCCAATTTAACTTTCAGAGCCCTCCCTTCTGAGCTACATATATGCAGATGCTATAGTTCTAGTGTCAGAGAGAAGAGCTAATACAGGAAAGTTTTCATAAACGGTGTTCCTTGGAGCACAATGCCATGATTTATCAGAAGGTGCTAAATGGGATCCGGAGACATCTCTTGAAGGCTGCGCTCTTTTCTTCTTGCATGTGGATATCATGAACATGGATATGGGCTTATCTGCCCTGATAAGACATAACTCATTAAGCAGAAAATGAACTGTTTTGACTCTGTGTTTGACCTTGTATTAATTTTTCTTTGCCTATAGGGACCATATTTATACTGTTGATATAGACACATCACACACGGAAGAAATTTATTGTAGCAAAGTAAGTTGTTTTAAAACTATATTTGTAAAATGAAGGACCTTTGGATAGTTCTTGAACAGAATATGTATTTTAAGTGCATTAAGATGATGTAGCTAATCATAATTTAGAGATGCCAACATGCATTTTGTGAAATCCTAATTAGGGAATAGGTTAGGATTTGATACATGTTCAGAAACAGTTATGTACTTCATATTTTATTCATCAAATATATGTGTACATATACATTTTGAAGTTTTACATAATTTCTACATTTCTTTTATAAAAATATTGCCTCATTTATCCAGGAAAACATCAGTTTTCATAAGTAAAATTTTGTTCCACAAATGTATTCTACAAAGGTTTCAATGTTATATTTCCATGTCTTGCAGTATTAAGTTTGATTTGACTGCTGTGGTTCAGGAACTTGATCGTTACCCATTTCAGACAGACATAAAGTATAACCTAAGCTTTCCTCATAACTCCACATGGGGATATTTTAGTTAATAAAACCTGTGCCATAGGAGTAGAAGATCCCTTCAGTCCATTAATCTATGTGAAGGAGTATAACCTGAATTAAATCTTTGTCCACCTAGAGTGAATGTCCTCTTTATGTTTAAGAAAATGACTTCTGTATTTTAAGAAAAAAGCCTTCTTTATAAAAATTGATTTATCAACTGAAAGGAAAGGGCAAGGACATATATTTTATCCAAATGAGCATAATTTGGCAAATTAATTTGGATAGTTTATGAAAAATTTCCACACTCTTGTTTATTCTTCTTTCTTTTCTCCTTCATCTTTATCTCAAACAGAAGAAGACCATTTTGTGGTTTAATGAATAGATAGGAGTTCAAAATTAAACGGACGTTTTCATCTGGAATCTTTTGTTGTTACGGTGAATTAATCATGGAGAAAGGGTGCAGAAAGCTTTCAATAAATATATGTTCAGCCTTTAGTCTCCCCAAGGGAACTCTTACTTCTAAAATCAAACGCAACAACCTCTGGGCTCTAATTGATTTCTTTCTTGATCCCTGCAGAAACTGACATGGAAATCTAGACAGGCCGATGTAGACACATGCAGAATGAAGGGAAAACATAAGGTAGGCAATTTTCATTTCTCCTGCAGCTGCCACTTTGGGTTAAGTTTTTGACTGTTATCTCCAGCCATAGACCGTGATGTAGAATGGATTGTGCTTTTTCCTTTTTCCCTCAGTAATTGCTTTTTTCATCAACTTACTGAAGGCTTTAATTTGCAAAAATAGTTTGCTTTTAATGTGATGAAACATTACAACAGCTGCTAGGCCTGCATCATGAACTACTTAGGCGCACACAGGATTATGGACACAAAGCCGGCTGCCCAGAGTCTTGTCTTCTGAGTGTACGCCGATGCCCACCTCCGCAGTCCAAGGCCCACAGGGAGTCTGTGGAAGAGCTCATAAAAGGCTGCCGCAGACATGCAGGGTTTTGTGCCTGTGGTCATATAACAACATAAAAACACACTTCAACCAGCAGCTTTGTACATCAGGGAACGCTGGAGCATCTGGCATTAAAATTAATATGATGGGAGGTTGGCATTTCCAGGCTTGCCTTCCTTTTGTGACATAAAATAAACACACAATCTTCCATTCTATGCTTTGTTTTTATTTACGTTGAAAGAGTAATCGTTGATGTCGGCATCATCTTGTGGTTAACATCAGGAAGAACTTGAACTTTTAATGGGAGAAGTCCTCAGCCACCTCCACTTTAACCTTACTGTCAGCCAACCATGGCATACAGTGAAGAATCAGTTTCTGTACTGAATGGACATGATACAAAACAGTTTGAATTATTTTTCAGGATGAGTGCCACAACTTTATTAAAGTTCTTCTAAAGAAAAACGATGATGCATTGTTTGTCTGTGGAACTAATGCCTTCAACCCTTCCTGCAGAAACTATAAGGTAAATGCTATTTGTCGGTTGGAACCACACTGCCAGGAGGCATTTCATAATTTACTGTGATTGTACCTGCAGCAACCTAAGAGGGGTAATTCAACACCACCTGAGTTCCTCTCACTTGTTCAACTTAATGTATTGCTCCACATGAGTGATCCTAAGCAGGCTTCTAAGCTTCCTGTTTGTTCAGGATTGATTGACACATCTTTAAAGAGCCTGCCTAGCAAAGTTAGTTTCTGTAAGACCCTTTTCTCTATTGTTCAGAAGACTGACATACTTACCACGTACACCATGTGGATTTCCTCTATTTTTTTTCTCCCTCCCACCCCACTATCTAACCTCTGAGCACAAAAGCACACTTATATGGTGAGTGATTTCTATTCTAAAAGGTATCTCAAAAGCACGGCATTTGAAACCGTAGACTTTCCTACAAGAACACAGGAATTTAATTCCATTGAGCACTCAGCTTTCTTGACCACGGCCTTGCTTACTTTGGCTTTATGCAAGGGCTGGAAAAAGCCCTCTTAAAGAGTTAGTAAATCTAGCTGGTTTTGATGCAGCTAACAGAGGTGCTGATGAAGGAGCAGGGACCTCGCCAGGCCTGGAAGCAGAGGTGGCAGTGATCTGAGGTCTTGGCTGCACCACTGTTAGCCTTCCTTGTACATCTTTCTGCCAGCCTTTGTCTCAGGAAACATGTACTGTGTTTCTACTGTGGCCCATCGCTGAGGTTGTAAAGACAGACAGGAGGCCTCAACCCTTAGGGAAGCCAGGCAGGGAGAAGAAAACAACAATTTCATGGGGTTGCTGCCATGGTGACATCATGCAATGGATTATGGAAGCACAACACAAAAGTTCCTGCCATGCATGAGGTGAGGAGTCTGGGAAAGCTTCAGAGGATGACCCCGTGTCTTCAAACTTTCCTACCTGTTGTTCCCACATCGGGAACACAAATACCACCGCCCTTAAGAAACACAGGCTCTACAAGGGCAGGGATCACATCTGTGATTCTCCAGAACCTAACATAGTGCCTCCCAAACAGGCGTTTAATTAATTTTTGTAAAGCACTGAATGAGGCAATGCCTAACCTTTGTCTTAAAGGGTAAGGAGAAGTTAGCCAAATGAAGGAAGAAAAGCATTCCAGTTAGCAGGGAACAGCATGAACAAAGGCATGGAGTAAGAAATGGCCTATTGAGCTTGAGAAATCTCATTTGATTCTGAATTGTGTGACTGTGAAATGACAAGTGTTAACAGAAAAAACTGGAGATGTAGATAGCCCCAGGGATGAAGGGAAGAGAATAGATAAAACCAAACCGGTAGGATTTAATAATAGATAAGCACAGGATAAAGAGAGAGAGAGGTGAGTCAAGAATGACTGCTAGGCCATCTCTTGGCGAGTAGATGGATGGGGCTGCCACCAATTCAGACAGGAAATAAAGGAAGAGTTGTGAGATTGGGGTTGGGGGTTGGGGGAGTGTGAAGGTATGGGCTCCATTTTGCACAGTATGAGAATGCCAAGCACTGTGAACGGCACTGCCTATAGGACATGAATAGAGCTATCTAGCAAGAAGATGGATCAGTAAGCTTTGGTTTAGAGACAGATGTGGAGAGAAATATAGATTTGGGTTTCATCATCATAAAGTGAAACCCTAGGAGTGGGAAGAATGAGAAAAGCAATGATAGGCTGGAATCCGCACCAACAAGCTCACCAGAAAAACCCCCTGTCTTTTTTTGGCATGTACAGTGAAGGGAGGGTCTGTTTGACCCTCATACTTATCTTCCATCTTACACTTGGAAATGGGCACCAACAGGGCCAGGATTAGGGTGGAGCAAGTGAGGCATGTGGCTCAGGCACAAAATAGAAGGGTTCACCAAAAAATTCCGTAATTAAGATGTTAGATTTTTAATGCAATATTTTTTAAAAATCAAAATTAATTAATACATACAGGTCTGTCATAAACCAAAGATCAAGTTTTTAAGTATAAAGACAAGATTCATCAGTTTATAATAGAGGTAGCCAGTCTAGCCCAGCATTTACTCTAGCTAGTGACAGCATACAGATAAGGTTTCAACTTTAATTTACCACTTAATATTCCATCCCTGTTTGTCATTGTTTAGGACTCATTAAGATTAATGCTTCTAACAAATCCCAAGGAATTCCCTAGATGGAAAGCTATCTTTTATGACAAAGTACAGGTTTTCTTGGCACAGTAATATACAGGCCATGAATGGTCTGGCTTATTCTTCCTGTACATGTTCCATTTCCCATGATTCTACACTTATAATAATGCCGTCACCTCTTGCTTGTTCTTGCCACACCTGCTGAGACATGCTCCAGTAGCCCAGGCCTCTCAGAAGCCACAGATGGGATGTTGCTCATGCTCAGTTCCCAACAATATGCCTAGCGCTGTGAATGGTAGTAAGAACCCTTGGCATTGCTCAGAAAAGTGTATTTTTAGACTCAGGGGACAGTGTGACATTGCTGATGATATGGGACATAATGTATTTGGCTGCAGGGAAAACGACAGCTTCTGTCTTAAGTGCTTTTTATCAACAGATCAGGACAAAGGTTCAAAGTGAAAACAATGACCAGTCTTCCAGTGAAAAACCCAAGTCTTATCATAGCACACAAGCATCAAGTTGATTAGAGTGACATGAAGCAAGAGAGTGACAAATTTTCAGTATCTGCCTCTCTACCATGCCCTGATCTATATTAATTTTTATAACACAAGTAAGCTGAATGTGTTAGAAAGGTTATAGCCCCAAATTAGATTATCAAGATTATCTAGGGGAGAGCTTTGAAGGCTACCCACTATAAATCTAAAAGTGCACTCCCTGCCTTTTTCCTCCTATTCTCTAAACCTTTTGAACTTCTGCAAAAATCAGGCTGGGTCTTTGTATAATTATCTGTACCTGATAGCTGTTTAACTTCCCAGGAGCTGCTGCTGTGAAGTCTAAGATTTGATGACTGCTTCAAGGGTTAGTTTTCACTTCTTGGAAAGAGGAAGTCACCATGGCTTTTGCCTCTGGACCTTTCCAACCTCACAAACCGAAACATTTGTACTTCACTACTTCTTGCCTTTGACCAGCTATAGGTATAGCCACTTTTTTTTTTTTTTTAGGTTAGTTACATTATAAAGAAAACCATATACCCCTTGTCTATTGTTTCCTCCTTGCTAGGATTAGAGCGTGCACAGCTTAGGATAAGGGCATTTCCGTTGCATCACTGTGTGCTAAGCATCATTTTTGAATACATGCCAGACCCACAGACCACAGAGTCTGTCAGAGTTCAACAAAAAGCTCTTGGTTGGTATAAAATATCTGAAAAGGACTTTCATAAAAAAATGTGCTGGGTGGAAGAGTACACTGCTTGAAAGAATGTCTGATTTGACCATCTTTCCCCTAAAAATATGTTTTTAACACAGCTATTTTATGTGATTCTCAACTACAGTTTAAAAGTGGCTTCAACAGGGTCCATCTCAAAGTGATTACAGATTACAAAAGGCCTGTCACATCCTGGAAATTATTTCTGAGGGTTTAGGGCAAAAGAAAAGGTTGTTGTTTGTAATTAAGTCTGATTATTTCATTTAGATGGATACATTGGAACCATTCGGGGATGAATTCAGCGGAATGGCCAGATGCCCATATGATGCCAAACATGCCAACGTTGCACTGTTTGCAGGTAAGCGACCTGATTTCTCCTCGTTGCACTTGCTTTTGCTTGTTTCATCCTGTCACTGTGAATCTGCTCTAGAGGATTCGTGGAGTCACAGTTGTGCTTTGATTCTCTGGTGAATACTGTAATTAAGAATGCCTTTCTGTTTGAAATTAGTATGAAAATTGTACTTTTGCAAGTCTTTGCTTCACTTACCCATGTGTTTGTGCCTTCAGGAAAGGATAACAGCATAGCGCTGAACATGTGATGGATCAGTTAGGGAATGTTTGGGCTCAAATAATAGAAAATCCCACCTCAAACCACCAATGTAAAAAAAAAAAATTAAATTTAAAATCCCCTACTGATGTGCCTTTATTGTTTAAGGTAGGATGGACTTTGGGATTGGCTAGGTTCAACAACTCAACAGTGTCATCCGGGAGGCAGCTCCTTTTCATTCCCATGCTCTATGTCGACCTCATGATGAGACTGGTGGTTCTCACAGTCAGAGGATGACTGCCAGCCCCAATTAGGGCTACATGTCTTCCTGTCCACATATAGAAAAGAAAGGGAAAGAAACAAAAGGAAGCCTCTGGAAGCTCTCTCAGAGCAATGAGGCCACATACCCCCAAGCTTCCAACAAACATCTTCTCAAATATCATTGACCTGATTAGGTTACACACCCATCTCTGACCAAAAGACTATGGTGGGTGAGGGGAGGGTGCTAATTGCTTAGGCTGACCTCTACTCCCCAACACTACTCCTTCTTTCCACTGCAAAAGATATAAAGAAATAGCAAACAGACCATCATTTTCAGATGTAGTGGGATTTTTGTGTATGAGTTTGTGTGCTTTAATTAGAAATTTATTTAGGAATTCATTACCAGCTGTGTATGTGGAGGTGGGTGTAAGAGAAGTGTTGGTATAATAGTGATTCTTATAGCTTGTAATAAAGCAGTTAGCTATAATTTCCATCACAACAGCTAAAAACTGGCACATACTAGCTGGATGAGGGACCCTAGGGCTTTGATTATGAAACAAGATTAGTTCCTGGCTTCCTGAACCTCTCCCTCAGTGTCATTCATTTGTGGGCCTGGATCTGCAGTGATAGATTGTCAAGTTAAGAAGGGCAGGTTCCTCGGGTTCTCCCCCTAAATGAGAGCACAGGATTACTGAGAAGCAGTTCCGTCAAGAATACAAAGTCTTGTAGACCTATTTGTAAGGTATGAGCAAGGCTAGTGGAAAGAGTACTTGAGCATACTCCCAAGTACATGACTACTGCTGGAGGTCCTCACTGACACTTGGAACCTGCATTAGTTGGGGCCTTGGAGAATGTGGGCTGCAGGGGAGAATTTAAATTTAACTGTAGGGCCAGGAGTGGTAGCTCTCACCTGTAATCCCAGCACTGTAGGAGGCCAAGGCGGGGCTATAGGAATATAGAATACATATTCTATAGTCTTATATAAAGAATGTCTTTATGACCTGGGGCTCAAAATCCATAAGAAAAGTTATGATTCGTAGATATTTTTTGGGCCAATTTAAAGGTTTGCTCTCTGCAGTTTAAATCTACCAAAACTTATTGATATATAGCTGTTAATATTGCAGATATTAAGACATCTCTAAATTGAACCTGGACAAATTTTAATTATTTTAAGACCAAAGACAGACATCGAGATCTTTGTTTAAATATATTTGGATATGAGTTTTTTTAAAACAAACAAAACAATAAACCATTATGTTTACACTACATATAAAAGAGCTTGAACAGTACTATGTTGTATGTAAGTCACTTTGACATACAACTAATGAATATCTGCAATCCACTAAAAGTGAATCACGGAAGTAATTTTTTTATTTTGAATATAATTCTTGTTTCCATGTAATCAACATAGATTTTGCTATTCTAGAACACCCCTTTTGATTATTTGTTGGCAGAGTGTTTGCTGAGCCAGGAAGGAACCAAAAAGGTCTAGAGACTAATCTTCAGTCTGCTTTATTCTCTTATGCCTGGGATCTACCCTCAATCGTATCTCCCCCAAAGCATGAATTACTAAAGAAAGACCTATTTGAACTCAGCGTAACCCCTTCCCCTTTCTTCTTGGCTTTAGCCAAGCTGTGTTTCGGAATGTTTTTAGTTTGTGACTTTGGAGATGCGGAAGCAAATACCTGTTATTGAAACCAGATTGCGAGGGTTTAGTGAACTGTCAAGCCTGAGGTCAAGAGGAGCTGTTACTCTCAGGACAGTAGCAATTTAGTCAGCCCGTTTTTGCTTATGAACCCTCTCTCTTCAACTTCTCTCACCTGATCAGGCTGAGGACTTCTTTACTTATGCATGTGCCTAAAATTTCTGGGGACACAATCAGCATCTATCTTTCCCTGGGCTCTCACCTAATCCAGTTTACCATGGTGTGGTGGCAGTAGTAGTGTCCAAGGATCCTTGGCCTTGAGGTTTCAGTCAAGGTCCAGCTAATCAAGTGAAGCAGACATCTTTCATCTACCCTGTTCCCTGAGCTGCTGCTGCTGCTGCCGCTTAAAAAAAATTGCCATGCAATTTTAAAATGAAAAATGTTTCATCTCTCATGATCCCAATTTAAAATGGTTAGGAATGTGGGCCAAGAGTTTTCCCAGCGACTCTTGGATTTTTCCCAGTTGTGCTATCTCATTTGCCTGATGTTGGAAAGCAATCTAGGGGATGTCTTTATTATTCCTCCACCCCCACTGACTTGCTCCCACCCTGTTCACCTCTTTTCTTTTTCTTCTAAGATGGAAAACTATACTCAGCCACAGTGACTGACTTCCTTGCCATTGACGCAGTCATTTACCGGAGTCTTGGAGAAAGCCCTACCCTGCGGACCGTCAAGCACGATTCAAAATGGTTGAAAGGTGAACAAACAATTAAAAGAAGGAGGGTCGGAGGGGAGGGGAATACACATCTTGTGGGAGATTTAGAGTCTGGAGGGACCAGACTGTATCTTCATTTGAGTAATGGCTTCTGACAGACAGAAACATGTAAATTGCATCTTTGGCTTCAACTGATTTATTTACCTCCCTTTTTTCCTTCCCCTGAGTTTCTGGAGTATTAACAAAACTACCAATGCCACAACAATAGAATACATTACATTCATGTTTTCTTGCTTCAAGCTCTCATTTCTGAGTTCTGCATGAAAAGAACTGAACAATGTATTCATGGAAGGGGACAGGGGCTTGGAGGTGGTGGAGAAGAGGAGAAAAGCTATTCACAACCCTGTATGAGTCAGGGTGACAAGGCAATGTATACAAAATCTTCTCTGTAATAGGGGCATTCCATTGTGGAAAATAAAATTACAGAGATATGCAAAATTCCATATTTCTTCATTGTTGATTGCAAAGCTTCTGAAAGAGATAATGTGTAAGTGTGAATGCCTTGTGAAATCACCAGCACTTGCATGTGTGAAGTCATTTGAAATGGTTAGTGTTAACCAAATGTCTAATGGTGCTACACTTTTAATTAATAACATGTCTTTGGCTACACTTGATTGAAATTCTGTTAACTCTGTTTGACATGTTCCCAATTAAAGTGCCTGTTTGTCTACAGAACCATACTTTGTTCAAGCCGTGGATTACGGAGATTATATCTACTTCTTCTTCAGGGAAATAGCAGTGGAGTATAACACCATGGGAAAGGTAAGAGGGGATGCTGTCCTTGGCTCAGTTTGTAACATTTTCAGAAACCCACACCTTTGGTCAAATGTTGTTATAAATGATCTTGAAATGAGAGCCATAAATCTAATAACAGAGTGCGGTCTGGAGGCCCTATCTGCTGTTTCAGAACAGTAACGAAATCGCAGGAAATTTCTTAAGTATTTCTATGGAAAATTTATGTTTGGTTGGTTTCATGCTGAGATTCAAGTATCTTTTTTTTCTTTTTGAGACGGAGTCTTACTCAGTTGCCCAGGCTGGAGTGCAGTGGTACAATCTCGGCTCTCTGCAACCTCTACCTCCCGGGTTCAAGTGATTCTCCTGCCTCAGCCTCCCGAGTAGCTGGGATTACAGGCATGCGCCACCGTGCCCAGCTAATTTTTTTATTTTTAGTAGAGACAGGGTTTCGCCATGTTGGCAGGGTGGTCTCGAACTCCTGACCTCAAGTAATTTCACCTGCTGCAGCCTCCCAAAATGCTGGGATTACAGACATGAGCCTCCGCACCTGGCCCGAGATTCAAGTGTCTTGAGATGTGGTTTCCAGGTATACTCAACAGTTTTGTTTTTTTTTTCTTAATTGAGTTGCTCCACAGAGACTGTAACTATGCAGTATCTTTAATCAAATTGAGTTTTGATTTTTGTCTTTATTGCAAAAAGCAATATACAACACTTAGGGGATGTCCATTTTAGTTCTTTTTACCAGAGAGTAGATCAAGGTCCCTAAGTTGGAGGGTAACATAGAATGCCAGGGTGGCTTGCACAGATTCAGGGCCCAGAGGCAGCTAGTGAGGATGGCAGAGATTGTGCATACAAAGTGTGCTTTTGTTTGAGGAAATAAAAAGCTAAGCAGTCTGTATGGAAATGACTTTATGTGGCTCGGAGCTGATTCCCTGAAGGATTTATGACTCTGTATTAAATGCCACAGCCTTATCTTTTAAAACATGCTACTCTAATGCTGAGTTTTCCTCTTTTTTTCTTTTCTTTCTTTTTTTTTTTTGTTACTGATTTTAGAAACAGTATTAAGCACCTTGTTGTTTTGTTTCTGTTTTCAAGGAATGCAGATTCTACTAAGATCTCCTTGCAAAATGAATGCATTTAATTTTCCCTATGTGTTTTTCCTCTGCAGGTAGTTTTCCCAAGAGTGGCTCAGGTTTGTAAGAATGATATGGGAGGATCTCAAAGAGTCCTGGAGAAACAGTGGACGTCGTTCCTGAAGGCGCGCTTGAACTGCTCAGTTCCTGGAGACTCTCATTTTTATTTCAACATTCTCCAGGCAGTTACAGATGTGATTCGTATCAACGGGCGTGATGTTGTCCTGGCAACGTTTTCTACACCTTATAACAGGTAATCATGCCCTAGCTGTGTTGACCTCATCAATTCTTCCTGGCTTCCTTCTCCCAGGGGGTTCTCTTCTAATAAACCATATTTGCAACTGACTGAAAATTGCATTCATTGTGTGTAGCTAAGAAGCACTTAACACTTAGTTTTCATCAACAAATTAAAAGTAGTTTATAAGCACTATTAAGTTAGGTTTTAGGGGAAGTAATTAGATAAATTATGACAATATCTTCTATTTATATAAGCCTGGTATATAAACACTTTTTATGTGTTATTTATAAATCCTTCTAGTAATCCTAGAAACTAGATAATATTGTCTTCTTTTTCCACTTAAGGAAAGTGAGCTCGACATATTATACTACCTGGTCTAAGTAGTCAGTAGATGGAAGAGGCAGTTTGGAACTCAAGAATGTTCGTCCTGTCTCTTCTAGGTCATCTAATAATTTGCAGTATTTGACTTTTAATATTCTCATGACGGGATCAGTACCTTTTGAAGTTAAAACATTGGAAATGTATTAAATTGCTACAGGGTGAAATCTAGGATTCAAGATAAAGGACTTTGGTTATTAACCTGTCCAACAAAGCCACCCTTGGGCAAGCTCACTCACCAAGTTGGGCCACAACCCAGACCCCAACCACAGCACCAGAATCTGACTCTGGAAGGCTCTAGTGAGAATTTATAAATCATCAAACATTGTACCTACAAATTATGAGTGTCAGCCTAGTCACTCCTATTTTTGTATTTACTTAAAACTAAGACTTTGAGCAACTAAATGATGCACTGGTAATTGTTCCTAGAGCAGTGAAAATGTGTATAGAACAGAAGGAAGATAAGCATTAGTGTTTTTCCTTAGTACTCAGCTCTCTGTTAAGCCAACAAGATTTCAGAGTCCTCGTATTGTTGTGTGAAAATGATCCTAACAGTGTGCATGGTCGTGAAATCTAAATTCATGCACTGTGTTCTCATTTCTGTGCAGAATTTTGGGTGTTCTGTATTGAGTATGTTCCTCTAGTAATACTGTTTTGCTTTGAATTATAAAACTTTTTACAAAAACTTTTAAGAACTTGATGAGTGCCTAAATGACAGGCACCAAAATGATAAAACTAAAGGATAACATCTAGAAAGAAATGCTTAAGAACAGAGCAAACTTCATGAAGGATGAAATCATGTTCCTCAATTATACAGCGGATGAGAGTCAAGCTCCCCACTGAAAATAATATGAAAATACGAACCCGTATTGCACCAAGAAGTATTCAGTTAGATATAAGTAAGCTTTAAACATCTGTAGGGATTTTTAGACTTGTGGATAAAAACGATATTTAAAAATTCAGGCTTTTATTGCTCATACATCAGAGCCTATCTCTCTAGGATTTTGAAAAAGTATACTGTCTTGGCACATGGAAATGCAGGGGCTACCGGAATCTAAGACCAGTTCTAGTTTTCTAGTTTCTGTTTTGTTTTGTTTGTTTTGTCTTGTTTTTTAAGGGTGTGGGTTACTTTGTGATTACAATATAGTAGTAAGCCCTTAAATATTATAGATAACTCCATTTACAGTATTTTCTTAAACGGCCCCTAAGAAATATCCACTTAGTGCATGATTATGCAGTCTCAGAAATCATATTTGTTTGGTAATCTGTACCCACCTAAAAATATACATACCCATTGTCATCTATAAATTATAGTCCCTCTGTTTTCACTTTCTCTGGTTTCATCCCTCTACTTCATGCTTTACACATGCAAACTTGGTCATGTCAAATTGTTTCAAATCCATTTGCCCTGAGGATAAAGCCCTAGCTCTCTGGCATGACACACAAGCCCCCACAGGGTCTGGCCCCATTTCCTTCTCTAGTTCATCCCCTCCCATCCTCTGCCATGCAGCCTGTGCCATGGGCTGATCGGAGCAAAGATCTGCTCCTTGAATGTGCCATGCTTTGCTCATTCATTGCTTTCTGCGAGATTTGCCCACCTGACCAACATCTGCCCACTAAAACCCTGCGGGTACTTCAAATGTCAGCTAGTCACCTCCTATGGGACCTTGTGCATACTTCTTTCATACTCTGCTCTTACCAGACCGTCCTGAAGATGTTGTTGTTATGATTTTTGTTATTATTATTATTATTTTTTTTTTCCTGAGACGGAGTCTCGCTCTGTCACCCAGGCTGGAGTGCAATGAGCCATCTCTACTCGCTGCAACCTCCGCCTCCTTGTTCAAGCAATTCTCCTTATTTTTGTCATTATTCTTATATTTGCCTCCACACTGAAGTGTGAGCCAACTGAGGGCAAGACCCTATGTTGTTTGTGGTGCACTTACTGCCTTAAGTAGGGGTTCTATAAACATATGTTGAATGAACGGAAGATGGGAAGGAATGAAGGAAAATTGAAAGGAAAGAAAGGAACGAAGGAGAGAAATGTAAGGAAGGAGGAAGAAAGGATTTCACAACTGATTCTAACCTCAGGAAGACTACGAAACCCTAGGATATCTTTAGTTATTACGAGGTGCATCAGAAAATACTTCAAATAGTATTTATCCTATTTTTCTTAATATATAAAGAAAATACTATATGTAAATGTGTTACTTTCCGAAAAGGAATATGTGATGAGAGTGTTACGAAATCAAATAAATAATGCAAAGGTTCTGAAATTCCAAAACAAATGAGAATCACTGTCTTTTTTTTTTTTTTTTTTTTCTTCAGACAGAGTCTCACTCTGTCGCCCAGGCTGGAGTGCAGTGGCTTAGTCTCAGCTCACTGCAACCTCCACTTCCCAGGTTCAAGCAATTCTCCTGCTTCAGCCTCCGGAGTAGCTGGGATTACAGGTGCCCACCATCATGCCTGGCTAATTTTTGTATTTTTAGTAGAGACGGGGTTTCACCATGTTGGCCACTCTGGTCTTGAACTCATGATCTCAAGTTATCCACCCACCTCAGCCTCCCAAAGTGCCAGGATTATAGGCGTGAGCCACTTCGCCCGGCCTATCACTGTCTTATACACTTAATTCTGTGAACAACATATGTACATGTATAAATTTATAAGCATTTAAAATTTATTTTGCCACCTTATTTTAAATAAGCATTTTAAGCTTCTCCCTATTTCTTGCTTTAAGCAATTATTATTAAGCAATTATTATTCAATAATTTTCTTATGAAATTAAAGATGGAATAAATTCTCCTAATCATTTATGAAGTTATTTTTATATCTGTTCAACATTTGCAAAATTCAAGACAAAATCATTCTCTCTGGATGATATTCCCTGCCCTGGATGATGTTCCCACACTGCAGGGCACCCGTGTCTCTTGTCCTGGGCGCTCTTGCCATGTAATGACCCACTATCTCAAAGCCTGATTAAAACTCTTGGCCAGCTGGTGCCTGTAATTTATTTGATCAAAATCAAGGAGCAACTCTAGTCAAAAACAAATGTGGGTCCAAATGTAAACTGTGCACCCAGATGAATGAATAATTCATTCCTTCCCATCATTGATTAAAAAAAGAAGCCTAAGTCCTTCCAGGGGTGCCAGGCAAGGATATAATTATAGGTGGAGCTGATGGCCATTATTGTTATTTATCACTTTATAAAGTACTTTATTTGCAAAGTGATGGCATTTTAGAAACTTAAATTGTTTAGTCTTACGTAAGTAATCAGGAAGGTAAAAATTTAAATGTACAGAGACTAACATAAAATTTGTGTGGGTTTCCCCACAAACATATTCTCACACCCTAAGTTCTTGGCTCGAAAAACCAAATTCAAAGAAGCAATATGTGGACAATGGGAGAGCATTTTTGTTTCAAATTTTCACCAATATTAGTGACACAGAACGCTCTCCAGAGACTTCAGAGAGGTCATTAACTGATAATTAGTACCAGGGAATTCATGAAACTTCTATCACTAGCTCAACAATTCTTCTTTTATAAATAAAATCAGTTCAAGAAGCAATGTAGACATGAAGAGTTTTTTTCCTCTCTGTGAGCTTCCTATAACTACCCCATTCTTTAAGGCAACTGATGCAAATTTGATTGAGAGAAATATTTTCTTTGTGTACTAAGATCCCTTATATTTATAGTGTCCAAGGTATGAACTTTAAATTTCATTTGCTGTACCAGGAAAGTTTCTCTGGAGTATGTTCCAAACCACATGCATAACCATTGCATGAGTAACACTTGATGTGAAATATCATGTTGTAGCATCCCTGGGTCTGCAGTCTGTGCCTATGACATGCTTGACATTGCCAGTGTTTTTACTGGGAGATTCAAGGAACAGAAGTCTCCTGATTCCACCTGGACACCAGTTCCTGATGAACGAGTTCCTAAGCCCAGGTATGTGCAAATATTCATATGGCTATTTTAAACTTTAGAAATGGCAAAGCTTGCACCTCTGATAATGAACATCCTATGAACTGCGCACCAGTGCCTTCCATGCCAGCCAAGCAGATTGCCTTCATCTCATTAACCAAAACCCAAAGTTACCTTCTCATATACTCAAACCAATGTTCCTCTAGTCTTCTGCTTAACCTCCATATATGTTATTTATCCAACGTAACACTACAATGGTGGAAACCATCTGAGGTGTCACTGGCTTATAGTTGGGAAAACTGAGGCCTGGAGAGGTAAAGGGTATTGTACAAGTTCAATAGCGGGGGTTGGGGGTGGTGATTTCCGCTGCTTCTTTATGCTTCCTTTCAATTTTATAGAGACCCATGTCTTTAAACCCAAATAAAATATGAAATATAAATAGTGTTTTCCGGATTTGTGACCAAGCTGGATCAGAGCTCAGTCTAGGACTCTAGACCGAGGGTGAGAAGAATCCAGCGGGTACAGTGGACCATTAAGATGTCTCTGGTCTGCCAGGTTTTGGTCTGTTTTGGGTCCAAATACAGTGCAGTGTCCTCCTCCCCAAATCATGGCTTAGAATTCTTTTCATGGGATACTATGGTCCAGAGGCAACCCAGAGACCTCTCAGTCCTATGTAGTCTCTTCCCAAACAGGCTAATTCATCCTAACTGGGACAGGAGGGAAGTCCCCGCTAAGCCCTTTGCGTGCCTCTCTTCTGTGGCACGCACTCACACCTCCATTGCAGCATTTGCACTCCAAGTTTCATAGAAACAACCCATGGTGTCTGTCTTCCCCAGGAGTTGTGTGCCTCTGGAAGGAAGCCCAATGTCTTACTAATTTTTTTGTTTTTCAACTCTCTTCCGCAACCTCCAGTCCTCCCCACAACATACCTAGCCAAGTACACTTACATGAACTAACTTAGATAATACGAACCACTTAAACCCAGAGGAGAAACTCATCCATCTTCATTACCTGAATTATCTGGCATGTTGATATTCTGTTACTTATGGAGAGCAGACTAGGTGTGAAAAGCACACCCCAGCAACCTCAGACAGATAGTCTTAAGTCATTGCCTGGGATTGTTAACTACCTTCTAGATAGTTCTAGATAGTTCCTTCTAGCAGGAAGGGGAGTTCAGCCTGAGGGATCAGGTTTCAGTAAGTTCTTATGTAATACCCTCTCCTTGGTATGTAAAGATGGTGTCACTCAACCAATACCAGCACACATACTTTAAGTGATTTTCTACTAATGGCAGTGAGTTTAATTAAACATCCTTCCACATGCCTGCCTCGTCCCTCTTGCAGCAGTCAGGATGCTCTACGGGGCTGGCTGGGTTAGTGCCTTGAGACAGTGTGGACATAGGAGTGGTTCATGCTGGTGTCGTGAGGGTCCAATCTCCTCTTCTGCACCACCCAGGCAAACCAGGTGTCTGGACAAGATGGGTTTCAGTGTTTCCCTAATCTGACTTTGCTGGGATGACCCTTGACTCCTGAAACCATAGAATTTCTTGTAGAAGCAAATTTTTATGGTCGTCATTCAATGACAAGAAATGACCTTTCAGGAAAGAATCTGATATAATTGGCTTTTCATACCTGCCAAAATCAAACAAAAATAAAAACAACAATAAGAAACAAAACCAAAATGTTCTCTGAGCGAGCCCCAGGTAATGAAACATGATTACACGGAGTCTTGCTGGCACATACCCTGGTGAGTTTTGGAGAGTCTTTTCTTTCTACACTTGCGAAAACGTCAACCTAATTCTTTCCCTCTGTAGAGTAAATGCATGAGGAATCTCTAGCAGCCTTTTTGGATAAGTAAAACCATCCCCGAGATATGTGCAAACCACACTCACTCACTTGTTTCAAGCTCCATCACTGTTTACTGAGGTTTGTTTGTGCTTCTGGGAGGAAGCCAGCCTGCCCCCAGCTGAGGCTGAACTGTGCTGGCTGAGGCTCCTCAGAAATGAGGAGGCGGCTCAGAGGAAATCTCAGCATATTGTGCTTGGTGGCATTCTGCATTGTTCAACTTCCTCCTCTCAGGCTGCAGTACATTCTCCTCCATTCCAGATGCTTAGAGAAGCAGTTCATTCAAAGAATTTGCCATAAGGCAGAAAATAAGCTCCCTCCTTCCTCACCCTTTGTTTCATTTTAGGCCAGGTTGCTGTGCTGGCTCATCCTCCTTAGAAAGATATGCAACCTCCAATGAGTTCCCTGATGATACCCTGAACTTCATCAAGACGCACCCGCTCATGGATGAGGCAGTGCCCTCCATCTTCAACAGGCCATGGTTCCTGAGAACAATGGTCAGGTGGGTGTCAAACAAACCGTGTCCTGATGGATTTCCTAACTTCATCTCATGTCGGAGAACCAATCAGTGGATCATGCTTTGAAATGCCACAAACATCTTCTGCTATCCTGGGCATTCATTCAGCTGTGAAATGGTGGCCGATTGGTTGGATACCACTAAACCCCTATACACACATTCCCAGGGAGAAGAGTTCCAATATTTTCAGGCTAGTTGGACACATGCCAGCAATTAGAGGAAGGAAATACCTTTCCTTCTGGATTAGCCCATTGATCCAATCTGTGCAAAAATAGAGGAGCAGTGAAGGAGAACCAGTGAATGGATGTGGATACCTGATTGGTTGGAAATGATTACAAAACTTGCAGCAGATTCCACCTGAGCATGGCTCATGGATTGTTTGCTGTCACACAGAGCACAGATACCACATTTGCTGGTGTGAAGGATTCATAGTTTAATATTCTTTTTCTGAACTGGTGGCCAACAGCGAAGGGACAGCCAATTAGAGATCTGTGGTAGTATTAAAAAACTCTTCCTTGTATTTATTCAGAGCTTATTTCCAAGCAGTTCAACAGGCTTTCCCAAGTACCATCCCACTGTGGTAGCCATCAAACAAAATGTTAATTAACTTTACCACTATTTTTATACTATGACTTTATTAAAACATATTAAAGCACTGTAATAGCTCTGGCACACAAAATGGAAACCATGGTATATAACTTGCAGGAGGGTCTATGTTTTCTGGTTCCAGCTATGGTGCTTAGGACAACTAGGTCCCCATGGAGTGTCAAATGTCCAAGGGATTTCAGAGAAAGCAAATTGCTAGTAGGACTTATCCCAGGTATGCCCTTCACCTTTAGCTTTAAATGGATATTGTTTGGCTTGCAGGTCCTTACAGTTTTTAGTAGTGCCATTAGCACCCTACCTCCTCATCCTTCAGAAAGCTTTCCAATCAAACATTTTGTTGATGAAGGCCTTGTATCTCAGAGGAAGAGTATGGAGAAATCGCAGTCATTGCTTTTCAATGTTAAATTAAAGGTTAAATGAATTTCTTATTACTTCTTACCCTCCTCATAGGAGACATTAGTCTTTTCCTTGTTCATGAAGGGGATTATTGCTAAGTGGTTTCAGGTGGTTTTGGCTATTATAGTACTTGGCCTGCAAACACACACACACACACACACACACACACACACACTCTCTCACACCTCCTTCCTCCCCTTTGGAGCCACACTAGTGCTCTGCAAATGGAAATAAAGGGCCAGAACCACTTGAGAACATTATTTATATGCATATATTTTTCTTGAGGTTATTACTAGAAGGCTATGTCGCAGCTGTTTGAAGTGGAACAGGGAACACTTTAATGATAGACCAACAAAGAGATAAGAAATGTGGTCCTGTCATTTTAGATACCGCCTTACCAAAATTGCAGTGGACACAGCTGCTGGGCCATATCAGAATCACACTGTGGTTTTTCTGGGATCAGAGAAGGGAATCATCTTGAAGTTTTTGGCCAGAATAGGAAATAGTGGTTTTCTAAATGACAGCCTTTTCCTGGAGGAGATGAGTGTTTACAACTCTGAAAAGTAAGTGGAATATTTGGTTCTTTCTTAGTAATTATTTGTTATGCTATTATGGCCCCTTTCATTCAGAGAAAATCATGACCGACTGAGGTTTTATGCATTTTTAGATGACTTTTTAGTGCTGTTTGTAAAAATTTAACACCTAAAAAGCATTATTTTCTCCTTGCCAATGTGTGTGTGTGTGTTTATATAGATACATATATGTGTGTGTGTTTATATAGATACATATACATGTGTGTGTTTACGTGTGTGCAAGAGCAGAAGGGTTTGTTTGTTTCACCGCCAGTTAGATTAAGAGATTGCCTTGTGGGCTGGGAAGTGGGATGTGAGGGTGGGGCCGAGAAAAAGAGAAGAGTCTATTAATGATATTATCTTGCCTGATGAAATTAGATGCAGCTATGATGGAGTCGAAGACAAAAGGATCATGGGCATGCAGCTGGACAGAGCAAGCAGCTCTCTGTATGTTGCGTTCTCTACCTGTGTGATAAAGGTTCCCCTTGGCCGGTGTGAACGACATGGGAAGTGTAAAAAGTATGTATTTTGCCTCATTGACAATTAGAAAGTCCATGGTGGCTAGGAAACAGTCCTAGGTAGCTCATGGTCATCCTCTTCCTGCAGAACCTGTATTGCCTCCAGAGACCCATATTGTGGATGGATAAAGGAAGGTGGTGCCTGCAGCCATTTATCACCCAACAGCAGGTAGGCAGCCTGAGGTGTGGGAGAGGGTGAAGTGGCTTCCAGCCAAGGTGTATTCTAGATGTAAGATTTGCTCTGCTCACACACACCACCACACAGCTTTCTGTGCAAACTCCAGCAACGGGACTGTCAGCCTTTCTCCTACCCTTTCCCATTTCATAGAGCCTCACCACATCACATGTGGCAGATTTCCAATTGATTAATCATCCTCGGACTGATTAAAAACACAGAATGGAAACACAGTGGGCTTCAATGTATTCCCTGGAGAGAGAGACAAGAAGGTGCCTGCCTTGATCATCATGGTGGGAGAAAAGCAGAGAAAAGGAGCAATAGGATACCAATTAGATTAGTGAGTGGTTTGTCCAGCCATAGCAAAACCGGCTTTTGTAATTGACTGTGCAGGGCTGAGAAGAAATTGCAGAACATTTGTTAAGCAATGTAATTGTACTGCAAGCATGGTGTATACATCCAATAAACCTTTTCCTGCGCTGAAGAACAGTTGACCCTATTACTCATCAGGCCGTCAATCAATTCTTGGCAGTTCTCCAACAGATCAGCTAGATGAGGCCAGTCCACCATGCCTATGATTTTGGTGTTTAAAATTGTTACCCTGGCTTTAAATGCTTAGATGGCATTAGCTAAGAGGTTTCTTTTTATGCTTTTACTTCAGTGGATGTGAAATCCAAAATAAATTTGCAGAAGTATTCAATGTTTATCTTTGATGGGTTGTGGCAGGCAGTTTAGGAGGTTAGACAGCACAGATCTTTCTTCAACACAGCCATTTCTTCAACCTCCTCAGATCCAAAGGGGGAACAGAACCATCTTTAAATCACTGTGAGCCTCCCTTCCTATTTCAGAATAGCTAAACAAACAGATCAAGGGCATATCTGATGACCACTACCTGCATAATTTGAGGACAAGTACTCTCGTAAACAGAGCTGATGATAACTATAAAATCTGACCTAGAAATTTGACTAATGCAAAAGGTTGAGTCTCTGTATATTATTAGAACAGCTTTGCAAGTAGCATTATTGACATGCTATAATCTTAGAGCTCTGTACCTTTGCATGGGAACCCTCAAGGTGGAGGAGAAAGGATCACAAAGCATGGTGAGGGGAGCTATGAGATGACCTATGTCCTTTCTATGTTCAACATGTGACCGAAGGCTATAAGACTGAATTTTAAAAAATTATTGTTAAGTCAATATAAGAACCCCAAAATAGTTTCCTTAAGGTTTGCATTCATATTTCAATGATGCTGGCATTGCTTAAAACATGGGGCGTTCCCTTTGGAGAGTGGGCTCCAGGGCATGATGAATATTGGCTGTCATTACCACTAGAAATCTTCATCTTTTGAGGGATTTGATTTTTAATGTGGCAAAAAAGATTAGAAACCAAACACGGTGGATTATTAGATCAAGCTGTGACTTTCAAAATAGTTTTCCTATACGGCTCATAAATAAACTCTGAAAGCAGTTGCAAAATAAGAGTTTCAATTATATTATGGGAATATGTACAAAGTGCCCCCAAAGGAAGGTGACTCTGGTGTGCTTATTTTAAAAATCAAAATAGCTTTTATTAAAATTGGTTTTGTTAATGTCATGTTGCTTGTACAGCCCAATGGTGACCTAGTAGACTTGGAAGAAACATGAGCATGTCAAAGAGAATGAGAGTAATACTCCCAAGGACTGGGGCAGGGCTGGGAGTGAACAAATAACCAAGCAGTCTCCACAAAATGCACCACCGGCTCCTGTCCCCTCACTTGGACCTTTGAACACTTTATCGTCCAAGTTTTTGGCTAGATAAATGTCTAGGCAAAAAACCTTGCCTAGGAAGGCAAGGGTAGGAGTGAAAAAGAGAATAGAGAAAAAAAGATTTTTCTTTTTAATTTATAGACTTCCATATTGTTTCTATGAGGCGTGTATTTTAACATCTAAACTTCTTAAATGTTTAAGAAATGCTCAGAGAATTAGAGTAAAGAAGGATGTAAATAATCTGCAAGCTAATTATCTCCCTGAATAATATCTGAATTCACTGCTTAAACCATGGCTTCTCTTTGGAGAGTCACCTAAGACTCGTTTCTATAAACTTCAGAGATAAATTTTAAAGCTGTTATGTATTTCTTTTTTGCACCTGCCACTCAATTTATCAAACTGTGTTACTGTCTTTAGTGAAGCTTGACTCATTTCTGAAGACTCACGTTATTGTATTCATTTCTGTCTCTCTTTCCCTTCCTTTTTTAAAAGACTGACTTTTGAGCAGGACATAGAGCGTGGCAATACAGATGGTCTGGGGGACTGTCACAGTAAGTACAGTCTTTTATCCATTTTTATCTTTGGGCAAAGATGCTTTCAGTGAATGGCCTAGAAACATCAGCTCACATGTGGAACTGAGTGCAGCTGACACTAAAGCATGCGTAAATGACGGAAATCATCTTCTAAATACCAAACAAAGAAAGCAGTGCGTTCTAAAGCCAGTGTTGTCAATGTTGTCACTATAAATGCTGGCACCTATTTCATTAATTCTAATGCAGGGGAAAAAATTCACCCTAGAGGATATTAATTGTAGCAAAGCAGTAAGTTAAATCAGCATTTCCATTACAAAATGACAGTTTTGCTGTTTTTAAAAACATGCTTTTATACTGTCATTTTCCGCCAAATAATAATAAGATTGATCATTGTACTCTAGCTTTTTAATTGAGTGGGCCTGTTTTATTCTTGAACATATCGACTAACAAAAGCAATTATGTTTTTAAATTAGATTTGTGTCTATTACCATATGTAATAGGAAAAAAAATTTCAGAAATAACCCACAAGTACAAGGCAATTCAAAATAATCTTTTTATAGGAATTGGCCTACTATGTAAATCTCAGAGATAGTTATTAAATGGTAACATTTTAGTTAGAACTTTACGTAAAGGATCTGGCTCAAATTTCTGCCCAGTTGTCATGTGACCCGATTAATATCAATATTCTCCTGAAAATGCTTTATTAATGCTAATTTAAAGAATAATACCATACTCTTGGAAAATATGTTTAGTTTGTGCTGTTTCGAATGTTATATATGCTGAATTTCAAGAAGCTTGCATTCAAAATGGCACCAAATAATAGCTTCTAAGGGAATGAAGCTATATTATCCTGATATTTGATTCTATAACGGAAGTCACGGACATAACTCTAAATCTTTCAGTCATAAGTACTGAAATTTCAGACTCTAAAGTGTCATTCAACTTTCTACCTTATCTTTTTTAGAGATTAGTTATAATCAAATAAAGAGGGCTAAAGGCAGACTTATCTCCAAATCTTTGCCATATACATATTTTTCATTTACAAATATTATATATTGGCAAAAATTCTTATTATGTCTTACACACAAAATTGATGAGTTAATAAATAAGCATAGGAGAAGTGTCATCACTAAAAGATGTATGTTACGTGTGTGCGTTCATCCGTATCAGGGAAATAGTTTGATGTTTGATCAGTGGACCTTAATCATCTTGGTGCATTATAGCTTTATTTGCAAGGAAACAGGTTTTAAGATGTGTGTGTGTGTGTGTGTGTGTGTGTGTGTGCATGCGTGCACGCTTTATTAACAGCTTAGTTAGCTGATGTTAATGAGCTATTTTCATCATATTTATATTACTTGCAATAGTGGTGTCTGTAGAAAAATAGGGGTGTAGATTTGGATCAAATCAGAAAATACGTGAAACATGTAAAGATGGTTGGTACTGTGTCTATAAAATGTCCACTATACCAGTAGGCTCACACCCTTATCTGTGTTCTCAGGCAGAAGAACCTAAGGAAGCCTCTGTATGTAGCATAGGGGACGCTCTCAGGTCCCAACCCTGTGCTTTACTCTTTATTTCCAGAGTAATCTTAGTGGTCAAGCAAGCCCCTGGATCTGCCTTCGTGCTTTGTAGTGTGCCTTTGACCTTTAACCCCACTCTTGCGGAGGCACTTGCCAAGGGTGCTTGCTCGGGGCAGGAGGTAAGGCTGCCCCTCTGCCTGCCTGCCTTTGCTCATGGCTTCTCCTCTCCCCGTGTTCCTGCTGAAGCATGAACTACCTCTATTAGACAGACCTATCCCCACATAGGTATTCAGGGAGGATTTCTCTAACTGGTACAATCATTATAACTGGTACAAAATTAACAGGATTTTAAAGGGAAATGAGGAAATCACAAAGAGCCAGTGTTAGAGGCTGAGTGAACCAGAGATCTGACCCCAACACACAGCACACACCCAGATATGTTGCCTAATATGTGTAAGGGTTTGTTTTTTGTTTTAACTTCCAAACTAAAACCCCTGATGATTTCAGAACACTGTAACACTGGACAGTTTCTCACAGCATGGTTGTGAGGATGAAGTAAAAAGAGAATGTAAAGAATAAGTGTTTTCTTTGTAAGTGTG